>NC_000002.12:189913860-190216890 GCF_000001405.40 Homo sapiens | reverse complement strand
TGTCCCGCTCTGGGAGGGGACTTAGTGGCTTTTCCTCCTCCTCAGCTGCAGGGATCCTCCCCCAGCCCAGCCAAGCTCTGGGAAACAGAACTTTTAAACATCCCACCTCAAAGCGTCTTGGCAGACTTCTCCCCAGCACGAGCTCTCTCTACTTCAGGGATTGCAAACTGGCATCCTCTTTTGCCTCTATTGGGTTTTTAAGTTTTTTGAACTGATAACCAGCATTTAAAAATCCCATTTTAGATAAAAAGAATTCTGGCCTCTGACAAAGCAGACAGTTTGGCATCACAGCTGAGCAGCTGTGGCCCCTTTAACAGGGTGTGCCCTCTTCAGTTAGCCACAGTCCCCACACAGCCCTGCAGCCCTCCTTCTCATCATTTACTGGCCCTGTAGTCATTTGAGTTTACAACCCTCTGATCTAACTTATATAGCCCCCCAGACCTTCTGCAGCCTTACTGACAGCTGCCCGTGGTGGACTTACAGCCTCTCAGTAAAACAACAACAAAACCTTAATGGTCATTTCATCCATTTACCCTTCCATAATCTGAATCCTTTCTGCCGCCTTCTGACAGCCATCCATAGGCAACCCACTGCTCCTGATCCTAAACTGTCCTCCACATCCCTTTCTCATTTGCATCGCCCGGTTCCCAGGCTCTGTCCCGCCTCAGTGGCCACACTGCACCCTTTGCTTGCACCTCCTTGTTGCTTGAGCCTCTAGAACCTTCCCCCAGCCCTGCCAATCTCTCCACATCCTCTCACCTCCTCTTGTACTCTTTCTTCCTTTTACATTATTTTTCTCCCCAGTCTCACCTTCTGTGTCTCTTTGATCTTTGTCTTTTCCAGTCTCTCTCTTGCTCATTTTCTTCTTTTATTTCTCTTTCTGTCATCCCCTGTTTCCTTTTTCCCTCAAACTCAGTTTCTTCCTCTTTCTCTCTCTGGGCATGAGCTGAGCCTTAACTGTGCCCTGGCTCCCCCGTGTCTGACAGACAGTTCTGACTCTTTTTCTCTGGGCACCAGCACACCTGCACAGTGTCTTACACTGCCTTCCCTGTCTTGGCTGCTTAGTCCAGTGGCTCCCACACACACAGCTGTGCACCAGGCTTTCCCTTGCCTTCAGGGTCAGCAGCTTAACTCTTTCTCTGGCCCTCTACGTTTGCTGTTTCCTCCCCTTTATCTTTCTGATTTCCTTTCTTTTCATCGATGTTTCCCCCTTTCTTCTTACAGAAACCTTCTGAGCTTCCCTTAGTAATTCCTTAATTGGTTTTTCATTCCATCCATTAACCTTTTGCAGTTTCTTAGTAATATCAGGCCAGCTTTTAGTCAGAAAATTAACCTTTAAAATTAAAGGCCTTGCCCTACTGGGTCCTCTGGATTTAATCCTGAATATTTTCGCATTTGATCACTGAGCCTCTGCAGCAACACAGAGGGAGTCTCCTCCTTTTTTGTTGTTGAATCTCAAATGCTTTTGAGACATTTTATGTCCTAGGAGTGGACTTTTTAATCCCTTTAATTATTAGTTCCCTTAGGTCCTGCATTTGGGCCCGATCTCTTTATTGTTATCCCATCCAGGATCTGCATTTAGGAATTTCTGCTCAGTTGGCAGGACTTCTTGCCTGGGAGGACGCTGTCTTTCCCAAATGGTTATGGCTGCCCTTATAATTATTCCCCTCTCTTCCCCAGTAAACACAATATTCATGATTGACATCATCTCAGCCTAAGTATAAAAATTGGGTCCTAAAAATTGATCTAGCTGCTAAACCGAGGGGATCTCTGCTAAGCTGAGGTTTGCTCTGCTAAACCGAGGGGATCTTCCAAGAATGGCCTCATTTCCTTTTTAAAATTCCTAACCTCAGTACTTGTTAGAGGTGCATTCACAAACCCAACTCCTCCCTGTCCCATAGGGACTTCTCTAAGAGAGTACTTATTAGACGTCTACTGTTCAGAAGAAATAGGGAAATTCTCAATGTCCTTCTTACATTGTTCTAATTCTTTCCTCAAGTTTGGATAAGGATTTAAGGGAGCACTGGGTTTAGCTCCTTCATGATCCCCAGATTCCTCTTTCCTCGACCTTCCTCTTGCCCCCGATCTCCCTGTCCTCTACCTTGTGAGATGTTTGGGGGAGGGGCAAGCGTGTTGGGGATCCCAGGGCTTTTCACTGGGTGAGGGCTCTTTACTGTGCTCTTCCTCTTTAAGGGGGAACATGGGGTTAAATCACTAATCCAACAAAGAACATAACCCACATCCTCTGTGAGTATGGGTTTTATCATTCACGTAGAGAATTAAAGCTTGGCACACCCAGTCCTCATCTGAGCCAAACTTAGGCCAAAAGACCAAAGGCTGACAAATGGGCTTTTTGGGCCAGATAAAACAGCAATACTCTATCATCTTTTGCTTTTCCTTGTTCCTGGTTTGGGGATTATCCATTCAAACCTGCAACATTCTCCCCAAGGGACTATCTGGGAGAATGTCAGAGGGGGTCTTTTTAGTTCGCTCTTTCCTTTGTTCTGTAGGCCTAGAATTCCTGTTTCCCATTTTCACTTAGTCTCTGTGTCAGGTTTTTGCTGTGTACTCAGCCCCCCTTACTGGAGGTTTCTTGCACACTCCGGGTTCTCTGAAAATGCCCCAATACCAAGGCAGTACTGATAATCCAACTTTCCTACCTTGGATCATGCAGGAGGTTGGCTGGTTGCCATGGTGCCTGCTTTTCTCCTTGTGTCACCTCCGCTGTCTCCTGAACAAGACTTGGGTTTGTCTGTGGCTTCTGCGGGGAGCCAAGATGTCCAGAGCAGGCCACATAAATCAAGTGGGGTGCGTCTCCCTTCTCGGCTGGAGTCTTAACTCCATACAGGCACAGAGATAGCCGTATGGGCCACCAGGTTGTGAGAAACAATTCACCCGTCCAAACCCACAGAATGGACTCAGAGACCCGGACAGTAGCAAAAGCGAGACTTTTAATGACGGTCTTGCAAGATTGGGTGTCTGGTGTGCAGGCACACCCGGCACAGTTTTAACAAGCAACTTAACCTCCTAGTGCACAGGTCCCTCCCCCGGTTCCTTATAGGCTGAGTCCTATAGGGTCACAGTCATCCCGGACGTCACCTGTTGAGTGTTAGGTAGCAGCTTTAGGTGTTTTTTTTTAGGGTTGTCTTGCTGCATTTTGTTGCAGCCCACAATGCATTGCAATCCTAGTTAGTTCAGGGGCTCTTGAAGTATTTGACTTATGACCTAAGTAGCTGGGCAGGATGATAAGAACAGACAAAGTGAGCTATTTTGCAGACTAGTATCTAGGCTAAACTTCTTTGGTTCGGGTGAGGGCAGCTAAGTGGGGGAAAAGGGGACGAAGCGGGAGGCTGACAAGCAGGCATTGGCTATTGAAGCAGGGGCCTAGTATCCTGTTTCTTCTGTAGTTTGCTGACCTATGCCGATTCAAGACACTTTGTCCCGGAAATGGACCACTGTATGCGTTATTTTCTATACTCCATGAATATGATTGGTTTGTAAGGTGTGTATTGATTTTATTTAAGTGTAATTGCTGTTTGCTTAGCCAATTGGCATAATTTATGCTAAGCAAACTACAAATATGGATTTATTTTATTAGTCACAGCTACAGAATTTATTCCACTTGTGGAATGATGTTTTGTTTTTGTAGCAGATTAGAAAAGTTTTGTTTGGTGCTTTGGCAGGATTAAGCTAGGGTATAATCTTTTATGAGATTTTGGCATATTTTAATATTATTTACATAGACACTCTGCCCATTTATTATAGACAATAAAGGAACTATTGGACTAACAGTAGTAAATTTTTTCCTCCAAAAGGTAATTAATAAAATGTCTCCAACATCTCTAAAGATCACACTAAGGCAACTCATGGAGGGGTCTTCAAAGACCTTGCAAGAAGTACTAACTATGGAGTATCGGCTAAGTCAAGCTTGTATGGTAAGAATTTAAAAAAAAAATGTCATTTTTTAGTTCTAAAAGTAACATACGTTTATTGTAGAACTTGTAAAATACACTAAGTGCAAACAAGAAAATTAAAACCACCTGTAAATTTACTCTACAAAAACACAACAGGCCAGTTAGTTTTAGATGTGTGGAAGTATTGCTACCCAGATTGTTATTAAGCCTTTATAAAATAGCAATTACATTTGCATGTCAGTGTAAGAAGCTCTCTAACCTCATCTTAGAGGAATTCAAAATAGAAATTAATGTCTTTCAGCGATGGTCTCTGTGACCTTGGGCAAGGCATATAAACTCTGTAAATGTGAATTCCCTCATTGGTAAAATGAAGAGGATTATTTATAAGCAGATATATATATAAAGTAAATGCACAAATGGAAGTTATTAGTCTGTTACGTGTTTAAAATAATGAGCATTATTAAAGTACCATTGTAAACATAAAGTGGACAATAATCACATAGAATATTGATTTCATGAAACATCTCATATTTATATTTATTTATTCTTCCAGATGATAAACTCTTTAAAGTCAGAATCATCCTTTATGTTCAGAGGACCCTTAAGAAGCATCTTATTATTTAGACTAATATATGGACTAAAGGGACTATTTGGCTTAATAGCCAGAAAGGAGACATTCCTAATGACTTTAATGTAATAGTTATTAAGATGTTCAATGTAGTTCATCTAGTTAGAAATAACTCTGTTAGCCATGTCTTAAAGTCACTCCTTGAGGGATGTAAATGGCAGCTGACGTCTATTGTTTATTATGTGCAGGTACTACGCTAGGCACTTTATATGCATTTGCTCCATTAAATCTTATGGTATCTCTAGAAGGATAGGTACTGTTATTGACTCCATTTTACAGATGAAGAAATTGTTATATAGTGGTGTAACTTGCCTAAGGTTGTGCAGCTATTAAGTGACAGAGATATGGCATATGAAACCAGGCAGTCTTACTCCAGTGCCTGCACTCTTGACCACTCTCCTGTATACCTCACACATTCCATGTTTTTCATTACACTTTTAGTGCACTGCCTAGATTGATTGATTCTTGCCTTCATTCTCTCAGCAAATATGTTAGCTATGTCCCAGGCACTGTGCTCAGTGTTAGCCTTATATTGTTGAATAAGAAGACACAGTCCTTTATTTTCATGGGTTTAGTCTACTGAGACTACAAAGAACAAGTAAACAAAATAAGTAAAATAATTATAAATTGTGATAAGTACTCTAAAGGAAAACATACAGGGTTGGTGATAGAAGAGATTATGCAGGGACAGGAGGGAGTTGGGGGGCAATGGGAAACCTCCTTAAGTAGATCAGGGAAGACATCTTTGTGATGTCACTTCATTTGTGACCTAAAGGATGAGAAAGGAGTATGTTGAGAAGACTCTTGGGCTTAAGCAGGAGGTGATTTGATTTTTCATTTCATTCGGTTCAATTTGCTTTAAGAAGGAAATTGTTGCTGCTGTGTGGAGATAGGGTTGGAGAGGTTCAAGAACGGTTTAGAGACCAGATATAGATTTCCTGCAGTGATCCAGGTGTGAAATAGTAGTTTTGAGACAAGCATGGTGGCAATTGAGAGAAGTAAATGGATTTGAGACACATGTAGGAGATAGAATAGATAGGACTTGCTGGATGTGAGGGAAGGAATGCATTTAGGAGTTAGAGATTAGAGGAATGAGTTGGAGATTTAAATCTGAAAGACACCAACAGCAATTAAGAAAACCTTGGGGATTCGTTATTTACTAAACAAGAGTGCTTACTATGTCGTAGACACTGTTAGAGGTACCCAGGTACATAGGTTCCAGGTACATAGGTGTGCTCCAGGGGTTGAGGTTGAAAAGGCAGAAAACAGTTTAAATCATTATCTTGGGGAGTAGGGAGTAGGATAACACCTGCCCTCATGGAACTTACTTTATAATGGGGAAATAGACTGTAAACAAGATTAATACATAAAATATATATTATATGATTATAAATATTAACAAGAAAAAGGAAGCAGGATATGTGATATAGAGTAACAGGGGGATGAATTGTAGATGGGATGACCAGAGAAGGCCTCACTGAGATGTTCTTTGAGTGAATTCCTGAAAGAAGTAAGGAAGTGAGCCCATGCCATTATCTAGAGGAAGAGCATCCCAGGCAGTGGGAACTGCAAGAACAAAGCTGTGAGGCTGGAGCATGACTGCCTGTGCTAGGGACCACAAAGAGGCCGTGTGGAAGCGGATGGGGGGCAGAGGTTGTGGTGAGTGAGAGATGAGGTCAGAGGAAACAGTGTAGAGAAAGGCTGTGCAGAGCATACAGAGCCTTGAAGGTCTCTCTAAGGACTTTGGCTGAGTAAAATGGGAAGCCACTAGGTGATTATGAGGAGAGGAATGCCATGATCTTATACTTTAAAGAATTGATCACTCAGGCTGCTATGTTGAGCACTGAATAGGTAAGATCATATTATAAAGAAAATGAGAGTCCAGACCTGAGCCCTAAGGAACTCTAACATTTTGAGGTGTGGTAGAGAAAGAGCAGTAGGAAGGAAAAAAAGGATGGAGAGGTAGGAGGACCAGGAGAGTGTAGTGTCACAAAAGAAAGTGAGGAATGTTTCGGGGAGGAGGGTGTAATGGACAGTGTTGAACGCTGTCAAAGTGTAGACGAGGTTAGAAGTGTCATTTGACCTTGGCGATGCCGATGTCATGGGTGGTTTTGGCAAGCCATTTTAGAGGAGTGGGGGCAGAAGTTAGAGTGTAGTAAGTTGGAGAGGAAAAATGGGATGTGAAGAAGTGGAGAGAATATGTGTAGATGAATACTCTTGAAAGTGAAATAGGATAGAAGCTGGGACTGTGGAATCAAATGAAGTTCCTTTTTTATTTTGTAAGATGGAAGGTACTAGAACATGTTTAAAAATGATTGGGAATGATCCAATAGAGAAACAAGATTATGTTGATGATACTAATGGTAGTTAATATTTACTGAACACTTAGTGTCGGACACTGTGCTTGGATGTGGATTAAAATAATCCTAGGATGGATATATAAATTACCTTTTCATGTAAAGAAACTAGGGTTGGAGAAATTACTAGTCCGAGGTCACATAGTTAATATGTAGCTATCAGGATGTGAACCTAGACATTTGAACTCAGCTATATTGCCTACATCGATGATTCTAGGAAAATAAAAGTGAATGACCACATCAAGCAAAGTCCATCCTTGAGAAGGCAAGAGGGGATGTGAATTGGAATGCAAGGGAGGACTGGTCTTTGAAAAAGGGATGGTCCTTTCCTCCACGGCATTGAAAGAGAAGGCAGGTGCAGATGGCCACAGTTGCCTGCAGGTGTTTTAGTGGTGAGAAGACAAGACTTCATATCTAAGAGCTTCTCGTATTTTTAAAGAAGTCAGAGGTTAAGTAACTGGCTGAGACTATAATAAGAGTGTGCTCTACGGGTAGAGGTTGAGAAGGCAGAAAACACTTAAAATCATTATCTTGGGGAGTTGGGAAGAGATCTTGGATTGTTTGGCAGTTTTCTGTGCCTGTTTGAGATTTTTGATCATGAATTTTAAATGAAACCAGTCACAGTTGTATGATTTTCTGCAGCAAGACTTAGCTGCTGAAGTGCAGGCAGGGGTACGTGATAGGGTTTAGTTGGTGCCAGGATTTTGCTAGGATTGTAAAAAAGGAAAAAAGGTTTGAGGGAGATGATGACATTTTGACAGGAAAGTGACCATATTAAAGGACTGGTGAAATTGGGCTGGATGAAGAGCAAAGTGAAGCCAGCACAGATGGGGAGAAAGTCATAGGATCTGTGGACCTCAGTAAGATCAATGATTTGTAGCAGTGGAGATACTTGAGCAAATAAGATTTAGGAGGTGGTGATCAGAGAGTGGGCTATCAGAGGTGGTTCAGTCTCTGAATGTCATGGTTCAGGTTGTGGCCATGGGAGTGGAAGGCTGAAGTGAATAGAGGAGAGAGAAAATAACCCAGAATAAGGACACCCAGAAATTATCCCCATTTAATCTCAATTTTCTTTCAGAGAGGTCATGACTTTCATGAAGGCGTTAGAGCTGGTAAGTGGCAAATGGGAACTTACCATTTTGGGGAAATGGGATTTGTGAGCATATGCTGTTAATTAAAGAAGATACAGATTATGCATCCCAAATCCTAAAATCCAAAATGTACCAAAATCTGAAACTATTTGAGCACCAACATGACACTCAAATGTTCATTGGACCATAAGTATAATGCAAATATTCCAAAATCTGAAAAAAAAAAAAAAAATCAAACCTGAAACACTTCTGATCCCAAGCATTCCAGATAAAGAATACTCAACCTATAGTTGTTTTAGTAGTGAAAATTAAACTTTTATTAAGATTGCAAAGTTGTGTATGTTTTTAAAGAATATGTTACCATCTGGGATATGAAAAGGAAGATCAGTCTTTGAAACTGATAATTGTTTTAAAAATTCACATAACTTGGCCACTGTTTCCTAATTTATATATAAGGTAATCCTGCCCCTACAATCATGGACTGCATCTGATAAGTGCAGCATTGAGCTTGTAAACTCATCCTGCTGCCATCCTGCTGCTGTGGCCTTTGAAACATGCATTTATTACCTTACAAAAAGCCCTCAAATCCCCTACCCTTTCTCCCTCTTTCGTGCTGGCCTGGCAAAATTGACCAGTGGTCTAACCCTACTTTCCACCTTCTTGCCTGTACCTCAGCAGTTAAACATTGCTGGGGAAAAAGACCATATGATGTCATTAGTAACATCTGCAGATTGTCTTATTAATACTTTCCATTTTGCTTATAATCTCCAATGTCAGCATATTTAGAAAAAGCAAGTGAAGTGCTTGACGTGCTTGACTGTTTTTTCTAGCATACTTGCAACAATTCCTTTTTATGCATAATTCTTATCCTTATAAAAAGCTGTTATTTATGTTGTATAAAATGAGTTGTTCCCTCTGCATGTATTTTGCATATCTAATGTTCCTGTTTTTATTAATTATTTTACTATAGTGCAGACTCTGGATATCCTTTGTTTTTTTTATTTTATTTTATTTTTTTTGGAGACAGGGTCTCACACTGTCACCCAGGCTGGAGTGCAGTGGTGCACTTTCGGCTTACTGCAACCTCCACCTCCCAGGTTCAAGTGATTTGCCTACCTCAGCCTCCTGAGTAGCTGGGACTACCAGCCCATGCCACCACGCCTAGCTGATTTTTGTATTTTTAGTAGAAACGGGGTTTCACCATGTTGGCCAGGCTGGTCTTGAACTCCTGATATTATGTGATCTGGCTGCCTTGGACTCCCAAAGTGCTGTGATTACAGGCATGAGCCACCGTGCCCAGCCTGGATATACTTTTTTATCTGAATAAAAGGTTATGTTATGTTCTCTCAGCTCTTAAGCTTTGATAAACAATCACTCTTCATAGAGTTCTCTTCATTTCTGACATGATACAATATCAGAAATAAGGACTTGATTGAAATCTTTTTAGTATTCAGCACATGGAGCTGATCAGAGGAGATGGCAGTGTGTCTTGTAGAAACTAAGTAACATAGGCATTTTCCTCACAAATTCTCTGCAAATTCTTGCTGCATGTGGATTACAGCCTAGAACTCTGATTTTAGAGGACCTGTAAGCATACAGGGTTATATTGTTAAAGTATTCATTATATGTTATAATAGCCCTTCTTTAAAAAGAAAGATACTGTTTTTAGATAAATACTGTTATTTTGAGGAAAAAATGTTGAAACCAATCAGCATCAAAGTTCTGATTCATAAAGGAAGTGCTTATTATACGACTTTTTTTTGTTTTGTTTTGTTTTTTGAGATGGAGTCTCACTCTGTCACCCAGGCTGGAGAGCAGTGGCAAAATCTCGGCTCACTGCAAACTCCGCCTCCCGGGTTCACACCATTCTCCTGCCTCAGCCTCCCGAGTAGCTGGGACTAAAAGCGCCTGCCACCACGCCTAATTTTTTTGTATTTTTAGTAGAGACGGGGTTTCACAGTGTTAGCCAGGATGGTCTCGATCTCCTGACCTCGTAATCCGCCTACCTCAGCCTCCCAAAGTGCTGGGATTATAGGCCTGAGCCACCGCGCCTGGCCTATGCTACTTTTTAATGAAGAGAAAGTATATTGCCGCCTCTTTCAGAAAGCAGCGTCTGTTCTGAGATTGAAAACTGTTGTGTTCTTTACATAGTCAAATGTTTGCTGCAGTTTGCTAATAATAAAAACATATTAGCAAGTTAAAGTAAGTTAGCAAATTTAACAGTTGTTAAAAATTCTTACTGTTAACATCTAGAACAAATTACTACTTTGTGGTTATAGAAGAAGAAAAAAAGACCATCTTAGTGGAGCTGGATACCCACTCAAACTCCATGTAGTGGCTATCTCAGGAGACTTGCAAAACCTGAGCTGCCTACATGGCACGAACTTGTATGTATTCTAGTAAAAAAATTGTTAGCTTGAAATAAAATAACAAATTTGATTAATAGTCTCTTTGCTCTTGTCCTTCAGTGGGATCTCAAGGAGACAGGTAGTATTGACCAGAAGACTTAGAGTGAGAGAGATTCTTGTGGAAAAAATGTGCCGGGGTTGTTCTTTGTTTACACTGTCCACGGAATATAAAACTTTCAAATAGTAGGGATCAGAACATCAGTATTTAATATCGCCACTGATCTGATACCAGAATCTCATAGTAGGCAGTTAAATCTTAAAAACAAACCTCCCGTATCTGCATTTAATTGTATGTAAAAGCTTCCCTCCACCTACCAAGGCAGTCTTCTTCCTTGGTTCCCATACTGCTTCTTTAACTATTTTAGCCTTTAAATGCTAAATTAGGTTTTTCTAGTTCACTATAGTTTGCACATTTAAATATTTCCATTCTTCACAAGAATTATGTGCATTTTAAGCATGGTTGAAATTTGCTGCCACAACCATAACATTAAAATTTGGAGATCATTGTAGATTCATGCGGTTGTAAGAAATAATATAGAGATCTTGCATACCTTCCACCCAGTCTCCCAAATGATAACGTGTGTGTAACTACAGTATACTGGACATTCCTCCCCCTTTTTTTTCGGAGAAGTTACAGATTGCCTCATAATCCTGTGGGGATACTATGTGGCTATGATGAGTGATGACTACACTGAAATAGGAGAACTAGACGGTTTCATGATAACCTGATTTTTTTAAATCCAGAGCTGTCTGAACTGGAGGATTCAGCAGAACAACAGTATCCACATTTAATTATGCATGAAGTCCCCTTTTCTCTACCTTAAGCAATTAATTTCCTCCCAAAATTCAATGTGGAGGAGGTTAGAAGGCACATCTGGTCCCTCTGCCCTCCCCTGCCTTTACTTTAAACCACTGGTTTTACCTGTTTTGTAATGTGGAGGTTTCACTGGCAATTTTATTTCAAGAAGAAAAAAAGAATTCTAATGTTTAAACCACTGGATTAATTCAGTAGGCTTTATTAAAGCTAAGACATGAGGCTTAGGAAGTTAGAAAATATCCACCCCAGTCATCAAAAGTATATTGCTGTCCATCCCTGGAGATTTAATTTAAAAGAAAAATAGAATACATATAAAAATTTTGCAGGAAAAAAGTATGATAGAAAAATGTGCCTAGTATAAGAATTTCTGTCAATTCAGTAAGTAAAATCTAGCAATATTAGACAAAAATAATGGTATTAACATTTGTATCTTCTCTTGACAGTTTTAATTGATAAAGACCAGAGTCCAAAATGGAAACCAGCTGATCTAAAAGAAGTTACTGAGGAAGATTTGAATAATCACTTTAAGTCTTTGGGAAGCAGTGATTTGAAATTTTGAGGTGACAGGCTTTTAAGGTATATTTTGTAGCATGGGTTGGCAATCTACAGCATGTGGGCCAAATCCAGCCTGCTGCCTGTTTTTATATACCCTGTAAGCTAAGAATGGTTTCCGCATTTTTAAATGGTTGGGAAAAGAAATCAAAGACTAATAATTCATGACGTGAAAATTATCAGAATTCACAAATAAAGCTTTATTGGAACTAGCTATACTCATCTGTTTATATATTATCTGTGGCTGCTTTGAAATGAGTAGTTGCAATAGAGATGGTAAAGCCTACAAAGCCTAATTATTTACTGTCTGGTTTTTGTCAGAAAAAAGTTTGTCAATCCTTGTTTTAGAAGATGGAAAAATGTGAAGATCTTTGGAGATTCTCTTGAGTGGTATATCTAATTGAAATGGGATCTTCGTTTGGCTTGTATGTTGATGAAATCAACTTAGGTATACAATATAAAAAATAAAGACCCTGAAAATTGTTTTGGATACTGTGTTAATGCCTCATAGAATTTTTGTTTTGGATACTGTGTTAATGCCTCATAGAATTTTCTCCATATATGAGTGTGTTTTAAAGTAACTGAGTTACTGTAGCAGAAGAGCTCCTTTTATAAACATTAGAAACCTTGGGCAGAGAGAAAAGATTTTTATTAACGTCCCTCTTCAGTATTAACTCAGACTTGGTCTTCCCTAAAATAATCAGAATACCATCCCATGGTGAAACTGAAAGGATTATTTTCTTGTTATTTGTGATATTTGTTAATCTGGTAGAATGAGAAATTAGGAAACTCCAATCTCTTAGATAGAGACACTCTGTTTTTTTATAATTTACGTAAGACTTTTGTGTGATAATTATCCTTACAAACAAGGTTCAAGTCAGGAGAAAAAAATTAATTGAAAGCAAGAAGACTTTTGTTCAAAAGATATATTCAATAATTGATATTGTTAATGAAGTAAGTACTTTTTAAGGTATGAAAGAACTAAAAGGTATTCCAGACTCAGAACCTTAAAGTTCTAGGCAAGAATAATTTTTAAACTAAAGGTAAGTTTATAAATTAACAAAGTAAACAAAATTTATGATTTTGTTTTTTGTTTGTAATTTTTGTTTAATTTTAAAGGTAAGTTTATAAATTAACAAACAAAATTTATAATTTTTTGTTTGTAATTTTTGTTTATAAACAAAATAAATTTTTTGTAACTTGTTATAGTTTCTCCTTCATCCCATACTCTTTAGAAACTAAGTGAACTTCAGGTTTGTAAGAATAAAAAGCCAACGGAACTGAAAAAGACATTAAAGATCATGTCCTGCACCCTTCTCATAGATGAGGAAATGGCAGCCCAGAAGGTATTGCTTTATGTTTTCTCAGTTCTTAATCTGTTTTATGTGAAGCATTTTTCTTTCAAATAATTCAGTAACAGATCTGGAATAAAGATGCCATGATATCGGATACATTTACATTTATACTCTTAAAGGTCCTAAATTGGACCTGAATGATCCAAGAAATTATTTGTATAAATGGATTTTTGTTCTCTATATTTGTTAACAATGCAGAAAATGTTGTCTTTTATATTGTTAAAAAATTCAAAGTACACACTGTCAGAAAGCATTTGCTTCAGTTAAATAAGAGCTCACACTAGTTAATTGCAACTGGACTTTTATTGTGCAGTTACAACAACAAATGTTTTCAGAAAAATATTTGGAAAAAATATACCACTTCATAGCTAAGTCTTACAGAGAAGAGGATTTGCTAATAAAACTTAAGTTTTGAAAATTAAGATGCAGGTAGTGCTTCTGAACTAATGCCCACAGCTCCAAGGAAGACATGTCCTATTTAGTTATTCAAATACAAGTTGAGGGCATTGTGATTAAGCAAACAATATATTTGTTAGAACTTTGTTTTTAAATTACTGTTCCTTGACATTACTTATAAAGAGTCTCTAACTTTCGATTTCTAAAACTATGTAATACAAAAGTATAGTTTCCCCATTTGATAAAAGGCCAATGATACTGAGTAGGATATATGCGTATCATGCTACTTCATTCAGTGTGTCTGTTTTTAATACTAATAAGGCAGTTTGACAAATTATTTCTTTGGGACTAAGGTGATTATCATTTTTTTCCCCTTCAAAATTGTGCTTTAAGTGCTGATAACCACAGGCAGATTGCAAAGAACTGATAAGGCAACAAAAGTAGAGAATTTTAGGATCAAAGGCATGTAACTGAAAGGTAACAACAGTACATAAGCGACAACTGGGGAAGGCAGCAGTGAAACATGTTTGTGGGGTTAAGTGAGTCATTGTAAATAAGGAATTTGCACATTTATTTTCTCTGATAACCTGCTTCCATGTTGCCACCTGGAGGCTCTTTGTTGTGCTGGTAGAAGCCCATTTGCCCTTACTCTGGATGTTCCAAATGTTTCCCTTTCCAGGAGCTAGTCAGTCTTTCAGTCATCTGTTTTATATGTCTCCTGCCTTCTCAGACAGTCCTTCTACTCTCTTTTATTGTTCATGAAAGACCTTCAAATTGAAGTAAAGCCCATATTTCAATATAAAGATATGAAAGAAGGCTAATATCCTATCAGTGATATTCTCATCCATCTTGTCATGAAGGCCATACCATGATAACTATCACATGTAATGTAAATTTGTTTATTCATCTCTCTTATTCATTTATTCATCTTTTTTCATTTGTTTATTCATCTTTCTCCCATTTGCTCCTGTCTTGATTTATCCACTAGCTCACTGATTATGCAAGCCTTGTAGTTCATATATGTCATGGGTTAACATACAATACAGCATATATTTCAGACATAAGTGTTTCAGAAATATTGTACAGAAGATATTGTACTCTATTAAAATGTGATTCAGGGACAAGGGAGTGGTGCTTGGTGATAAAAGTATACTGCCATAGTTGCTGAGGAAGGGCAGCAACAGAAATCAGACTTCTAGTTGATATGGATCTGGCAGGCATCTCTGTCACACCCCTGGGAAATAGTGGCCCAGGGCACAGAAGGAACCTGAAATTAAAATATTTAGATACAACCAAAACTCACTTGTCTGTCCCTATGTATACTGAAAAGTTTAGTGGGGCATGCTGCTTTACCTGGCTTTGTGTTTTCACCATTGTACTTATTTTATATACCTAATTGTACATTTTAAGCAGCAGATGACCTTGCAGCAAAAATGTCTTGGTGTGAGATGCAAAATGAATGAAAAACAACCACACCTAGGCTTTTGTCACTCAACCTAAACTACTCTTCATGACCTGGAAATGTTTTATACTTATGGGAAACTTTCTGCCCTTAACCTTATAACTTCAGATCCTTGTATGAATGGGTTTGGTTGTTTTTCTATTATATAAATTGTAGATTGCAAGTACAATGGGACAGTACAAATCCCGGGACTCGGTAAAATTAGAGTTGAATGATGAGGTGTCCAAAGGCAACGAAAACATGGCATATTTCAAATAATGTTTTCCTTGCTTATGTAACTTGGAGAATTCACTCTATTTGATTGTGGGTTTCAAAGTATTAGTGTTAAAATTAGAGGTAGATTTTCTGCCTGCTTACAAGACAAATACATATTTATCTCATTAAAGAGGTCATAAGCCTTTTTTTTAACCTTTATATTTCAATACCAATGGTGTATTGTGGATCTAACATACACAGGCTTAAATAATTTCCTTTCCATTTAAACTCAATGTCTACCAAATCTTGATGAAAAGATAATTCTAGAAACTGAAGTCTTAATTTTCTAACAAGTCATGTCTTAATTTCTTCTTCTCCCTCCCAAATTTTCTGTTACCACTGATCTTCAAACAGTACTTAATCCTTTAAAACAAAAAGGTGTGTGTGTATGTGCTGTGACAGTAAAAATGAAAGAGAAAAAATAGCTTCCCTAAAAGGTAGCCAGGCTTATGGAAACAGTATAATAGGTGGCTATAAATGCCCTATAGGCTTGTGTTACCACTAAAAAATAACAAAAACCCAGAAAACGAGTACTCTCCTCAAAGGACAGTTTTATCTTTTCCGTTTTGCAATACAACTGTAAATCTTCATGCATTATCTGGTCTATTTTAATGGTGACCGCCTTACTAGTCAAGAAAAAACTGGAAATAAATGCCCATATTCCAGCCCTCTGTACCTCTGAGATAGTAAAGCTTAATACAGAATTAAAACTGAAACTTTCTACCTTGCAGACTAAGTTTCTGTTATTTTTAAGATTTATTGGATTGCTCTTTGTAAAAGGTACCCCTACTTGTTTTCTTGTATAGTTATATCACTGGGCTTAATTCAATGCAATAAACACTAATGTCATGGCTTCTATAAACTGTTATCTCTAAGATGGCTTTAGGCACAAAGTCTGAGTCGTCCAGTAACAGCTGTAATTAGTTAGGGCCCTGAGGTCCAAGGTGGTAGTTACACTTCTCATCTACAAAAATAAATATCTTATCTTATTAAAGACAGGGTTCATTTGTGTCAAGAAGTAGAGATCCTTGACAAACAAACAAGACTTACTGTTAATCACTATGATTTGAGTGCCATTCCCTCGCCAAGAAATTTTAGAAAAGCCCTTTTCATATCTGGACTTTTTTTGGGTATAAACAAACAAAAATTGTTATTTTAAAGGATAAACTTCAACCATTGGAATTTGGGGCAGTTTTTATTCCTTAGCATTTTCTTTGGTGATGCCATTACTTAGGAAGAAGTGCTGTGACATTCAGCTGATTATTGGGTGTCACAGGACCTCTGTTCAGCCCTTCAGATGACTAAAATCTAAGACTAAACAGAAATTGCTGTTAACATAGAAGTACTTAAAATGCATTTCATCCTAGTTGTTCTTATAATAGTGACATTATCGTAGACACATTTTTAAATCCAGATAGTTATTTGTACTTTTTCACACCAGTTTTTGCTTTTGTCACATTTATTCAAACTAGCACCTCCACAGTCAAAGTGTTGTCATCCTACAGCCTCAAGGCCCCTCACTCTCAATGTATGGAATGTCATGGTACTTGATGTTATTGCATGCCCATTGCTGCAAGGCATCACACAAGATATCCTGAGACAGGCGGTGTGCATATTCCAAGATCACAGTATTGGTCCCTGGAGGTTCCTTCACTTCCTCTTTGACATTAACTGGAGAAGCCATCCTAGGTAGACATCTCTCTTCTGGCATAAAGGGTTCTTCACTCTCATGCTGCTTCTCACCTTCATATATGGTAGGAAATGGGAAAGTTTGCTTTGATTTCATGCAGCCCATGTTATGAAGAGCTGTTTGTGGAGGAAGCAGTGGCAAAGACTACTTCCAGGCCATCTTTAGAAAACAATGAAATTTGTCCATGTGATGTTGACCAGTGCTTTCCCTCTCCAGGGCACTTCAGTAATCAATGTTCCCTTTCACCACTCTTCACGTGTAGTGTTTACCTGTCAAGAGAAGGTAGGTTTCATTTTGAAGTTACAGAATGCAAAATAGTGTATGATTGAGTGGCATGTAAAAATCCTTTCATCACTTTGGTCACATGGAAGAAATCTGAGGTAAAAACAAACAGCTTTATCTTATCAGTAGAAGAAAAAGATAATCACTCAATAAAAATGGCAACTTGCAAAATAGGAAAACTTTTTTTCAAGATCTTGCATATTTTATAAAACTGAAAACAATTCAATTTTTGCTAGCTTAGATTTATCTATACCAAAACAATTCAATTTTTGCTAGCTTAGATTTATCTATACCAAGGGCTAGCAAACCATTGGGCCAAATTCCAGCTACCTATTTTTGTACAGCCATGCTCACGTGTTTACATGTGTCCATGGCTGCGTTCATACTACAACAGCAGAACTGAATAACTGTGACAGACCATGTGGCCCACAAAGCTTAAAATATGTACTATCTGACCCTTTACAAAAAATGTTTGCTGAGTCCTGATCTATACTGTCAAGCAAAACAAGCACATCAAAATTTTGTTCCTCCCCAAACCTCATGAACCTACAGATCTTGGACTACTGTTAGAGTCTGGCTTTATCCCCTGGTCACATATTTACAACTCAAAGAGTAGTAAACAATGTTGGCTTTACTCTAGTGCCACGTCTAAACAATATAGGTTACATATAGCAAAGCCACCTATTGACTGTTCCCTGTGAAATTGTACAGAAGCTCAGATTAAGGTTAAAGGTTTTTCCTCCTAAATGTCTCATTCCTACCCTTGTTTGATGTTTGGTCAATAAATAGATGACAATGCTTGTGATGTGCCTTCTAAGCCTCCCAAGTGTGTGTTATCACAGAATGAACTCCTCTTAAGGGACTTAAGGATAACTAAAACAATACAAGACAGCTTCATTTTAAAGAGGACTGAGTGTAAGAAGCACAGGTAATCTCTATGAATGAGATTAATGGTCCCTGATTGTATCTTAGTTTTGGGACTAAAAACATAGCTCTAAAAATTCATAAAATCTGTTTCTGAAAACACCTTTTTTTTTTTTTTTTTTTTTTTTGAGACAGGGTCTTACTCTGTTAACTCAGTCTGGAGTAAAGGATGCAATCACGGCTCACTGTAGCCTGGACCTCCTGGGTTCAAGTGATCCTTCCACCTCAGCCCACTGAGTAGCTGGCCTGCAGGCACAAGTCACCATGCCTACCTAAGTTTTTGTAGAGACAGGGTTTTGCCATTTTGCCCAGGCTGGTCTTGAACTCCCGGGGTCAAGTGATCTGCCCACCTCAGCCTCCCAAAGTGCTTGGATTACTGGCGTGAGCCACTGTGCCTGGCCTGAAACCACTGATCTTAAGGCAAAAGCTTGCGTGCATCTAATTCATTTTTTAATAGTTTGTAATTAAGGATGTCCAGAGGAGGTGATGTTTGCCAGGTCTACCACCATATATTATTCTATAAATTCTACCCAGTTTCTCATAATACTACATCTGTTCCTACCCCTAATAAGAGTGATATGAGGGTAAGAAAGGAAAGGCAGTCTTCTGCTTTTAATTACCTTTAGTTCTGTATGCCCTGCTTCACGCTGCATACTTCAGAGATGTTAATTTTAAAAGGGAAACAAGTTATGTGTGGTGTCTGTCTTGTTTACTAGCCTGAACTGAAGATGGGGACTGTCTTGGTTGTTAATCATCAGCATGTTATGATTTTTCATAGTGTCTAGTTTTTACTGTGAGGGATGGTTAAGGGAATTGGACATGGTTAACCTGAAAAAAATTACTTGGAGAACTCAATGAGTGTCAGATAAATAAAAGGCTGTGAGTGGAACCATCAGTGGAACCATCAGAATATTCTGTTTTTTAAGACCTTTTGTTTTGCAAAAGCAGCTTTTTCTTACCCTAACAAAGTAGTGCCAGATTTGTGCATTTGCCAAAACCAGTTTTAAAACCAGACAAAATATATGTTGCCATTATTTTCAGGCATAGAGCAACAAGCAACACTGGATTGTGATCCCTGAGAGAAGAAAAACACAAGATGTTAAATCCCACAGATGGTCATTGTGGGATTCTACCTGGGGGTATCTCCCAGCATTACCGTGGGAGTTGAGCCCCAGGAGAGTCAGAGAGTGGCAACTCTGATGCAACAGAGGTTAGGGTTACTAAAACAGCTGGAATTTATAAGATAGAGTTCAAGATTGGGAAGAGAGGCAGAAATCTGCATGAGACTTGGCAAGGGTACTGGGATGTGCATGTCCAGGATAAGGATCTGCAAAGTGTTAGCAAACGATTACTTCCTCTAGGACTTAAGAGTTGAACAGTGACACCAGAAGTTATACAGTACTTAGAATCCTTGGAATTGCAGCCTGAGTGGAGCAATCTCATTGAACACTTTCGTATTTAGTTACTACTCAAGAAATGCGACACCTTAGGAATCAGTAGTATACCCTAAACAAGGTTTGGCAAGTGTTTTCTTAAAGGGCTATGACTTAGGCTTGTGAGCTAGGATGTTTGTGGCTTCTCCAAATTCATATATTGAAACCTAATCCCCAACGTGATGGTATTTGGAGGTGGGGCCTTTGGGTGATGATATTAGAGTTTTAGTGCTCTCATAAAAGAGACCCCAGAGAGTTCCCTTGCCCCTACTGACATGTGAGGCCACAGTGAAAAGCTGTAAACCACAAAGCAGGCCTTCACAAGACACCATATATGCTCATGCCTTAAACTTGGACTTCCCAGCCTCCAGAACCATGAGAAATAAATCTGTGTGACTGATTGATAAACACCCAGTCTTCTAAATACTCCATACTAGTCTCTGGTATTTTGTTATACCATCCTGAATGGACTAAGACACATAGGGTCTATGTTACAACTACTCAGCTCTGCTATTATAGCACAAAAGAAGCCAGATAATATATTAATATTAAACAAATGGGCATGGCTATATCCAATAAAGCTTCATTTACAAAAATAGCCAGCCTATGGACCACATTTGACTAAGTTCAAACAGAAATAATCCTCTTTAACAAGAAATAAAACAATACCATTTAAAGGAAGATAACATAAGCCAGATGCCTTACAAGGTATTATTCACAATGCCTACCATTCAATTAAAAAATTACTAGCCATACAAAGAGGCAGGAAAATCTGACCCATAATCAAGGGAAAAAAAAAAAAAAGACCCAGCATTTCTTAATAGAAATTAATAATAGAACTTTAAAGTAGCTATTTAAGTATACCCAAGAAAATAAAGGAAAAACTAGTGAACAAAAAAAGAATCTCAGAGAAATGGAAATTGTAAAATAAAAATGGAAAATCAGTAACTGAAATGTACAAGATGTGAAATGAAAAATTCATTGTGTGGACTACTGAATGTTGGAAAAGATAGGATTAGTGAACTTGAACATAAATCTATAGATGTGTCCAATCTGAAAAATGGAGGGAAAAGATTTAAAACATAGAGCAGCCACTAAAGAGATAATGCAAGTATGACTTATGAGGAAAGGAATTAGATACGTTTAACCCAGAAGAAGACAGGAAAGGAAGAACATTGGGGGTTGGGGAGGGACAATTAGAAAACCAACATATGAAAAAGCCTTCCATGTGAAAAATTACCTGAAAGAAAATGGACTAAAAATAACAATTGAAAGGCAGAGATGATCAGACTAGTTTAAAAATCCAAACCACACATACATAGTCTTTTCAACGAGTGCTGGAACAAACAAATCATCCATATGCCAAAAAAAAAAAAAAAAAAAAAGCTGGACACAGTTCTTAAACCCTTCACAAAATTAATTTGAAATGGATCATAGACCTAAATATAAAATAGGACTCCTAGAAGATAACATAGGAGACAATCCAGATAACCTTGGGTTTGGCGACAACCTTTTAGATTCAGTGCCAAAGGCATGATGTGTTAAAGAAATAATTGATAAGTTGGACTTCACTAAAAAACTGCTCTGTTTAAGACATGGTCAAGAAAATGAGAAGACAAGCCACAGACTGGGAGAAAATATTGCAAAAGCATATTTGATAAAAGATTGTTATCTAAAGTATACAAAGAACTTTTAAAAGTCAACAATACAAATATGAACAAGCTAATTGAAAAATGGGCAAAAGATCTGGACAGACACCTCACGGAAGTCTTCTTACATATAGGTGGCACATAAACGTATGGAAAAGTGTTCAACATCATGTCATTCAGGAATTGTAAATTTAAACAGTGAGATAATGGCAAAAGCAACAGAACTCTCATTCACTGTTGGTGAGAATGCAAAATGGTACGGTTACCTTGGGAGGACAGTCTGGCAGTTTCTTAGAAAGTGAAACATTCTTACTGTATGATCCAGCAGTTCTGCTTCTTGGTATTTACCCAATAAGTTGAACGCTTAAATCCATGCAAAAATCTGCATATGGATGTCTGTAGCAGCTTTATTCATAACTTTGAAAACTTAGAAGCAAGCAAGATGTCCTTCTTGGTGAATGGGTAAACTGTGGCACATCTAAACAATGGAACATATTCAGCATTAAAAATAAATGAGTTAGGCTGGGCATAGTCACGCCTACAATCCCAGCACTTTGGGAGGCTGAGGCGAGTATCATTTGAGCCCAGGAGTTCAAGACCAGCCTAGGCAACATAGCAAGACCCCGTCTCTACAAAAAAATTAAATATGAAAAAAATTAGCCAGGCATGGTGGTGCACACCTACAGTTTTAACTACTCAGGAAGCCGAGGTCACTTGGGCCCAGGAGTTGGAATTGAAGGTTGTGGTAAGTTAAGATTGATTGCACCACTGCACTCCAGCCTGGGTGACTGAGCAAGACCCCACCTCAAAAAATAATAATCCAGCCATGGGAAGAAAAGGAGGAACCTCAAATACTTATTACTAAGTTAAGCCAATCTGAAAGGGGTACATGCTGTATGATTACAACTATATGACATTCTAGAAATGGCAAGACTCTGGAGACAGTAAAAAGACCAGTGGTTGCCAAGGGTTATGGAAGAGGCTGAGATGAATAGGTGGAACAGACAATTTTTAAGGCAATGAAACTATTCTATATGATACTAATAATGGATTTCTGTCATACATTTGTCAAAAACCATAGGTTGTACAACACCAGGAATGAACCCTAAAATAACGTGGATTTCAGGTGATTGCGATGTGTCTAGTGGGAGATGCTGCGTGTGTGTGTGTGTGTGTGTGTGTGTGTGTGTGTGTGTGTGTATACACAGGATACGTGGGAACACTACTTCCTGCTCCATTTTTCTGTTAACTTAAAACTGCTCTGAAAAACAGTCTATTATTTTTTTAAAAAATACACCCACTATATGCTATCTATAAAAGATACACAACTTAAAACTGACAAACCCACAAGCATAGCTGGAGACTTAAAACATTACTAGAATAGTCAAAGAAAAAATACGTGTTCTGAACAACATTATGCTCCAACTTGAGTTGATATTCACAGAACACTACACCCAACAACTATTACATATTCTTATCAAGTGCATATGGAACATTCACCAAGATAGACTATTGGTAGTCTCAGCAGATTTCAAAGGCTTAAAACATTACACAGTACAATTTCTAACCACCCCAGAGAGTAAAATATCTAGAAAAGCCTCATATATTTGGAAACTAAACATATTTCTAAATAACCCATGGGACAAAGAAGAAAATCACAGGAGAAATTAAAATATAGTTTCAACTAAACAAAAGCCAAAACATCAAAATTTTGAAATGCATTAGTTTTAGAGCTTAGAAGGAAATTTATATACTTAAATGCTTATAATAGAAAAGAAGAAAAGTTTAAATCAGTGATATAAGCTTTCACCTTAAGCTAAAAAAAGAAAAGCAAATTAAACCCAAAATAAGTAGACAGAAGTAGGTAAGAACAGAAATCAGTGAAGCATACGATAGAGACAACAGAATGAATGCTGGTTCTTTAAAAAGATCTAATAGATACATCTCTATACAGACTGATCAAGAAAAGTCACATATTAAGATGTGTAATGGGCATTATGACATCTATATACGTTTAAAAGGCAAACAGGAATAATATAAACAATTTTATGCCAATATCAAATTACCAAAATTGGCACAAGAAA
Organism: Homo sapiens; assembly: GCF_000001405.40. NCBI lineage: Eukaryota > Metazoa > Chordata > Mammalia > Primates > Hominidae > Homo > Homo sapiens. Next base: position 190,193,593 of record NC_000002.12, on the reverse strand, counting down.
AAAATGATAGCCCTACATCAATTAAAGAAATTGTAAATCTTTCCAAAAAGAAACCTCCAGGCCCTAATGGCTACACTAGAGAACTCTTACCAAGGCCATTACGAGGAAGTAATACCAGTCTTATCTAAACTCTTCAGAAAAGAGAGAAAGAGGAAAGAAAGATTTCCCGAATTATTCTATATGAGGCCAGTATTACCAAGAAGACAAAACTCCACAGGCCAATATCCCTCATGAACATAGACCCAGAAGTTGGCAAATTGAATCTAACGTGTAAAATGGATAAAACATGATGACTGAGTGGATTTATACCAGAAATTCAAGGATATTCCAAAGACAATAGATATAATTCACTATATTAACATAAAAAAAATCAGATGATCACCTCAGTAGAAACAGAAAAAAAATTTTGATAAAATACCATTTTTTATTTTTAAAATCCCAGCAAAGTATTAATAGGAAGGCCTTCCTCAAAAGTAATGTTAGTGGTGAAAGACAACACTTTTTCCCTATGACAGGAGCAAGGCAGCAATAGTCATTCTCATGATTTCTGTTTGATATTTTACCGGAAGTCCCACTGAGTATGAGGAAGGGAAGACATACAAAGCATAAAGATTGAGAGAAGGAGAAAACTGCCATTATTTGCAGATGACAAAATTGTATAGAGAAAATTTTAAAGATTATATGGCCTCCCCCCAAAAAAAATTTACTGGAATAATTGTAGCAAGGTCTTAACATATAAAAGTGACATATAAAAAGTAATTTCTACAAACTTAGCAGAAGATGAAATTAATGCCATTTGCAATAGCATCAAAAACATGAACACTTAGGGATAAATTTAACAAAGCATATGAAGGAAAACTGCATTTTGTATTGTGTACGTTGTACGTGAAAAATACAAAATGTTACTGAGAAAAAGTAAAGAACCTAAACAAACAGACAAATGCTGTTCATGATCTGAAAGACAATATTCTTAGTCCTCCCCAAATTAACATGTATATTCGGCAAAATTCCAGCAGGCTTTTCTGTAGACATTGACAAATGGATTCTAAAAGTCCAGTCAAAATCCCAGCAGGATTTGTTTTATATATATAGATATATAGATACACACACACACACACACACACACACACACACACACACAGATTCTGAATTATACATGGAAACACAAACTAGAATGGCCAAAACAATTTTGAGAAAGAACAATAATTTGGAGTACTCCTATTATCTAATGTTAAGAATGACTATAAAGCTACAGTAATTAGTGCTATATTGACAAAAGGCTAGCCACAAACCTATGAAACAGAAACAAGTCCAGAGATACACCCATAAAAATATGGTAAACTGATACTTGACATGTCCAAAAACAATGAATGCAAAAAGGATAATCTTTTCAACAAATGGGATTGGAACAATTGGACATTCACATACTCTCCCCCCACCAAAATCTACTTATACCTTATACTTTATAGAAAAATTAACTCAAAAGGGATCATAGTTTTAAATGTAAAATGTAAAACTATAAAACAAGAAGACAAAACATTTGCGATCTTGGGTTAGGAAAAGAGTTCTTAGATGTGATACCAAAAGCATGAACCATGAAAGAAAAAAACTGGTAAACTAGACTGAATCAAAATGAAAAAGATTTGCTCTGGAAAAAAAAACACAGTTAAAAGATTGAAAAAAAAACAGCAAATATAAAAAATATTTGCAAGTCATCATCTAGCCAATAAATGACTTGAATCCAGAATATATAAGTATCAAAACTCAATAGCAAGACAACAACCCAGTTTAGAAAACGAGATTTGAAAGATTTAGGCAGTTCACTTGGTACCACCTATAGATAGCAAATATAAGTACATGAAAGATGCTCAATATCATTAGCCATTAGGGAAATGCAAATTACAGCCATGATAAGAAACCACTATGTAGCTGTTAGAATGGGTAAAAATAATACCAAGTGCTGGTGCATATACAGAGCAACTGCACTCTCATACATTGCTGGTGGGAATGCAAAATGACATGGCCTCTGGAAAAGTTTGGCAGTTTCTCACAAAGTTGGAATAACCACATAGAAGACCCAGCAATCCCACTCCTAGAAATTTACCCTAGATACATGAAAATTTGTGTTCACATAAAAAAATTGTATGCTGGCTGGGGACGGTGGCGCATGCCTGTAATCCCAGTATTTTGGGAGGCCTTGGTGGGTAGATCACCTGAGGTCAGGAGTTTGAGACCAGCCTGGCCAACATGGTGAAACTCTGTCTCTACTGAAAATACAAGAAAGTTAGCAGGGCATAGTGGTGCACACCTGTAGTCCCAGCTGCTTGGGAGGCTGAGGCATGAGAATCACCTGAATCCAGGAGGCAGAACAGAGGTTGCAGTGAGCTGAGATCACGCAACTGCACTCCAGCCTGGGTGACAGAGTGAGACTCCATCTCAAAAAATAAAGAAAAAAAATTGTATGCAAATGTCTGTCACAGCTTTATAATTGCCAAAAGTTGACAACAAAGATGTTAATGTACACCAATATGGATGACTCAAAGGCATGCTGATTGAACAAGCTAGTCTCAAAAGGTTACTTATTTATATGACATTCTGGAAAAAGGCAAAACTATAGGGACAGATGATAGATTAGTGGTTGACAGGAGGTTGGGGGTAGACTGTGACCAAAAGGGCAGCAGGAGGGACCTTTTTTGGAGTGATGTAACTATTCTTTATCCCGATTGTGGTGGTGGCTGTAACAAATCTAAACATGCGTTAAAATTCATAGACTTGTTCACCAAAATGAAGTCAGCTTTACTGTATGTTAAAAATTTTAAAAAGGTATTTTTTAAAACCACAATATAATTACCCACACTAAGATTGCTAAAATTTAAAAAACCCCAGTGCTTAGTGTTGGTGAGGACATGCAACGCATATATTGCTGGAAGGAATGTAAAATGGTACAACCATTTTAAAGAATTCCTTGGCTGTTTCTTAAAAAGTTAACCACACACTTACCCTGTGAACCAGCCATTTCATTTCTAGATATTTATCTAAGACAAATGGAAACACAGGTATTTTAAAAATCTGTATACCAATATCCATAGCCTCTTTATTCACAATAGTCAAAGCTGGAAACAACCCAAATGTCCATCAGTAGGCAAATCAAATGGATAAACAAATTAGGGATATCCTCAAAATGGAATATAACTTGACAATTAAAAAAGGATGAACTATTGGTATGTCAAACCACATGGATGAATCTCAGACATGTTGAGCCAGATAAAAAAGATGGATCATATTTATATGAATTTCAAGATTGGACAATAGTGACCCTATGAATAGAAATCATAGTAGTGATTCCCTTTGGGTGGGAAGAAGTAAGGACTGTTTGGAAGAGGCCCTGAAATAACTTTCTAGGCTATTAAAAAATTCTATATCTTAATTGGTATGTTAGTTACATGAGGTATATGTTAAAACATGTTAGATTGTACCTTTAACATCTGTTTACTGTATTTCACTGTAATTTTTACTTTAATAAGATATAAGAACAGTTTTTGAGAACATTCTGGGGCACCTAAATCCAGGGGACTGATGTATTTTATCTGAAAAAGACCGCCTATGGGCAGCATCCAGAGCGGACCAGCTCCCTGTGCTGGAGGACTCCAGTGTGAGGCCTGCTGCTTCCTTTCTACATTGGCCTGAAACCAGCCCAACTCAGTGGTCATAATCTTCTGGGCCTACCGAAGAGCAAAAGCCTACTTCTAGTTCTTCCAGTTGCCAGTTCAAGGGCTTTATCTGTCACTTCCTTTGGGAACAGGTAGAGTGCTTTGATTTAGAATGATGGCAATAAATGAGAAACCAATTTGAAATTGGATGTGAGAGTCTTTTGTCCTTTATTGTGTTGTTCCTGAACTTGTAGCTAAGGAGGGTAGAGTAGAGAGAGGGATATATAACCTTATCCAAGGAAATAGATTAGTAATACTTCATCCCCACCACACTTTAATTTGCACATATTTCTAGAGTATAGGACATCAAAAATACCTAGATATTAAAATATTTATGTTGTTAACCTTCAGCTGGTTTAGCCGTATCTATTAAGGATAGAAAACAACTGTTCTTCAGTTACTTATCACATCTGCTTACTAATTTATGTTATGTTTATCATCTCTTCCCATCTAATAGATGAAACAGGCAGATAGGTCTGGCTCTTCCACTTGCTGACCCAGAGTTCACATGGCAAATAAGAATGGAGCTGTCACTCCGAATTCCAGCTTCTTCTTGGAATAAAAGTGCTCCAACGGTACTTTATCCAATCCAGCCTATGTTTTTAAGTGTTAACTTTCTCCCTTTCTTGAACTTATAGAACCTCTGTCCCATCTTTGAAGTTAATTCTTGCCGGTAAAGACCAAGATAGCTCCTTCCCAGGGTCTCTGTTTCTTTCTTCTCATTGCCCCTGTCCTTGACCTGATCTCTGGGCTATCAGCAAGAACGTGATGGCCCAGACCTTCCCAGTCTCCCAAACAGGTCTCTGGGTACTACTACCCCAGGACTAGTTCTCAAATCTGGCCTTCAAGTCCTGTGTTGGGAAAAATGACACTGATATATTCATGTAATTAGGTAATCATCTGGTCCAGTAACTAGCTATCTAATGGAATTGCTCATGGCATGCTGAGAAGGTGCAGTTGCCCTAATTGAATGGATTAGTAAACTGCCCCCACATATTTGTTAATCAGATTTTCATGCTATAGTTTCCATCCCACAGAAGCCTCAAGATTTATCATGAATAAAAAAGCATCATCCTTAAAGTAAGAGCCAAGAGGGAAAAAAAAGTTCATGTGAAGCATCTACTGTTCATAATAGCAGCTGTTTAAATACTTTTAAATACTTAAAAGGCAGTTACAATACAGTACTTTAAATACTTAAAAGGCAATTACAGTATAAGCCTGCACACCAGTGAAGAACAAACTTCGTATAATTTCAATCACTCCTAATAAGATAGTTGATTCATAAGGAGGAAATAAAGTTTCAACAATGTTAGCCATTAATGCAAGTCAGTGGTTAGGCAGCTATGATTAGCCTTAAGATAGCAGGTGTGATCAGCTGTCCTGAATTAATTTTTAGTCTGTTATTCATTTGTCAGGTTGGGAAGTGACTATGGTCATCAGTTGAAGGTGTGATACATTAAATGCTGCATATCAACCAGGAAGTGTTTTGGCCTTCTTGTCATTTTAACTGGCTAATTACAGAAATATAAAATGTTTAAAAAACACAGTTTCTCAAAAATATTTAAATCAATCTTTTATACCTTAGTTCTCAAGATACACAAAAGAACTATCAGAGCATCCCTTAACCATCCAACCAGTCTATATTGAGTGTCTACTATGTGTTTAGAACCTGCGCCCATAGAATGTAAGTGCTTCCAAAATTAACAAAATCAAAAGGAGAAAGAGAATATAATTTATTCAGGCTATAAGTATTAAAATCTAACAGTGCCCTTCCACCCACCACTCCCTCTCCCTCTGTCTCCTACCCCTCAAATCACAATGCACAGACACATATATACACATGACAGTCATACATGAGGAAAAGAAAGCCCCTTTACATGTTTCAATGTTATTTGAAGGCTCAAAGCTCTAAAAATATAGAATGAGCCCTGACACTATCCTCAGGAAGAGATCTAGCAACAACTGGGCCTTCTGTTGGGTCCGTCAAAGAAAAAATGTGATTTACTGCAGCTACCCACCTTTTTTCTCCTAGAGCCAGGGTCTCAGTCCATCGCCTGGGCTGGAGTACAGTGGCCAGTTGTGGCTCACAGCAGCCTCGAACTCCTGGGTTCAAACTATTCTCTGGCTTCAGCCTCCTGAGTACCTGCGACTATAGGCACGTGCCACCATGCCCACGTTATTTTTTATATTGTTTGTAGAGACAGCCATATTGCCCAGGCTGGTTGTGAACTCCTGGCGTCAAGTGATCCTTCTGCCTTGGCCTCTCAAAGTGCTGGGATGATAGGTGTGAGCCACCATGCCTGCCTAGCCCTTCTTTATAGTTCATTTTGTAGCTGTGTTCCTCCATTCTGGGTGCAGTGTCATCAAAAGGAGTAAATTCCTTGGGAATATGCCAGTGGAAGGTATCACAAAAAGGCCATAATTTGGACATGAGTTGGACCCAAACACAAAACCAGCAAAAAAAAAAAAAAAAAGTAACTTCTAAAATCTGCTGTGTAAACGAATAGGCTGCTAACTCCCCAGAAGTCCATCTTAAACACTGGATTAACAGGGATGGTTTATTTTACCATTGTCCCATTTTATGTCATATTCTTAAGCCTTTACACAGGTTTCTAAGATGCCTTATATCTCAAGTTATTGCTTAAAATTGGTCTCACCCTGAATTAATGTAAATATATAAAAAAACCATGTTGTGGTCTTTGAAAAAGTTTTATGCATATATATATAAAATGTCTTTCAAATTTCAGTGTAGATGTGATTAATAAAAATACCAATTCATTAAAACATAACTCGAGGTGGGCAGATCACCTGAGGTCAGGAGTTCAAGACCAGCCTGGCCAACATGGTGAAATGCCATCTCTACTAAAGATACAAAAATCAGCTGGGCATGGTAGCAGGTGCCTGTAATTCCAGCTACTCAGGAGACAGAGGCACAAGAATCACTTGAACCTGGGAGGCGGAAGTTGCAGTGAGCCATGGTCACGCCACTGCACTCCAGCCTGGGCGATAGAGTGAGACTCAGTCTCAAAAAAAATAAAAAATAAGTTTATAAAAAATACATATATCTCAGTTCCTAGTAACATATTTGTCATTATATGTTCTCTAATAATGGATACTAAGAATATACTTTCTTGTAGGGCTCCGTGAAAACTGGACAGTAAGTGGAGGTCTTTGTACTGGGAGTATTGAGAATCATTCACTTGGACTATAAATTCACAACAGGATCAAATGACATTGGTTAAACAGGCAAACAGAAATGGACATAATTTAAATGTAGTGTTCTTTGTCTTTCACCAAAAAGGAAAAGCTACAAAATACTGTATATATGACTTTGGTCAGTATGAAGGTCACCGAAAGAACACTACTGTAGGGACCTTAGAAACTGAGAAGTCGGTTTCATCCTTAGGCACTTAGAGCACACACACTGTACAGCTGGTCACTGACAGGATGGGCTCAGGATGACTCCATGTGGTCACACTTGGGGCCAAAATTTCTCAATAGAGAGGCAGAGAAAATAACATTGTTAAGAAATGAGACAATGTTTGAGATTCTAATAAACCTGAATAAAGCGGTATGGTATGATTTTATCTGTGAACTGGGCTCTACCTCAGTCATCTAAAAATTGTGATTTTGGTTGGGCATGGTGGCTCACGCCTGTAATCCCAGTGCTTTGGGAGGCCAAAGTGGGTGGATCACCTGAGGTCAGGAGTTCATGACCAGCCTGGCCAACATGGTGAAACCCCATCTCTACTAAAACTAAAAAAATCAGCCAGGTGTGGTGGCATATGCCTGTAATCCCAGCTACTAGGGAGGCTGAGGCAGCAGAATCGTTTGAACCTGGGAGGCAGAAGTTGCAGAGAGCCAAGATCGCACCACTGCACTCCAGCCTGGGCGACAGAGTGAAGACTCTGTCTCAAAAAAATAAAAATTGTGAATCTATATGTAAAGCATCTAGAACTTCCCTTGGAACGTGGAACATGTTCTGTGTTATTTCCATTTCTTATCTCTCCAGATTGTCTCCTAAAGCTACTAACATCTAATTATTAAGTGTTGTATTATATCTCCAGATTATAATTGAGGAAAGAGAATTATAATCTAAGAATGACAACAGTAATTTAGGATTTTGAACAATTAGATGATAGACTAACTGTTGAACAGGCGATAGATGTCTTAAGTCCAGGTATCAATACTTCATCTCATTTACCAGGTCCTCCAGGTAGAGGAAAAAAACCACACACATACACAAGCAGGTATTTCCCTAAGCCCTTCTGGGCTTCACTCTGGCTACCAGGTGGCTTCATCTGGCCACTCCTATTTATGGCCATGAATGTTGACCTTCAATCTGCAGCAATTCCTCCAGCACCATAATATAAATCCTCACAGAAAAATGAAAAGGAGCTCTGACCAACTAGTAAAGAAAATCTGATCTAGAACCTCTTCCCGCTTTATCATTTTGTTAAGTTGGTAGATAAGCCCCAAATTCTAACCACCTCCTCCAGTCACATTTCTTTTGCAAACTCCTGTGCATACGTGTGTTTAAATCTGTTCTATTTATGCCATTACTCTTTTATCAGTTTGATTCACAGGCCTTGGTCACAAACCTAAGAGGGTAGAGGACAGCTTTTTTCCTCCCCTACAAATTCAATTTCTATTAGTCTTTATGTAGTAAAACCACTTCATTTTAGAACAAGTAGGAGGCATAAATTAATAAAAGAGTGTTAAGTGCTGTGCACTGAATTAAATTCTAGGCAGCAGTATATGTAATTTTGAGCACTGAAAAGAATCATTACTCTGGTATAGAGACATGGAAGAACAGTGTTCAAATTCACTAGGACTCTAGGTCAGAGGACCAAGAAATTCAGAAAATTTTGCCATTTAAAGTTTCATAGTTCTTTCATGATCCATATACTCCACATCTTTACCTAAAGAGTTACTGTATGGTTCCTATTTTCTGTGGCCTAACAGTACAGTGTCTTGGGGGAAGAGAGGTACATTTAATGTAACCATTTTTTAAAGCCCTGTTTTTACCCAATGGACTTAATTTCTCACTAATACAAGGAAATTTCCTCTCCCATCAAGTGAGTCTCCTTGGCTCACCCATTCTCATTTCCTACTCCTAGTCCTCCTTTAAGTTGAAACACACCACCTCGCCTTTATCTCCACCCAGCACCCTTTCCCCTGTTCCTTACTTAAACCCAAGTACTATCTTTGAGGATAGGGGAAGCCGTATCTCCTTATTGCAGACTTCCTAGTCCTCCTCCCGCCCTTCCTCAGAATTCTGTTCTTGAACTGAAGTCTAGTCTTTAATTTATAAATGCTGTCTCCCCAAATGAGATTAGATATTCCTCAAGGGCAGGAGTTATTTTTTTCTTTATTTTGTACAGAACAGTTCTCTACATCAAGGCGATTAATGAATGCTTACTAAAGTTTTCCTATTTATCAACTATCCATGTGCCTATAGTATGTTAGATGTTGGGAAGAACACAGTGAAATTTACATAGTTCTGCCTCTTGCAGGCTGTTTACATGCAAAGACTACAAACTTGCAGTAGTGTTTGGGCCAGTGTTTTGTTGGGCCAATGCAGTGTTGAAACTGTTCTGAATTAGAATATTTCTAAGCTAGGCATTCACTCTTTGGGTCACATATCTGTTACTCCCTCCCATTCAGCTTCACTAATTTATGTTACCTTCAGCCCCTTGTGAAACACTCTTAATTTCACAACTTTTAACTTACAAGGAATAAATTCATTCTTAAAATACAAGGCTCTTCCCATGTGAGATACTGATTAGAGTTATTTACTACTGCCAAAACTTTTAACATTATAACACCATGAGTGGTTCTACTTCTCAACCACCGACTTAGTGCATGTTGTGCATAGTATACTTACTATATGGAAAGTATAGTAAGAAAGGCTCATTTTAAAATTCTCAAATCCAAGGATAGATAGCGTATTCTAATGAGAAAGAAAACAAAACTGCTCAGCAACATTTTGCTCCCTTAAAAGCAAATGATTTTCAAGCTGGAAAGTATGGAAACCTCACTAAGAGAGAACTAAGGTGCAAGCAGAAGAGGTCATTTTAAAATAGTCCATGCCTTCACATTCTGGTGAATTATATTCCAGGGTACCAAAAGAACCTGCAGATGTCAGCACAGAACTATTCTGACAACCTCTATAAAAACATGGAGAAGAAGGGCAGTCTCAAGAGACTAGAGATTCAAACAGAACTTTTTTCCCCCAGTGTTTTTATTTTTAATATTCAAAATTAAAAGAAAGAATTAGAATTCCTAGACTTTACAGACTAATAGTTTGACATCTATCTCTGGCAAAATTCGAAACTTAAACATTAAACAAGGAAAAATGAGGGGTGGAGGAAAAGACTGCGGATTTCTAGGAACTAACAATTTGCTAAGAATCATTCATTTTTAAACTAATGTTATTTACTTTTGTGGTAGATCAGGGAATATGCAAGATCTTTACTTTTCAGCAAGACATTTTTCTCATAATGTCCTTATGGAGAAGACTGCTCTATGGACTAGAATAGTTTGATAAGAAAGGGCTGAGTCCAGCGAATTCATTAGTTCAAGCAAAATCTACTGAAGGCCAACTAGATTTCCAGCCATTATCGTACTTGGCACTTTCAATACTTTGAATTTTAACAACCACCCTGAAAGGCAGATGTTACCTCATTTTATTGATACTGAAGTTTCTCAAGGTCACAAAGCTAATAGGTATCAGGGCCAGACTCCAAAACCAGCCTCCAAAAATCCAGGACCATTCCTACTGTGCCACAGGTTTCTAGAGGTACCACGGTCACAGTAAAAGGACTTGTCCTATCTATTATCAGTGACTTGAATGTCTGGTGAATAAACTCAGCAAATGTGTAGGTGACACAAAACTGAAAAGTAGAATTAACATGATGAATGACATAAGATTAAAACGTCTATCTAACAAACTGCAAACCATACAGAGGCTTTAAGTAATACAAGCCAAGAGAAAAAAGAAATTCAGATTCAAGAAATGCTTAACTGCATAATTTAAAAATTAATAAAGCCTACCTTTATTTTTGTCTCCTTTGCTTGACAGCAAAGCACACGGGGTATGGAGGTGAGGTTTTTAGTCAACTTCTGAGTATTTACTACAAATGCCAATTAAGCAATAGATTATTTTATTTGAAGATGGCAGCTCATTGCACCCTGCACTGTTTGGGTTAAACTGACTTATTGAATTCAATTTTGGGCTAAGGATCTTTAGCACAGAGAGGGGTCTTAGGTAAGGAAGGAAACATAAAAACTAGTATTTATTGAAGATAACTAACATTTACTGACTCCTAGGCACCTCTACTAAGTACTTTATTAATATTATTAATTTAATCCTCACAGTAACCCTAGGGTTAGACAAAGTATATTATTCCCATTTTACAGATGAGAAACTGAGGCTCAGGGATCTGAAAGGCTGTCAAGCAAAGGAGACAAAAATATTATTTTGTATCACTTTAGACCTTTCATTTCTTAACTATTTTTGGGTCATGGACCCTTTTCAGACTGACTAAAGTTTCAGATCCTTTTTGCAGAAAAATCTTGTTTCTAAGTTCACAGTTGGAGCGCTATTGGCCAGGTAGGACTAATGAGAAACAGGTACTGCTTCCTAAGTGATTGTCAGTTCAGCGTAAACAAGGCCTTGCTAACAACAGAAAAGGAGGAACCCGTCAAAATGTAATGAGCTTCCTGTCACTGAAGTGTTCAATCAAAATGTGGCTGGCCTGTCAGGAGTGCTACAGAGGAGATAATAAAATGGATTGGAGGTTGGTCTACAATTTTAAAGCATCCTTTTGTTACAACATTGTGTGGACCTAAATAAGTAATGATTATAATTTTTGTTTAATGGCAAAACAAAATTAAAAACTGAAATTATTCTTCCAGACCATTCTGCTTGAAAGCAGAATGCCTAAATAATGTTATTTGCCATCTATTTATGATAGCCATGTTAGGTGTTTGAAAACAGCCTCATCCAAAGGGAAAAAGGAATAGCCAACTGTTGATCTTGGTTTGATTTATACTTTGTCATAATAAAAGTAGATTCCCTATTCCTCCGAATTCTTATCTAAAAATTTCCCTGAGAGAGCTGCCACATACACTAGATCCTAAAAAGATGGTCTTTGATAAGAACATTTACTAGTTTACAATTTTATGTTAACCTAATTCCCTAAAGGATAGGGGAAGGGCTGGTGTCAGACCAGAGACAAGAGAGACAACTCCAATTGTTCCGCTTTGCTTCTTTGACCCCTTAACTCATGGCTAAAGGATCTTACCCGTCTACTCCTCTTAATTTCTTATTTGCATCATTTCACCTCAATATTCAGCCTCCCACAGCTCCAAAGAGCACGAGAGCTAATACTTTGCTCATGATATGCCATTCAGAGCACAAGCCTGACAGCTTGGCATATCAATGCAATGTTCACGGGCAAATCTCTTACCTGAAAATCTTCACTCACTCTTCAGGTAGGCAGCAGGGTGGAATTGCAACTCATAATGAGATACCTTTCACTGGGAAGCCCAGAACAAAATTGAAGGGGTAGGGGCTAACTCTTCTCGATTAGGGGACGGAGATGTGAGGCTCTATCCACGGCAGCTGGCTGAGAACGGTCTCGTTTAATTAAAGCCTCCTGTAACTCATGGGTTTCTGCCATTGAAAAATCTAAAAGGCACAGCTGACAAGCAAAGACCGACAGACACCCGCCCTTCACCAGTCACCCACCTCCCAGATGTTCACTTACACAACACGTTGCCCGGCAGCTGCGCGCCCATGGCACGTCCGGACAGCCGTGGGGTCCCGGAGGCAGCCTGCGCTCAGGCCCGGGGCGGGTCTCCGAAGCTCCCGGAGCAGCCCTGTCGTGGGAGGGGGGCTTGCTGGCGTCTGGGCGGGCGGCAGCTGAGGCCGGGCGGGGGCAAAGTGCAGTCCAGCTGCCAGGGCAGCGGCGCCGCCTTCTCGCCGGCGCCCGGCTCAGCCAAGTGGCAGCATGTGGAGGACGGGGCGTCCTTCGGCGGCGCCCGGGCTCCCGGCCCCTCCTCCTGCCGTCGCCGCCGCGCCCGCCGCGCGCTCCTCGCGGGTTCGCGGCCCGCACCTGGCCTCCAGATGGCCGCCCAAGGGCGCTCGGCTCCAGGGCGCGCCCTCTGGGAGCGACCCACGAACTTCGGGTGGCAGAGGGTTGCCTCGATACTTCCTCAGGCGCAGGGTCCGAGGCAGGGGCGGGCGGAGCGGAGCTGGGCTGCCAGCCGGTTGGTCTGGGCCACCGCCCTCACGCCCCCCGCAACTACCAAGCAGCTGCCGGCGCCGCAGCGGGAACAGACCCGCAAAGGTCAATGAAAGCAGAAGCCAGCGAGGCATCGCAGAGGTCAATGAAAGTAAGAGCCAGCGAGGCATTTCGCTGGCCCTGCCCCTGGTCTCGGCCCCCTGGGCTGCGAACTCTCCTGAGCTCCGCCCTGGTGAGAGGGGGCGCTGCCCTCCAAGGCCTCTCCCCCGCGGGGCCTGCCTTGGGACAACAGGTGCTGGGCCGGGGCACTGAGCCCGCCTGCAGGGGGCCCCGCAGCCTGGCCGCGGCCTTCCCAGCTAAGGGTTCTGCGCTTGGGCCGGGCAGAGCTGCCAGACCTGCTTTGACCTGAAACCCCACTCTCGCAGAGCTAGGCCAGGGATTCCGCCCTTCCCACCTCGTTTGCACCATGAGTATGCAGAGCAAAAGTGTTGGAAGTACTTAAACATTTAAAGGACATATCCATTTTATACTTTTCCATACAGAAATACTCAAGAACATTTTCCAAGCGTGTTTCTCTTTCAAACAAAGTATCTCTAAAGGCCATTTTCTCACTCTTTAAAGCATTGAATACCACTGCCTCAAAACATGGCCATTATTGAGTTACACTTCCCCGCACAGTCCATGTGATGCCTGCATCTGCCCAGCATGATTTCTAGCAATAGTAAAAGTCCCAAGAGAACTACAAAAGAACCATTATTTTCCTTGTGTTCTACAACGGATTAGTCAATGCGAAATTCATGCTTGAAGGGACCTTAGTGATAATTTTGACTCCACATTACAGATGAGGACACAGAGGCCCAGAGTTCAGCAGTACAACGAAAGAGAGTGGAACTTAAAAAACTAACAATCTATAAACTGAGACTTAGCTCTTTGAAGGTACATTATAGTAAAAAATAAACCTAGATTGCAGAAGAGTTGAGAAGTTTAAGTTACACAAAAATCTATCCCAGAATCTCAGATTTTAAATGAATCAAGCATTCTTATTTTTATCCAGGCTTAAATTAGCTAAGGTTATATACAAACCCAGTGGCCCAGAAATGTAATTTTTCTTCATGCTAGTATGATTAATGGGATTGGAGTTGGTACATCCTGACAATCATAGAATGTAAGTATACCTATATTAATTGATTTTTCTGATAAGTATCATTTTTTTTTTCTTTTTTTTGAGATGGAGTCTTGCTCTTGTCGCCCAGGCTGGAGTGCAATGGCGCAATCTTGGCTCACTGCAACCCCCACCTCCCAGGTTCAAGCGATTCTCCTGCCTCAGCTCCTGAGTGGCTGAGATTACAGGCGCCTGCCACCATGCCAGGCTAATTTTTGTATTTTTAGTAGAGACAGGGTTTCACCATGTTTGCCAGGCTGATCCCGAACCCCAGACCTCAGGTGATCCATCCGCCTTGGCTTCCCAAAGTGCTGGGATTACAGGTGTGAGCCACCGCACCCAGCCAGTATCAATTTTAATGTATACAAATTGATTATACTTACATAAAACAAATTATTCAGTTCTACATATTTCAGGCACACCATGCTAAATAATTATGCTCAAATGCAAGGTTCCACTTTTAGGCCTAGTTCTTCACTTAAGTTATGTAATTTTCTTGTGCTCTTCCTTCCCCAGCTTTAAACTTCTATCAACCTAGTGCTGGAATCATCCTTAGGAGACCCCTGGGTTCCACACTGAGGGGATGGCGTCAGTTCTTGATGTGATCTAGGCAGAGGAGACACTTAGAAATTTGTGTTTTTTACTTCCCAGTTACCAGGTCAGAAGGAAAGAAAAAGTGGGTGAGAGTCTCTGGCCTCCATCAGAAGAGAAACCCATAAACTTGAAAATTTCTTTCACTCAGTTTGAGAACAAATTGGACCAGCCTTTGGTCTACAGATGAAGCGGGCCATGAGGGAGCGAGGCCTACACACCGAGCCAAGCTGCTCCTGCCAGGCTGGAGCCTGACCCTTCCTTCGCCATCATAGGGCTGGCCAAGCTGGTGGGGGAGACCCAGGTCAGGTCTGGCAGGGATGACTAAGGGAGGACCTAGCCCGTGGCCTCTGCCATCTGCCCGGCTGCCCTCATGGGTGTGCACTGGAGAGAGTAGAGCAGGAGGGACAAGCCTGGGGCTGGTGGGGAGACCGCACCACCACCCTTCTGTGAGTGGCCCTCTCTGCTCTCCTCTCTGTGGGGCCTCTCTCAGGTCCAGGCCAGTGTGAACAGGTACTTGCAGGTTGGGCCTGGAAAATAGCCTTGACTTCTCTCCTCAGGACTGCAGGCCATGCTTCTGGTCAAGATGGTGCCATGTAAGACTTGGAGGGAAGATGCGTCGAGGGAACTTGGCGCCCTCTGCCCCTGGGATTCGGGAAAGCTGGCTCTCCTCCCAGCTGCCCAGCCTAGAACTGGGAGTCAGGGCATAGCATTTCTGCCCCTCTGTCCTCACCTGGGCTTGAACAAGGATAGAGGCAACAGGAACCAAGAACTCCTCAAACTGGTGGTGGCAGAGACAAACTGCAGGATTTTGAAAGTGCTGAGATAACTTTTTAAAAGCTGGGGAATGAAGTGAAAGGGGTGACGAAGGACCCAGCGATGGCCTGAGGTGAATGTGGTTAGGGTGAGGGGCCGTAGCAAGTGTTTAGTGGTTTTGTTTTCTCCAGAGTTCATAGAAGTAAAACTCATAAAAACAGCAATGATAAAATCCTGGAATTTGAACATAAGCAATCTCACCCTAGGGTCCATGCTGTTGACAGGAAACAAATACTGAGCTGGATTGAGGATTGCATTTTAAATAGTAAACTTGCAGTTAGCAGAATCAAATCAAGGCACTCACATACTCTTTGCTCTGTAAAGAACTCCCATTTCCATCCCCAGCCCCATAAAACTTCCACGTCAGACAGACAGACCACAGAGGTACATAGCTGACTCCCGCCACTGGTTTCTCTACTTAAACGAGCACCTTTAACTTCCATTTTTGCCTCAGGCAGACCAGTCAGAGCTTGCACCTCTGGGAGAAGCAAGGGAGGTTATGCCGGCGAGGCAGAAGGGACCTCCTTTCTAAAAGTACTCTAAGCAGTGAGATGATGTGGCCTTGTCAGGAAGGATCCGGGCCCTGGGATTCACTTGTCTGCCACTGGGGCTCTTACAAGCATATCAGAGAGTCAAATGTCTCAGTTGGTTTTCTGATAATGAAGTGGTGAGGACTGGAGAGGGGGATGGCATAGTTTGCGAGTGTTCATTCACATGGAGGCTAGAGAATTCACGTACGCTAGAGAGAGGTAACGCAAATCACAGAAAAGATTTATAAAGAATAGAAAATGACACTAACTCCCCACCTGCTCCCACCACCTCCACCCCTACCCCTAGAACTTATCTCAGGTTACAAAATAAGAAGCCAAAGCCAACTGAGTGGGTAGAGGAAAATGTAAATGCAAACAAGATAAACTTACTGAGGAGACAGAAAAAAAATACCATTATGGGATATGAACCCTGATAGAATAGCACATAGGTATGACCATTGAGGAAACTCATTTTTAGATTCTACCTCTTTGTTTCTCATATAATAACAGTCCACTGGTCTAGGGAAAAAAAAAATCTTTTAGTGGTTATTGGAAAACATGGCTATTTCTTACATATATTTCTCACTGATTCAGGTTTTATGTGCTAGTTTTTGTGTGTTCAATCTAAAATGGCCTCTCCAAAACAGTGAACTTACCTCGTATTTGCTAAGATTTTATTCGGATTTGGCTGAGAGGCCCAGATATCTTCTCTGAGTAGGCAACAGACACATTTTCATGTCAGACCCTAATTAAGGCTTTAGGATACAAAGCTTTAAAAATTCAGAAGCAGAAATGGTGTATTGATTCTTTAACACTTTCTGTAACTCAAGACACCTAAAAATGTTTCTTGATGAAGAACTAGGAGTGGGTATGAAAATGATGTCTTGGCCGGATGCCGTGGCTCATGCCTGTAATCCCAGCACTTTGGGAGGCCAAGGCAGGCAGATCACGAGGTCAGGAGTTTGAGACCAGCCTGGCCAACATACTGAAACTCCGTCTCTACTAAAAATACAAAAAAATTAGCCGGGTGTGGTGGCAGGCACCTGTAATCCCAGCTACTCCGGAGGCTGAGGCAGGAGAATCGCTTGAACCTGGGAGGTGGAGGTTGCAGTGAGCCGAGATCACACCATTGCACTCCAGCCCGGGTGACAGTGCGAGACTCTGTGTCAAGAAAAAAAGAAAATGTCTCATACTTTACTCCTGAAACTTTTCCTGAACTATTTTTTACTACTCCTAGTTGTTTCTATGCCCAAGCAGGCTTTAAAACCTTGTTGTGAACCTTAATGACACTGTGGGAAAGACCTCTTCTTGTTTACCATTTTCCCAGAATCAAATTGCAAATCATTAGATTACCTATATAGCCAAACAAGTGAAAATGTAAACCTACCAGCAGAGTTGCTGTTCTAGCCCATTCTGTGCTACTGTGACAGAATACCTAAGACAAGATAATTTTTAAAGAACAGAAATGTGTTTTCTCACTGCTCTGGAGGATGGGAAGACCAAGATCATGGCACAAGCAGGTTTGGTAGGTTTTCTGGTGAGGGCTGGATCCTCCAGAGGTGGGGAACCCTAGCTAAATGCCACAAGAAGCCTCGTTTAAAGGGGTTTTAATCCCATTGACAAGGGAACAGCTCCAAAGGCCTAATCACCTCTTAAAGGCCCTACCTCTTAATCCTATCACATCGGCAACATCTGAATTTTGGAGGGAACATTCAAACCATGGCAGTTTGCCATTATAATATTTTAATATATATCATGATATGCTTAAAAGCTCTTATGAATTAAATTTTCCAAATGGTACTGTAGGCCATTGTAGTCTTACTCATTATGTCACTGAAGTGAGAAGTGATTGACATTATCTTCCTTATGTGGAAGACAAAAATCAAATAGCCCCTCCAAGCTTCTCACTCCTGAAGAAAAAAATTCTTTAGTTTTTCTCACAGAATTTCCTTTACTCACATTTTGTTAGGCTGCTCTAGACCCATTCTGGTTCTCCAGGTGTAACTAAATGTCCGGCAACCCAAACTAGGGAATAGTTCCAAATAAGAGTTTAATGCAGAGCATGAGACTATTGTGGAATAGTATCTCCTGACCGTGTAATGTATAATCCAGTTCTGTTCATTATATTTACAACTATATAAGCTGTCAACTATACCATCAGTCTATTTCTTCTCACTTGTTTGGTTCTTAAAGTTGTTCTGCATTCCTTTTTGTGTTGAGTTTGGTCTTTAAGTTTACTGATGTGCATCTGTCCGTAAACAAGCCTCATCTTCCTATACAAGATCTGTCAAAAGATCTTTACGCTGAACTTAAGTACATTTTGAAGTCTTTAAAGCATCATTAATAGACACTATATTTCTATGGTATAAGTAGATTTAACAATCCCCAAAGAGGTAGACGTGCCTGGAAATAAATAAGCGTCTGATTTTGTTGTTGTTGTTGTCTTTTATGGTTACCTATATTTATTCTACCACCCCTACCCCCACCACCAAATTCTGAGCATCTTGAGGATAGGAACTATGTACTCCATGTAATCTATGTATCTTATGTGCTTATTTCCAACACCTGACACAAGGAAGGCATGAAATGTTTGTGGAGTTGGGCATGATTCTTTGCTTTGGTGCTTTATATAATTTCATCTCAGTTTAAACAGAGAAGAACATTACTGCTTGGGCCCATGAATCCAAGCTTCTATAAGTCTTCACCTGCATTTATTTTGATAACCATTTTTGGCATCAAGATGGGGCCAACTTTTATTTGCTTACAAATGTGAGTATAAGACATTGTTAAAAGTCATATAAATACTGCAATAACCATTGGTCCAAAATTTGCTATTTCAAATTTCATATTATATTGTATGTTCTGTTTTTTTTACTTAGGGCATATGTGCCTTTCAGTATGAGTCACTTTCCATTGTTTCACTGCCTTGGGTGTTAAAAACAATCTGTCCCAATTTGATCAACATAGTTTAGCTTCTCCCTGGAATTATGGACTTTCACATATTTATTAGCTCATGATTTTTAAATTAAATATTTGACTAATATACCTTGAAAGGGGGCATAGCCACATAACTGAAGACATTAGAATATTTATCCTGAAGAAGTTAAGGAGAATGAGAAGAGAAATCTGAGGGGTATTCATATGGACAAGGGACTGTATTTAATCTGCGCTGCTCTGATGGGCAGTACGAGAACCAGCAGGAAGAAGTCATGGCAGTGTTGGAAGTAAATGCTCAGTGCCACCAAGTGAAAACAGTCCTCAGGCAAAAGTTTTCTCAGCAAGGCAATTTACTTCTATAGAAGGGTGTGTTTTGTGGATGGAGCAATGGCGAGAGCACACCAGACACGGTGGGGGAAGGGGGTCTTATTCCTAATGCAGCTAGTCCCTACTGCTATGTTTTTCCCCTATTGGCTAGGGTTGGACCACACAGTCTAAGCTAATTCTGACTGGGCTATTTTAAAGAGAGCAAAGGTAGGAGCCGGAGTGGCAGGGTGAGTAGTTTTGGTGGGAGGGATGGTTACAGAGCAGGTGACTAAGGATGACTAAGGACAGAGCAGGTGACTAAGGACAGAGCAGGTGACAGAAGCTAGGAGGGGGTTGTTTACTGAAACTAGGGGCAAGAAGACGTAAAGAACAAGAAAGTCAGACTTTAAGATGGAGAACAAAGAACAGGGAAGCTGAACATACTGACATATTGGTTCTTTGGAGAGAAACTCAGAACTCACTGTACTTAACAATTTTCTCGATCTTGAATTTTAAAGGAAGTTAACAGGCTAAACTTTGAAGAGGAATTTACTGTATCCTCCAGCAGGGAGTTCTGGATTTAATTAAGAGAGGACTGTCTATTGGTTATAACTTAGAAGACGATGGTCTGGTTTGTGAAATGGTGAGCTTCCCTTTCAACCAGAAGTCAGATGATCTATCTGGGAAGCTATGAGGGAGATTTTTACAAAGAATAAAATTTCTCAAAGCCAAGATTCTATCATTTTAGGAGTTGTTTCACAATATAAATTCACGTGCACTTGGCATTTGAACTACATTCACCCCAGTACTACAGGCATTATCTTGACGTCTTACAGTGTATGCCCTCTATGAGGACAGAGTGAGTTCTGCTGTGGTCCTTGGCTAAGGAGGCAGCTTTCAATCTTTTGAACATTTTTTCTTAGAGAGCAAACCAACTGCCAAATGTTGAATGAATTGGTACTCATGAATTCCAGATAATTCAACATAAGAAACTATCTATGTACGAATATTTTATGGTTTGTGATATTTCACTTAACTGCTAACCTCATCAGATGTAGTAGAGAATTAACTCTAACTTAGAGATAATAGTTACTATTTATTGAGCATCTACTATGTGCTGAGAACCATAACAGCCCTTCACATGCCATCTCATTTTTATTTTATTTTATTTTTTTTGAGATGGAGTCTCTCTTTGTCACCGAGGCTGGAGTGCAGTGGCATGATCACGGCTCACTGCAACGTCTGCCTCCCGGGTTCAAGTGATTCTCCTGCCTCAGCCTCTGGAGTAGCTGAGATTGCAGGTGCCCACCACTGCACCCAGCTAATTTTTTTGTAATTTTAGTTGGGACGGGGTTTCGCCATTTTGGGCAGGCTGGTTTCCAACTCCTGACCTCAGGTGATCGGCACGCCTCAGCCTCCCAAAGTGCTGGGATTCCAGGCGTGAGCCACTGCACTTGGCCATGCCATCTCATCTAATTGTCACACTAGCATTGTGAGGTATGTATAATTTCTGTTTTAAATATGAGAAAATGGAAAAAATAAGGTAACTGTTAATATGTGCTAGAACTTGAATTTGAACCAGGCCTGAGTCCAAAGCCAGTGCTCCTTCTATTATTCTGTGTTGCTTTCCAACATCTCAGGTGTCCTCAGAATGGCCTGCTAAATCTGGCCCTAGTTCTGGGCAGCAAACCTCCTATCTAATTCCTAATCCCTTAATTGTCATGAGCAGTATCCATTGTAAAGGTATGGAGATTTGAAAAAATGATGGGTTGTCAACAAAACTGGTGGACTTCTGATGGTAGAATATTTGGCTTGAATAGGGTGATAAAGTATTCAGAACAATGATATTTTCTAGGTTTTCTGTGTTTCTGGACAACGATCTATACCATGGATGTTATATTTCATATTACATTGGCAATTCCAACATAGAGCCAGCCACAGAGATAAGATAGTTATAAAATAACTAAAGTATAGCTATAAGTAAACAAACTAGTAAATGCATAATAGTGGGAGAGGACAGAAAATACTGTAAAATGCAAATAACAGGAGGTCAATGAAAAGTGGGTAAGTTTGGATCTGAACCATGAGACAATCCTACCATTTAAATTGTTGAAAGAAGGGAATGAGTGCATATAGCCTATGCCAAAGAACAGGCGTGGCAATGAGCATGGAGCAGATAGAATACATATGGATGGGAAAAAAATGAGTCTATGAGAGAATAACTAGCAAGGCATGTTCAACCTGCTGGTGCCAAGCTAGGGTGATTTGTTAAGATAAGGAACAGACACCCGTTGAAAATTCTTAAATTGTAAAAATGATGTAAAAATTGTTCTTGAATAGATCTAGGGTAAATTTGGCAACTCTGAACATGTGGGTAGAGATCAGTGGCATGAACCAATCATGCCACAGAAATCCAGATGAAAAAGTATATTGACCTGGCCTACCGTAATGCCTGAGACAATAACAAAGAATTCAAAGAAAATGTTTTGTTTTCCCCAGCAAGTTATTTTCCCCCCATAAACTTAGTCTATTTGTGGGTATTCTTGCCACTAACTACCAAGATCTGAAGCTCTTAAAACTTAATGGAAACACTGTCCATTGAATTTAAGTATTTTGAGTAATATGAAATTTTTTCTGGCCAAAAAAAGAGAAATAAATATCCACCAATTATATATTTATTGAGTAGAGTTGAAGAAAAATGGAATCACGTCAGTGCTCAGTAAAGCAAGGTAAGGTTATTAGCTGAGACTGAGAGAACTAAGAATTTTAGAGAAAGGCTTGTATTTTTTTGAACTTACAAAAAAAACTTTACAATGCAGATTGATTATACTTGTAGTCAGAAAAAAAGTCCAATAAAATGATTTTCATTTTGAAAAGTTGAATAGAATAGTTTTGGAGGACCTCTAAGAAAACCATGATCATTTTAAGGGGTTGTTAGGTGGGAATTAGCTACTAGTGCAGTTTTCCTACCTCTTTTGGCTTCATTTTCAGGCCTTCCTTCACCTTCAGTAAAATATTTTAAATAGTATGAGAATTGCACTGTTTGTTTTTTTTTTTAACTTTTTTTCTATTTTACTTGCATTTTGTAATAAAGAATTGGAATTATGGTTACAAGAGGCAATTTATGGATAACCCATGCTCTATATGAAAGGAGAAAAGTGCTTGTTTGATTGGCTTCCTAGAGGTCTTTCTAAGAACCCAAATATACTTCCTGGTTTTGAACTAAATTACCATCTCAATTTAAAGGACTAGCCACCAATTAAAGACAGTTCCTGGGAGCCCATCAGATAGTTAAATTAAAATTTTATTTCCCAAGAGAGTGGTTAGCTCAGTTCCAGAGAGTTCAATTCTTGAGACATTGCTACTTTATCTGATCTAAGACTATCCAGTTTTTATGTACAAGGAAGTTCAATGTACACAGTCTCTTATCAACATTCCAGACTCCCAACCAGCCTGATCTAAGAACTGAGTGTGACTCTGCACATCTAATTTACAAAAAGCGATAAGAAAATAGTGAATCTAACCTCTTTACCACAATACATCATCCCAATTTGAGATTACATGTGAACAATTAGGCTGCTGTCTCATTAAAAAAAAGCTTCATAGGAATTTCTACGGTTAATATCAGTTATCTTCTCTTTTCTAAGAGCAAAATTAAAACCCATCAATATGACATAGTCCATCTTTGGGTCCTGGTTGGGGATGGGGGATGGGAGGCAGCGGGTGAGGAGACAGAAACATAAGGAAACTAACATTGCTGGGATTGAATCCCCAACAGTAAAAACCTGAAACCATGAAAAACAGGTAATAATATATGCATATATAAAGATGAAGAAACAGTTCAGAGAGCTAAGTATGTCTCTTCCCAGTTCCAAAGTTGATGGTCCTGGCAATATGCCACTGATGGAGAAAATCTGTACCACATCTGATAATAACAAATAACTCAGCTAGGATTCAGCCTTGTAAGTCTATGATGGCCTAAGTGTGTTCCCCCCTGCTCCCAAATTCATATGTTGAAACCCTAATCCCCAATGTGATCATATTTAGAGATGGGGCCTTTGGGAAGTAATTAGGTCACGAGGGTGAAGCCCTCAGGATGGAATTAGTGCCCCTATAAAAACAGAAACCCAAGAGCCTGCTTGCCCTGGCTCCTTGACAGCCCTCACCAGAACCCAATTGTGCTGTCGCCCATGATCTCGACTTCCCATCCTGCAGAACTGGGACATAAGTTTCCATTGTTAAAGCCCACCCAACCTGTGGTATTTTTGTTACATTAGGTTCGTGCAGAAGTAATTGCTGTTTTTGCCATTACTTTTAATGGCAAAAATACATTTTAACAGCTCTTATCTTATGTTCTCATCTTCAAGGACAAACAAGTGTCTTGGCAGGCTTAATTTCAAAACAACCTGTACCAGTTTAAGGCTATTAATACTTCTCCCACAGAATCACATCTGATAAGTCTTGCCACTTAAAGCCATTTGTTCTACTCTTAAAGCATCCAGCTAATATGCTGTATCTTAAGCCCAAACCAGCTAAGCCTAATCAGTGTTACCATGTGGAGTCATGCTAACCCGAGTCCCCAAAGGCAAATGCATATTACCTCACTGAGGGAGTAGCTGATCATATTTCATAATGCTTAAACATCTTCTCCTAAAATGTGGTGGAATAGGAAATGCAAATATCCAACTTGGCTTCCCTGTTATTTGTTCATAAGAAGCCTGGCTACCTAATTCTCTAATGTCAAATTTTGGACCTTTTCTCTATCTCATAAATCACAGCAAGTGTTAGTTACTCTGTTATCAGTGAAACTGAGAAGGTCAGGCCCTAATCTTCCGTATCTTTATCAGAGTGCCTCATGCTCTTAGTGAGATAGTCCCTCACATTCAGACCACCTCACCAGCTTGAGCTGCAGGATACAAAAGACTATACAGGAATGCTATATGATATGGTTTGGCTGTGACCCCACCCAAATCTCATCTTGAATTCTCATGTGTTGTGGAAGGGACTCGGTGGGAGGTAATTGAATCATGGGGGCAGGTCTTTCCTGTGCTGTTCTCCTGACCGTGAATAAGTCTCATGAGATCTGATAGTCTTGAAAGTTTCCCTGGACAAGCTCTCTTTTCTCTTGTCTGCTATCATGTGAGATATGCCTTTCACCTTCTGCCATCATTGTGAGGCCTTCCCAGTCACATGGAACTGCAAGTCCAATAAACCTCATCCTTTTGTAAATTACCCAATCTCGCATATGTGTTTATCAGCAGCATAAAAGGACTAACACAGTAAACTGGTACCAGTAGAATGGGGCACTGCTGAAAAGATACCTGAAAATGTGGAAGCAACTTTGGAACTGGGTAACAGGCAGAGTTTGGAACAGTTTGGAGGGCTCAGAAGAAGATAGGAAAATGTGAGAAAGTTTGGAACTCCTAGAGACTTGTTGAATGGCTTGGACCCAAAATCCTGATAATGATATGGACAATGAAATCCAGGCTCAGATGTCTCAGATGGAGATGAGGAACTTGTTGGGAACTGGAGCAAAAGTGACTCTTGTTATGTTTTAGCAAAGAGACTGGTGACATTTTGCCCCTGCCCTAGAGATCTATGGAACTTTGAACTTGAAAGAGATGATTTAGGATATCTGGTGGAAGAAGTTTCTAAGCAGCAAAGCATTCAAGAGGTGACTTGGGTGCTGTTAAAGGCATTCAGTTTTATGAGGGAAGCAGAGCATAAAAGTTCAGAAAATTTGCAGCCTGACAATGCGATAGAAAAGAGAATTCCATTTTCTGAGGAGAAATTCAAGCCAGCTGCAGAAATTTGTATAAGTAATGAGGAGCCAAATGTTAATCCCCAAGACAACAGAGTGGGGAGGGCGGTGGGGGGGTGGGGGTGGAATGTCTCCAGGGCATGTCAGAGGCCCTCACAGCAGGCCCTCCCATCACAGGCCCAGAGGCCTAGGAGGAAAACATAGTTTTGTGGGGCAGGCCCAGGCTACCCATGCTGTGTGTGGTCTAGAGACTTGGTGCCCTGCGTTCCAGCCACTGCAGCCATGACTAAAAGGGGCTAAGGTATAGCTGGGGCTGTTGCTTCAGAAGGTGGAAGCCCCAAGCCTTGGCAGCTTCCACAGGGTGTTGAGCCCATGGGTGCAAAGACGTTAAGAATTGAGGTTTGAGAACCTCTGCCTAGATTTCAGAAGATATAATGGAAACACCTGAATGTCCAGGCAGAAGTTTGCTGCAGGGGCAGGGCCCTCATGGAGAACCTCTGCTAGAGAAGCGTGGAAGGGAAATGTGGGGTTGGAGCCCTCACACAGATTTCCTACTGGGGCACCACCTGGTGGAGCCGTGAGAAGAGGGCCACCATCCTCCAGACACCATAATAGTAGATCCACTGACAGCTAGCACCGTGCACCTGGAAAAGCCACATACACTGAACGCCAGCCCATGAAAGCAGCCAGGAGGGAGGATGTACCCTGCAAAACCACAGGGGTGGAGCTGCCTAAGACCATGGGAACTCACTTCTTGCATTAGCATGACCTGGATGTGAGACGTGGAGTCAAAGGAGTTCATTTTGGAGCTTTAAGATTTGACTGCCCCGCTGGATTTTGGGCTTGCATGGGGCCGGTAGCCCCTTTGTTTCAGCCAATTTCTCCAATTTGGAACAGCTGTATTTACCCAGTGCCTTTACCCTCATTGTATCTAGGAAGTAACTAACTTGCTTTTGATTTTACACGCTCATAGGCAGAAGGGACTTGCCTTGTCTCAGAGTCTCATTTTGGCTGTGGACTTCTGAATTAATGCTGAAATGAGTTAAGACTCCAGGGGACTGTTGGGAAGGCATGATTGGTTTTGAAATATGAGAACATGAGATTTTGGAGGGGCCGGGGCAGAATGATATGGTTTAGCTGTGTCTCTACCCAAATTTCATCTTGAATTCCCACGTGTTGTGGGAGGGACCCAGTGAGAGGTAACTGAAACATGGGGGCAGGTCTTTCCTGTGCTGTTCTCGTGGTAAGTCTCATGAGATCTGATGGTTTTAAAAAGGGGAGTTTCCCTACCCAAGCTCTCTTTTCTCTTGTCTGCCACAATGTGAGACGTGCCTTTCACCTTTCGCTATAATTGTAAGGCCTTCCCAGTCACATGCAACTGTAAGTCCAATAAACCTGTTTCTTTTGTCAATTGTCCTGTCTTGGGTATGTCTTTATCAGCAGTGTGAAAACAAACTAATACCCTATATTTTTCTTACATTTTGGATGGTATCCTAACTTGCTGAACTTTCAATAATTCTAATAGATGATCTATAATTTAAAAATTTTCTATGTAGACAATGTTCCATCAAATAAATAATTGGTCTTTCATTTCTAGTCCTCATGTCATTCATTTTTCTTTCTTTTTTCTTTCTTTTTTCTTTTTTTGCTGGCTATAATTGAATAGCAGTAGCAATGGCAGAATTATTTTTGTTCCTGCTTTTAAAGGGACTATTTCCATGTTTTACTACAATGTTTGTTGTAGGGCTTGGCAGTTAAGAAAATCAGATCAAGGAAGTCCCATTCTATTCCTAGTTTTCTAAGATATTTTTTATGAATGGGTGATTTTTTAATGCTTTTTTCCATCTGTAGAGATAAGCAAATGGTTTCTCTACTTTGATCTGTTAATGTGATAACTTATATAGATTTTCAAGTGCTAAATCATTTATTCATTTCTAGAATAAACCAAACTTGGTTGTAATTCTTTTTAATACATTGCAGGATTTGGTTTGCACATGTATTTTCTTATTTTTGTATTATGTTCATGAGTGATATCGACCTATAGTTTTTAAACAGTTCTCCTGTATTGGTATTAATGTTATAATGGTTTTATAAAATGAGTTGGAAAGCACTCCATTTATTTTAGTCTTTGGAACAGGTTATATAAGATAGGAACAATCTGTTTTGCAAAAGTGTAGCAGACCTCAGCAAAAAAAAAAAAAAAAAAAAAAAAGAGTGGATTTTTTTTTTTTAATTCCTTCACATAGTCAAGTTTCACACTTGCTGGGTCAATTTTGGAAATCTTTATTTTTCCAGAAGATTTCCCATTTTCCCTGAGTTTTAAAGTCTATCAGCATTACATTGCTCATTTTATTCTCTCATATTTTAAATAACTGCTTTGCATATTTCTCTTTTTTACTTATAATATTAATTTCTTTGTTCACCAGTGCTTCTTCTATTATATTCCTTTGTTCTAGATTTAAGTTACTTCTGCAGTTAGTACATCATTTAGTAATCTTTCTGTCAAGATCTAAGTGGTAAACTCACTCTTTTTCTAAATACAACTTTCTTTGACATTCTTTCTGAAATATTTTAGCTGGCTAGGAATGTTCCCTTGGCTCTTTGAAGATATTATTCCATTCCTTCAATTCCTTTGTATGTAATCTTTATAGTTTCTTTAATATTCTTTCTTATATTTGGTGCTCTAAAGTTTTATGTGTAGGTATGGGTGTTTAATTATTCTGTTTGGAATTTGTTGAGTTCCTTAAATCTGAGAATTAATGTCTATCATCTAACATAAATACTGTTCAGCTATTATCTCTTTGACTATTGCCTCCCCTCATTCTCTCCTCCTGGAACTCCTCTCTGACATATGTTGGACCTTCCCATTCTACCTTCAATGTCTCTTAATTGCTCACATTTTTCCATCTCTATATCTTTGTGCTGCATATTGAATAATTTCTGTAAATTGAAAGTTCTATAAATTGTCTTCAGCTATGTCTAATTCTCAACTTAGCTCATGCTTTGGGTTAATTTTTGTTACGGTATTTTTTTTCATTTCTTGAAATTCTATTTGGTTTTAGTTTTTGTTTTGTTTTGTATTGTATTGTTTTTGAGATGGAGTCTCGTTCTGTTGTCTAAGCTGGAGTACAGTGGCAGGATCTCAGCTCACTGCAACCTCTGCCTTCCAGGTTTAAGTGATCCTCCTGACTCAGCCTCTCGAGTATCTGGGAGTACAGGCGCCCACCACCATGCCCAGCTAATTTTTGTATTTTTAGTAGAGATGGGATTTCACCATGTTTTCCAGGCTAGTCTCGAACTCCTGACCTCAAGTGATCTACCTGCCTCAGCCTCCCAAAGTGCTGGGATTACAGGTGTGAGCCACCAGGACTGGCCTCTATTTGGTTTAAAATTTTTAAATTTAATTCTAATGCTAATAATATAATCAGGGTTCTGGTTCTTATAAGATGAAGTAAATGCTTCTGGGATTCTTTTATACTGTAAATGAGAGGAAAACTTGAGACAACCACTTTGGGAAATGTTTAGTATTATCACCTAAAGCTAATACATACCTATGATGTGACTTAGAAATGATCATTCTTAGATGTATAACCAACAAAAATCATGCACATGTACTCCAAGAGATAAGACTATCCATAGCATCTGTATTTACAGTAGCTCCCAAACTGGAAATGCCTGCTAGCATTAGAATATCTGGCAAATATTGTGCACTCAAGGAATGTAAGTTTTATTTTTATTCTTTTTTAGCCTATGAAAGTTTTTCCATATTTTGTATATTCCAAAAATCTGCCCATCTGAGAACTAATAGCATTCCTCTAAAATATCAGATTAAATATATTTGAAAATGACTAAATAAAATAATTCTTAACTGAAGCATTATTAAAAATTTATGGTAGATTGAATCACTGAAAAAAATTTATTTTCAAGTACCAATATTCTAAATAAATTATAAATAAATTTTATTTGCCTTTAATTAATTAACTTACTTATTTATTTATTTGAGACAGAGTCTGGCTCTGTTGCCCAGGCTGGAGTACAGTGATGCAATCATAGTTCACTGCAACCTCCACCCCACGGCTCAAGCAATCCTCCCACCTCAGCCGCCCCAGTAGCTGGGACCACAGTGCCACCACGCATGCCTAATTTTTTGTATTTTTAATAGAGACAGGGTTTCACCATGTTTCCCGGGCTGGTCTCAAATTTCTGAGCTCAAGTGATCCGCCCACCTCAGCTTCTCAAAGTGCTGGGATAACAGGCATGAGCCAACACATCTGACCGATTTGCCTTTAACAGGCATACTTTTATCATACTGTAATAAAGCCTTTTCTTCCTATTGAATTGCAGGACTAAGTTTTTCAAATAGATATCTTGTAAGGAGATGAAACAATTTTTAAATGTATTTTTTCACTATAAATCACCAATTAACCGATTCTGTCTCACAGTTAAAAGTAAGAAAACCCTGAAGTTACCAGGTTCACTAAACTGTCTCCACCAGTCGGTCTCATTCAGTAGCTGTGAGCCCAATATATGGTTTCCGTGTAGATCACAGTGCCTTACTTTTCAGTGCTTCTCATGCTCCCTTTCTAAATGGAGGCTGAAAAAGATTTAATAGATGCAATCTTAATCCTAAAATAACTGGTTTAAAAACTTATACAATGCAAACATATGAGTACATGGAACTTAGTATAATGTTATTGGTTAAAATTCATGCATATTCTTTCTGGAAAATGGGGAAATGGGTCATTGAGCTCGTAACAAAGGGCCTAGTTATACTAAGTCATTGATTTAGATCTTTCCCCTATCTTCCTACTACATTTTATGTATGTATCCATAACAATAAATAATTATAATAAATTGTTTGCATTTAGTATCCTCACTCAAATGGCAGAAATGATGTCTTCTAAGTATTTCCAATTCCTAGTTGAGTGCCTGGTAATTAGTGGGAACTCAAGATATGTCTGTTAAATAGATGAAAACTAAAGGAAGTTATAAATATTTTAGGAAGTACTATGAATTTCAGGCTAAGACCTCAGATTTGTAAATCACAGGGCAAGACTCAGTTTTTTTTTTTTTTGTTTTTTGTTTTTTGTTTTTTTGAGACGGAGTCTCGCTGTGTCTCCCAGGTTGGAGTGCAGTGGCGCGATCTCGGCTCACTGCAAGCTCTGCCTCCCAGGTTCATGCCATTCTCCTGCCTCAGCCTCCCAAGTAGCTGGGACTACAGGCGCCCGCCAACACGCCCGGCTAATTTTTTGTATTTTTAGTAGAAACGGGGTTTCACCGTGTTAGCCAAGATGGTCTCGATCTCCTGACCTCGTGATCCGCCCGTCTCGGCCTCCCAAAGTGCTAGGATTACAGGCGTGAGCCACCGCGCCCGGCCAAGACTCAGTTTTATAGGACTTGATATCTCCTGGATGACCTAATAAAAATCTAATTTCTAAAACTATAAAGTTAAGAAACACATCGGTTGCATAATGTTTACATCAAGATGATCCAATAATCTGGCGAGGTCAATCCTGAAACAGGCTTACTCATATTTAATATAATGCACTCCACTTGCTTTTTAACAGTATTTGCTTATATAAGAACTTTTATTCTTTTCTTTTGGGTGGAATATGAAAAATAGATTTACTCTCAAATATCTAGACAAATATATAATTTCTCAGCTTTAAATTTACCTTCATTTTTTTTCCAGGCAAGAAATATTCTCATTAAAATATCTCCTAAAAAAAATTGCTTCCATGTGCTCAAAGTCTTAAATAAGAAAACTCCAAAGGAATCCTCTGATATGTCCATCGGAGCTTAAGTTTGAATTGTATTTATTATTGTTAAACCTTAAATAAGGCTCTTAAATAAGCAGCTTACTATTTTCCTGGTATTTTATTAAGTAAACATGGGAATATTATCATTTCAGTTTTACTGATGGAGAACCCAAAAGAAATAAATCCTTATTGCCTTACCTCAATAGTCATAAATGTAGTAGCAGAGATTACAGTAGAATTTGCTTCTCTCTTTTGTGAGAAGCATGGTATTGTTTTTGTGGCACTATTAGCAATTATACTTTTTTTCCAAAGCTTATTTTCATTGACTTTTAATTACAAGCTTCTCTTTTGTATATATTCAACGTTATTTTGGGCCTTGTTTTCCTTCAAAAGATTTTAACTCTGTTTTTCCCCAACTTAGACTACTATTACCTAGAGTGGCTGGGGAGAAGAATATTCTGCTTAAACAGAAAGTTATAAAATTAATATGTGTATAAGCAATTTAAAATATTACTGTATTACAATTTTTAAATTACTCATATTTACAAAGATAATAACTTCTCTATTTCCTATAAGCTATCCTAATTAATCTTGCTTATGAATCTTCTACTCTACTAGATAGTCATAAAGAAGGTAAGGGTAAAATTATGAGAAGAAAACACGTTTGCTCACATAATCATCTTAATCCAGAGGTATTCTCCGGATTTAAATGTCATGTCCTTTGCACCAGAAAGGAGCATCCTAGGTCACAATTACTTTGAGGAAACTTGATTAATAGAGATGTCAATTATAAACTAGGTGAAATGTCTACCAAAAATAAACACCTTGATTTTGGGATAGTTGATCTGAAGCCATGTTCTTTTGTCTGGCAGTGATTAGAGAATAGAACCAGTAGTCTCTAAGTCACTCCTAGTTCCAGATAATAAACTCATATCATCTGAATATGGGTCTTTTCTTTTTCGTGGCTGAGAGGGAAAAAAAATGAATGCAACTTGTTTATCCAAAAGTAAGTCCAGAACACATTCCTATTTAATGAACTGGCAAATATTTTCTGATCCAACAAGAGAATACTTCTACTCCTCAGTTCCTGCTTCTGCATAAGCGTCTGTAACAGGGGGATCAATACTGAGCTACTGCATTTTGTCTTATAACTGATTTCTAAGCCAGGAGTCAAAGGCTGTCGAAAGGTCAACAAAAATAAAAAAGAAGGATATTTTGTGTTGAGTCTAAGAGATCTCTCTATAAGATGACATGACAATAGTAAATAATGGAATGGTTATACCTAGAGTCTACTTACTTGCTACTTGTTTAGAATGTGGGCCTGAGAAGCTGGGATGTGCTGTTTATGGAAAATAAATTTGGTATGATTTTAGATGCCTATTAATAGGTATGCTACTTGATAGGGTAAAGAAATGCCTTTTAAAAGCTGGTATAAACTACATTCTGAGTTCAGGCCTACTGGACCATCCATGTAGGACTGATTAAGGCAAATAAAGTGACAAATTAATATGTCACTGCAGGAAATGATATATTGGTAATTTCTGGAGGCAAGAATTTCCTAGCATGAGGTCTCTCTTCAAGCACCAGCACAAAGACCTTACTGCAATTCATGGAAGCCTCTTTCCACTATGTATATTTTAGAAAAAAAAGTTTAATTTAATGATGTCTAATAATCCAGAGAACTATGTTGAAACTCTGGTTTTGGCCCTAAAAATTTGGGGAGCTTTAAAAAATATTCCAGTCTCTTAGAGACAATTTGCTTATCTATAAATCAAGGATTTTCTAATGAATCATCTAAGACCAAATATAAAGTTACACTTAGCGTTCTTCATCTGTAAGTACTCGATTAGATTTCATTTAAAGCAAGTATGACTAGACTTTCACGTAAATGTAAATAAGAAAATGTCACTTATATTATGAATTAAAAGTTACTTATCCATGCAATTCTTATACTTTATCTGTCTTGGAATCTTTCAAACATTTATTATCCCTCATACTGAAATCCTTTTATAGTTAATATTTAGTATCTGTCTTTAATTTTTCAAAGTTTCTTCTTTTTTAAAAAAAAATCGCAAATTGAGAAAGAGAGCTAATTACTTAAAACATTTTGCCTTAATATCACTTTCCTGAATCAGTGTAGGTCAAAAGTCTAGTCATACTTTCATTAAATGGGAAAGAATTATATCCCAATATTCCAATTTGTTTCCCATTCCAAAAGCTAAAACATGAGTTTCATTTAGTCATGTTTTATAAACCTCATGGGAGAAAATAAATTTTAAAGTCTACCCTTTTAGCACAGATAAGCTATGCAATTTTCATAAGAACAATAAACAAAAGGCCAAGAGACTAATATTTGGGTTTGGCATTTTGAAGTAGGGATCACGAAAGAGAAACATGGACGAATATTACTATGACCATGGTTAAAAAAAAAATCTTATTCTAAGCCTAGTGCCATCCAGACAGGTAGGAAAATTAGATAGGAGTAGAGTTTGGGGATATTAGAACAATGTCCAATAGCAGCCCATAAAATGACCATGTTATTTACCTATTCTGAGACCATTAAATATGTAGTTGTTTGCAAAGCAACTTAATTTAAGAAATAGAAAGAAAAGATCAAAATAACCTAAGATTGAAAGTCACATCAAAACTAGATCCATGAAAACCTCAGCTAGGTCGTGATTGTCCCTCTTAAAATGCTCATAACTTATATCTTCAAAAATGAACTTCCCCTGCCTGTATCTAAAGAAATGTTTCAACTCTACACTGAAATACTAAAAGAAAGTATTTGGTAACGTTTTATTGGCAATGACATTTTAAACTCATAAAATTGCTTTCAATTTGGCATTGGCAAATTCTAGTTCATAATAGCTTAATGTTTTCAGATACAAAGACAGCAGTTTCAAAAGTTAAAAGAACAGAAATTTAGAAAGGGCCAACAATGGCTCTTAAGAATGGATTGTTGCAACTTGTCTTTTCACATACTTTCTTCATTGGCTTCCATGTATGCCAAAAGACTGGTTTTGTGAGTCAATGAATTCAGCCTTTTTTCTTAAAGTGATCTCTCAGAGATCACAGAGCTACTGGCAAGCTCTGTTAGTTTACATCATGTTGGCTAGAAGAATGTGGTTACGAAGCAGTCATCAGCCAAGGACCTTAGGGACGAGAGAACTTGGAACACTGAGCTTCACAAAACAAAG
This sequence comes from Homo sapiens, assembly GCF_000001405.40. Classification (NCBI taxonomy): domain Eukaryota; kingdom Metazoa; phylum Chordata; class Mammalia; order Primates; family Hominidae; genus Homo; species Homo sapiens. Next base: position 190,159,573 of record NC_000002.12, on the reverse strand, counting down.
GGAGCTCAAAGAAATGAGTCTCACTCACAGCCAAGTATGACAGAACCACAACACTCTAGCAGTCCGCATCCCAAGTTGAAGTAGGGCATGTCCTGAATTCAGGGAAGAAAACCAAAAATCCCCAGAAATTGAGTCTGAAGAGTTTAACTCATAACCAGAGAGTAGATGTTTTATATTCACAAAATAATCATTGTAAGTGATTATATAGACGGTGAGAATACAAAGGCTCAGCACAACAGTACTCATCAACCCAGAACTCAAGTGAGCCTCCTGGGGGACTTTGCCCTTCTGCTCCACCACTGTCACCATGCCCATATAACAAATACTGGAGGCAGGTCCAAGTGCCTGGGACCCTTAGGCAGTTATGGCACCAATATAATTTGTACCTAGTTGGGTGGAGGCCAGTCGCTACTAATCATAACTTTCCTTTACAGGGAGAAAGGCAAGTGCCTAATCCCAGCTCAGACCTCCTACCTTGTCTAGTTCCCTACGCCCTTCTGCATTTTCTCAGCTTTGGTGACTCCCACAATTATCCTGCATCACAGCCCCTTCCACTGCAGCCTTTGGAATCCTAATCCCTTGCTAATCAACTTCCTGCATCCTCATCCTGTCTTAGAAGTCTCTTCACCTCCAGGCCCTACAGGAATCCTGGGCCTCCCCTGAGGATAGCCCTTCTCCTGCAGCCTTCTCTCCAAATGGATAGCAACAGAAATTCTCCTGCCCACTCCCAACTCCAAACAGGGATGTTTCCCCTGCTTCTGTGAGGCTTCTGCCCTGTGATCATATCTGTTCTGCCTCATCACTTTTAGATCTGCCTCTTATGCATGCTCTGCCATTCAGGGAGAACTTTGGGACCTGGGTCCACTATTTCTCTGCACCACAAAGTCTGCATAATGCCAAGATGATGATAGCCAGGGAGAACAGAATCAAAAAAGAAAAAAATCTCTTAAATGATAACGTGATACTATGAATCCCCTCAGGAATTTACAATTTAATCAATATCATTAAAAGTAATGTAAGTACAGCTTGTTTATGGCAAAATTCATTTAAAGTATATAAATATTTACATAGAATCTATATATAAATTCTTACCATTTCCTATTCAATAGGTGAAACACACTGTTAAATTTACTTCAAATTTGTTAATGTGAGAAATACGTCACCAATTTTTTAAATGAAACTGCTTGCTTGAGAGGTCTGCATACACTGAAATATAGACTGAATTTTACTTCTGCTAAAAACACCCTGCTTTTGTAGCAGGACAAGCCGCAGACAAAACCTCTCAGACACTGAGTTGTATAAGGAAGGGCTTTATTCAGCTGGGAGCATTGGCAAGCTACTGCCTTAAAATCCGAGCTCCCCGAGTGCACAATTTCTGTCCCCTTTAAGGGCTCACAACACTAAAGATTTTACATGAAAGGGTCGTGATTGATTTGAGCAAGCAAGGGGTACGTGACAGGGGCTGCATGCACCAGTGGTCATAGAGAAACAGAACTGGGCAGGGAGTTTCACAATGTTCTTCTATACAATACCTGGAATCTATGAATAACATCGGTTTCTAAGCCATGAGTTGATTTTTAACTACTAGGTTTAGGCCAGGCAGGCCCAGGTCTGATTTTGGGCCTGGCGCCGGGCTGCCTGTCTTTGATTTCACTTCCTTGTTTTTTTCTTAAAACAGGTACTGAGTATAAAACAATATGAGAGGGTCTCTCTCTTCCCTCACTTTCAAGACCTGATGTTTGGAGCATTACATTTTAAGTCTTATATGTAATAACTAAACCTTTTCTTGTTAGCATTAATTTGTTTTGAGTTCTAGAGACATGTGAGACATAGTCTTGAGGCGAATTTATAAGATTGTCATTATTATGTCTCCATTAATGTAAATTTTTCCCACAATGGATATAGTCTCCCCTTCCCTCAATTATCTGTGCTCATTTAAAAAAATAGTTAAGTAATTAAAAACAAAGGTAAAAATAAAAATCATATAAAATCTATCCCCCATCAGATAATCATGAAAGGTGTTCATTCCTTTATACATAGCTTTATGAAATTATATCCATAATTTTTTTACCATGAATAGTAAATGTAGTTCTTCCAAAAGTTAAAATGTTAACAACCTAATATTTAACCTTCTTTTCTGGAGTAGAAACCTATTCTAGATATATAGCATCCTGTGATATGTGTGTGTGTGTGTGTGTGTGTGTGTATACAAGTTTAGGGAGTCATTTGTTTTATAATACTGTGATCTTATTTTATATACTTCTCTGTATTAAGATTTTCATACTGATGAACAATATATTTCAAAATGTCTCCAAATCTACTGGCATAAAGAGAAAATAGAGAGATTTTGAATGTAGTTCTGTGAGGCCTTGGGTACGTTTTTAAAAACTCTCTGTGCTTCAGTTTCCTACCCTGTAAAATTATTACCACCTACCACATAAGGTTGTGGTGAGGATCAAAAGAGGGCCTAGCTCAAGGGAAGTCCTTAATAAGAACCGAATTGATTTCTTTTAATGGTTGTATGATACTAATGATATGAGTATGCTGTAATACAGTATATTGAGCCATTTGTCTACTGAGGGGCACTCACTCTGTCTCCAGTCTTCCATTAGTACAAACAATGATGCAATAAACATAAATGTGTGTATGCCTTACCTAGTAGTGATTTTATTTCCATGGGATAGATTCCTATGATGGGATAGGTAAATGTATTTTTAATTACAATGGATAATACCAGATTACATTTTTGAAAGACTGAAACAATGAACATTTCCACATATATGAGAGTACTCTTCTCCCCAAACCTTTTCAGCAGCAATTTTCACTGTCAATTTTTGCTAGTCTAATGGCTATGACATGATATATTGTTGTTATTTTATTTGCATTTCCCTCACTCCCAGCAAGGCTGCGCATGATTTCATGTTTATTGGCCATTTGGATTCCCTTTTCTGCAAATCTAATTTGCCCGTTGTTTCTTTTTGGTTATTTATGTTTTATTCATTTGTAAGCACTTTAGTATAGTCCAAATCTTCTCTATCATGTGTTTCAAATAAATAATTTCCCCTAATTTATCATTCCCTTTTTAAAATTTTTTCAATAAAGCATAGCATTCATTTTCTTTTGATTTAAATTTAATCGTCTGTCACACAGATTTGGAAATTATGTGTGTCTTGTCCTTTATAACTTCTAGGTCCTATCTTGGTTAATCAACAATTTGAAGGATGTTTGTATGTATATAAAATCTATTATTTCATTTTTCTTTAATCAATCTGGAACTTATCTCAATATATTAATACTTTTTTTCCAGATTAATAGGATGTTGGATCAGCACTATTTTAAAAATAACCTATCTTTTCTCCTTTTAACTGAAATACCATTTTTATTAAATATCAAATATCCACATGTACTGGGTCTACTTCTGAGCCCTCTATTCTATTCTTCTGACTTATCTTTTTTTAAGCCAAAACCAAAGCCTATAAGGAGGTCACGATATGCTCCAATCTAGTGAGGCAGGTCACTCCTCACCAGTTTTCCTTTTTACATTAATTATTCCATATAGCCTTTAAGATCACTTTATCCAATTCCCCAAAACCCTAGGCAAATTTAAATTAGAATTGTATTACATTTACTTGATTTGGGGGAGCATTCATGTTTTTATACTAAGTATACCTAAAAATTTATTATTTAATGTCCTTATGTATCATTCTATTATTTTTCAGGAGGTCCTTTAAAATTTTTTTCCTCTTTTATAGCTTGTTGCTAGCACAGAGAAAAATATTTTTAATCTATCCACCTTTGATTAATTTCAACCTTAGTATTCCAATGACTATTCTAAAGCTCCTCATTGTTCAAGCTACTCTCTTTCTCACTAGACATTCTTACTTCCTACTTCATTAAAAAAATTGAAGTTATTAGCTTTCCAGACTCCTGTCTGCACAATCACCTGTTCATATCAGTTCTTAGTACCTTTTCCTCCAGTCTTAAAAGATGAAGTTTGTTTCCTCCTGGTCAAGTCCAGGCTGCATTGATCCCACCCCATTCAGCTTCCTCTAGGACCTTACCCTCTTCTAGTCTAATCTAATAGTTATTCTATTCATTATATTGTATTAATTTTGCCCCCTTCTTTTTTTCACCTACCACCTCTGCTTCCTATTTTCTTTTTCTTGTCTATACTTTGCACTTTATTAAATTCTTTCTTCCTGTGGAGAGGCTCCTTTAATGATATCTTGGCCAGATTCTGTAGCCATTCAGCCATTTTCAACCATCAGAAATACTTTATTCTGTTGTTAGTTCTTCTCCTACCCTCCCTTAACTTAGGCAAAAGCTGTGGTTCTATCAGCTTAGAGTGAGAATGAAGGGCAAGGGTCTGGTTCCCAGATACCTCCTTACTCTCTCTGTTGTAGCTCTTCTGTAATTGGGGCAAAAGAGGGGAAGGGGGGAGAGAAAATGTCCCCCTCCTTGACTGGAGAAAGTTGGAGCCCTCTATGTTGGCTGTCCCTGCTTCTGTGGCTAACACTGAATAGCCATCCATGTACTCTGAGGAGCACAAGTTCAAATGCTGGCTTTCTCTTCCAGTGCATGTATGGTTCTTAAGTAAGCCTTAGAAAAGCGGTGGGAGTGTCTGCCAACTGCACATTTCACTCAAGTAGGAGACCTGCCTCCAAACACAGATCTCTTCTACACTCCCCAGTTAGCTCTTACACAGGCAGTCCACCTCACAGCCTGCAGTAGGTCTGTTCCCTACCCAAATGGCCACAGTATTGTGTAACTTCTCCCTAAGAGTGAAGTTTATTTCTCCTCTTTGAATCTAGACTGCCAGGTAACTTGCTTTGGCCAGTGGAACATAGTTAGATGTGAATTTTGGGGTTTGTGTGCATGAAATAAGTCATATACTTCTATCATAAAGCAAAATGTAGCCCTGTCTTGTATACAAGAGACACTTCTAAGACAATGCAACTCAATTAAGATAACAGTATGAGCAAATATGAACTAAAATAAAGCACAGGCAGTGATTTTAATCAGTAAATATAGAACTCACACCCAAAAGCGATTTATAAAGACTTTTAAAAAATGCTAAGTATGAGAATTCACAAGGAAGATTAGTTATGAATATCTGTGTACCAAACAGCTTAGCAATTACTTGCATGAAGTCAAAGCTATAGAATATACAAGGAGAAACAGAAATACACTAAAAATAAGACAGATTAATTCACTTTCCAAACTAAAATACAGCAAATGATTAAAAAATATGAAATGAAAAGAATAACAGAAACAAAAGGGATTATGAAGCTGCTTTGCACAACTCTGTGCAAATAAATTTGAAAACTCGGAAGATGAAACAAATGATTTTTCCAGGAAAACTAAATCATTCAAAAGTCACCCCAGCAGACTCAGAAATTCCACAGGGGTCAATTACCATAGAAATTAGTAGATTATAGAAGCATAAGCACAATTAAAAATATCAAGGTTAAATGCTGTAAGATAATACTGAAATTTCGTGTTGAAATAGAGGGAAATCCTAAAGAAGAGGTTGCAAAATAGCTTAATTATTGCTTACATATGTTGCAAATATCTCCTCAACCCCCAAATGTACCCATCTCGTCTCACAGAGGAATCTTTAGAGAGTAGGTAATGCTATTTGAACTGTTCCAATTTTAGAAAAATGAAAAATTCCAGACTATAAGTTATAACATTGATGATACTAAAGCCTTATAGACTGCAAAAAAGAATTATCAACTTTAGTTATGAATGTCAATTGAGAAGACTTACTAAAATATTAACAAATTAGCACATTAAGAGAATATACCATGATCAAGTGAGATTCCTTCTCAATGCTTATGTAAGAATGCAAGAATAACTCAATAATACAAAATATATTAATGTAATTTACCATATTAATAAATTTATGATGGAAAATTATTTTTATATTTATAGTTGCTAAAAGGAATTTAATAAAAACCAAAACTATTCTTGATTTTTTAAAAAGCACTCAAAATAAGAATTGATGAAAACATTATACTATTATACATATTTTATCTTAACTTTAAGGCTAGCCCATTTCCTAGTGGAGAAACACTGAAGATATTCTTCCTAAAGTCTGGAACTAGACAAAGATGCCCAAAATCACCACTACTAGTTAACATTGTCTAATTGATTGGCTGTACCTCCAATACCATAGAAAATTAGAGGTATAAAAATTGGGAAAAAATATATTTCTATATTTTCAGATGGTATGATTGTATACCTGAAAAATCCAACAGATACCAAATGAAAATGATTATAAGAAAATTCAGCAAAGTAGCAGGATATAAAATTATTAATACATAGAAATTAATAGTCTTCATATATGTAAACAATGACTTAGAAATAATGGGCAAGTGGCCGGGCACGGTGGCTCATGCCTGTAATCCCAGCACTTTGGGAGGCCGAGGTGGGCAGATCACAAGGTCAGAAGATCGAGACCATCCTAGCTAACACGGTGAAACCCCGTTTCTACTAAAATTACAAAAAATTAGCCGGGCGTCGTGGTGGACACCTGTAGTCCCAGCTACTCAGGAGGCCGAGGCAGGAGAATGGCGTGAACCCGGGAGGCGGAGCTTGCAGTAAGCTGAAATCACGCCACTGCACTCCAGCCTAGGCGACAGAGTGAGACTTCGTCTCAAAAAAAAAAAAAAGAAAGAATGGGCGAGTAAATCCCACATCGATAATAACAAGTGACAAAGTATTAAGAATTATTTAAGAAATGTTCAGAACCTAGAGGAGAAACTTTCTAATAAAAAGGATATAAAAGTTAACTTAGACAAATGTAAAGACTGTGTTCTTTAACAGAAAGACTCATTATCATAAAGCAGTTGTATTACATTGATAAGTTACTAAGGAACAATAATAACAAAAAATACAGATTTTCTTTCCTGGAACTAGACAAACCAATTATAAAATTCCTATGGGGGAAAAAGTGAACAAAAAATAGCCTATGAAATTCTGATAAATAAAAGCAATAAAAGTGCTATTCTTATTAGGGGTTTAAACATACTATAATGCATCAATAATTAAGAATGTAGGATTGGCTTATGAAAAGACAGACTAATGAAACAGAGTAGAAAAAGTCCAGAGAAAGACTTGAATGCACATGGGGATTTAGTGCACAATGAAGACTGCATGCCAAATCAAAGTTAAGATGGACTTTTAAATAAATAAATAGTGTTGGGGAAATGGAGTGGCAAGTTGAAAGAAAAGAAAGCCAGTTCTGTACTCATGCTATGTTATGGGGATACAGAAATAGGCCCAAATGGAGCAACAATTTGAATGTAAAGAAATGAAATGATAAAAGTATTAGAAAACAACATAGGTGATATTTATTAGAATCATGGGAAGACCTTTCTTGCTTAAATTAAAAATATTTTTTAATTTTTTGTAGTGATGGAGTCTCATTCTGTTGCCCAGGCTGGTCTCAAACTCCTGACCTCCAGCGATCCTCCCACTTTAGCCCCTCAAAGCACTGGAATTAGAGGAGTGAGCCATGGAGCCTGGCCAAGACCTCTCTTTGTTTTTTTTTTTTGTTGTTGTTTTTTGTTTTTTTAATTGAGACAGAGTCTCGCTCTGGAGTGCAGTGGCACAATCCCAGCTCACTGCAACCTCCGCCTCCCAGATTAAAGCAATTCTTGTGCCTCAGCCTCCCAAGTAGCTGGGATTACAGGCGCCTGCCACCATGCCTAGCTTATTTTTTATATTTTTAGTAGAGATAAGATGTCACTATGTTGGCCAGGCTGGTCTTGAACTCCTGGCCTCAAGTGATCTGACTGCCTTGGCCTCTCAAAGTACTGGGATTACAGGCGTGAGCCACTATGCCCGGCCTGGCCAAGACCTTTCTAACTATAAATCAAAGTCTGGATAGTTGCTTGGTTTGTTCATTGCAGCACTATTCACAATAGCAAAGACATGGGATCAACCCAAATGCCCACCAATGATAGACTGGATAAAGAAAATGTGGTACATATACACCATGGAATACTATGCAGCCATAAAAAGGAACTAGAGCATGTCCTTTGCAGGGAAATGGTTGGAGCTGGAATCCATTATCCTCAGCAAACTAACACAGGAACAGAAAACCAAATACTGCTTATTCTTGCTTACAGATAGAAGCTGAACAATGAAAACACATGGTCACAGGGAGGGGAACAACACTGTGGCCTGTCATGGGGGGATGGGGAAAGGGAGAGCATCAGGATAAATAGCTAACGCATGCGGAGCTTAACACCTAAATGATGGGTTGGTAGGTGCAGCAAACCACCATAGCACACGTTTTCCTATGTAACAAATCTGCACGTTCCGCACATGTATCCTAGAACTTAAAATTTAAAAAAAATCTGGATAGCATAATAGTCAAATGTAAACACAAATCAACCAAACATTTATGTATGTCAAAAATATCCCATTAGCAAAATCAAAACAGAAATGACAAATAGGAAAGACATTTGCAATTCATAGCACAAACTGAGTGCTTATAAGTATTCTTATATAAAAACTTCTAGAAATAGTGAATGAAAAGGCCAATTTTATAGACAAGTAAGCAAAGAATATGAATGAATAGTTCACAGAAAAAATACAAATATCCACTAAAAAAATGAGATGATGCTAAACTTCACCAATAAAAATACAAATTAATATTACACTGAGATAGAATTCCTCAACTATCTGGCAAAATCCAAAACTCCTATAGTACATTATTGGAGAGGCTATGGGGAAACAAACGCTTTCAAATATTGCTGGTGGGAGTAGAAAAAAGGAATAATGAAAAAAAAAAAAAAGCAGGAGATCATGGGAGGATCTCCTCTTGGGAGGACAGAGATCATACTTTGTCCAAAGGACTAGATTGCAGCTCCGGACAGAGCAGTTTGCAGAAGCTCGCATTTGAATTTTAGCTCCATACTGACTGCAAGAACAAACCAGCAATCCTGAGAGGGCCCACACACCCTCTGAAGGAAGTGGACTGCTCCTGCAGGACCCAGGACCCAAATACTGTAAGTCCCCCAACTGCAGAATTGGGAAAGGGAGACCCTCCTTTCCCAAACACCTCCCACTGGAGAGGCTGAAGGTCTGTTTGTGGGAGAAATTTCTGACTTCACCTGGAGCTGAGTCAATTTGGAGAGCCGAGTGAAAAACAGTGGTAGAGGAAGCAGCAGAAAGGACCTGGGATCTCGCTGCATCCCCTAGCAGGCCATTCCTGCCTGGCACCACAGAGATCCATCAGGAGGGTGACCAGAGGAGCAGGGAGTGAAACTCCACAGGGAGAAGGAAATCTCTAGCTGAACTTTGTAACAATTCGAATGGGGTGAGAAGCCTCCTGGCCAGAACTCGGGGGAGGGCGCAAATCCTGTGTGCAGACTCCACAGAGGGGGAAGAGCCAAGCTCTTTTCTTTTGCAGCTGGGAGGTGGGTAGCCCAGGGCAAGTTTTCAAGCCTGTCATGCTGTCTGCCTGGAAACGGATTGGGGGCTGTTGCAGGGGGCACAGTGGGAGTGAAACCAGCCCTTCGGTTTGCATGGGAGCTGGGTGAGGCCTGTGACTGCCGGCTTTCCCCCACTTCCCTGACAACCTGCAGAGACAGCCATAATCCTCCTAGAGATAGGCAGCAACACAATAATAGTGGGAGATTTCAATACTCCACTGACAGCACTAGACCAGCCATCAAGACAGAAAGTCAACAAAGAAACAGTGGATTTAAAATATACCTTGGAACAAATGGACATAACAGATATATACAGAACACTTCATCCAACAACTGCAGAATATACATTCTATTCAACAGTGCATGGAACTTTCTCCAAGATAGACCATATGATAGGCCATAAAACCTCAATCAATTTAAGAAAACTGAAATTATATCAAGCACTCTCTGAGACCACAGTGGAATAAAACTGGAAATCAACTCCAAAAGGAACCTTCAGAACCATGCAAATATATGGAAATTAAATAACTTGCTCCTGAATGAGCAGTGGGTCAAAAACAAAATAAAGATGGAAATTTAAAATTCTTTGAACTGAATGACAATAATGACACAACCTATCTAAACCTTGGGATACAGCAAAGGTGGTGCTAAGAGGAAAGTTCATAGCCCTAAGCACCGACATCAAAAACGCTGAAAGAGCACAAACTCACATTCTAAGGTCACACCTCCACGAACTAGAGAAACAAGAACAAACCAAACCCAAACCCAGCAGAAGAAAGGAAATTACCAAGATCAGAGAACTAAGTGAAATTGAAACAAAAAAATACAAAAGATAAATGAAAAAAAAAGCTGGTTCTTTGAAAAATAATGGGCGTAGTGGCTCTTGCCTGTAATCCCAGCACTTTGGGAGGCTGAGGCAGGTGGATCACCTGAGGTTGGGAGTTCAAGACCAGCCTGACCAACATGGTGAAACCCCATCTCTACTAAAAATACAAAATTAGCCAGGTGTGGTGGCACATGCCTGTAATCCCAGCTACTCAGGAGGCTGAGGCAGGAGAATCGCTTGAACCTGAGAGGCAGAGGTTGCAGTGAGCCGAGATCGTGCCATTGCACTCCAGCCTGGGCAAGAAGAGTGAAACTCTATCTCAAAAAAAAAAAAAAAAAAAAAAAAAAAGAAAGAAAAGAAAAGATAAAATTGATAGACCATTAGCAAAATTAACCAAGAAAAGAAGAGGGAAAATCTAAATAACCTCACTAAGAAACGAAACAGGAGATATTACAACTGGCACCACTGAAATACAAAAGATAATTCAAGGCTACTTTATGAACACCTTTACACACATAAACTAGAAAACTTAGAAGAGATGGGTAAGTTCCTGGAAAAATACAATCCTCCTAGCTTAAATCAGGAAGAATTAGATACCCTGAACAGACCAATAACAAGCAGCAAGATTAAAATGGTAATTTAAAAATTACCAACAAAAATCGTCCAGGACCAGAGGGATTCACAGCAGAATTCTACCAGACATTCAAAGGAGAATTGGTCCCAATCCTTTTGACACTATTCCACAAGATAGAGAAAGAAGGAACCCTCCCTAATTCATTTTATGAAGCCAACATCACCCTAATACCAAAACCAGGAAAGGACATAACCAAAAAAGAAAACTACAGACTGATATCCTTGATGAACATTGATGCTAAAATCCTTAGCAAAATACTAGCTAACTGAATCCAGCAACATATCAAAAAGATAATCCACCATAATCAATTGGGTTTCATACCAGGGATGCAGGAATGGTTTAACATATGTGAATCAATAAGTGTCATTCACCACATAAACAGAATTGAAAACAAAAATCATATGATCATCTCAATAGATGCAGAAAAAGCATTTGACAAAATCCAGCATCAATTTATGATTAAAACTTTCAACAAAATCAGCAAACAAGGGACATCCTCAGTGTAATAAAAGCCATCTATGACAAAGCCACAGCCAACATAATACTGAATGGGGAAAAGTTGAAAGCATTACCTCTGAGAACTGGAAGAAGACAAGGATGCCCACCCTCACCACTCGTCTTCAACACAGTACTGGAAGTCCTAGCCAGAGCAATCAGACAAGAGAAAGAAATAAAGGGCATCCACGTTGGTAAAGAGGAAGTCAAACTGTCACTGTTTGCTGATGATATGATCGTTTACCTTGAAAACCCTAAGGACTCCTCCAGAAAGCTCCTAGAACAAAAATAATTCAGCAAAGTTTCCAGATACAAGATGAATGTACACAAATCAGTAGCTCTTCTATACGCCAACAGCAACCAAGCAGAGAATCAAATCAAGAACTCAACCCCTTTTACAATAGCTCCAACAACAACAACAACAAAAAAAAAACCTTAGAAATATACCTAACCAAGGAATTGAAAGACCTCTACAAGGAGAACTACAAAACTCTGCTGATAGAAATCACAGACAACAAAAACAAATGGAAACACATCCCATGCTCATGAATGCATAGAATCAATATTGTGAAAATGTCCATACTGCCAAAAGCAATCTACAAATTTAACACAATCCCCACCAAAATACCACCATCGTTCTTCACATAGTTAGAAAAAACAATTCTAAAATTCACATGGAACCAAAAAAGAGCCCGCATAGCCAAAGCAAGACTAAGCAAAAAGAACAAATGAGGCATCACACTACCTGATTTCAAACTATACTATAAGGCCATAGTCAACCAAAACAGCATGGTACTGGTATAAAAATAGGCACATAGACCAACGGAACAGAATAGAGAATCCAGAAATAAACCAAAACACTTACAGCCAACTGATCTTTGACAAAGCAAACAAAAACATAAAGTAGGGAAAGGACACCCTTTTCAACAAATGGTGCTAGGATAATTGGCAAGCCACATGTAGGATAATGAAACTGGATTGTCATCTCTCACCTTATACACAAATCAACTCAAGATGGATTAAGGACTTAAACTAAGACCTGAAACTATAAAAATTCTAGAAGATAACATTGGAAAAACCCTTCTAGACATTGGCTTAGGCAAGGATTTCATGACCAAGAACCCAAAAGCAAATGCAATAAAAACAAAGATAAACAGCTGGGACCTAATTAAACTAAAGAGCTTTTGCACGCCAAAATGAACAGTCAGCAGAGTAAACAGAGAACCCACAAAGTGGGAGAAAATCTTCACAATCTATACATCTGACAAAGGACTAATATTCAGAATCTATAATAAACTCAAACAAATCAGTAAGAAAAAAATAAACAATCCCATCAATAAGTGGGCTAAGGACATGAAAAGACAATTCTCAAAAGAAGATATACAAATGGCCAACAAACATGAAAAAATGTTCAACATCACTAATAATCAGGGAAATGCAAATCAAAACCATAATGCAATACCACCTTACTCCTGCAAGAATGAACATAATCAAAAAATCAGAAAACAGTGGATGCTTGCATGGATGCGGTGAAAAGGGAACAATTCTACATTGCTGATGGGAATGTAAACTAGTACAGCTGCTATGGAAAAGAGTGTGGAGATTCCTTAAAGAACTAAAAGTAGAACTACCATTTGATCCAGCAATCCCATTACTGGGTATCTACCCAGAGGAAAATAAGTCATAATTCAAAAAAGATACTTGCACATGCATGTTTATAGCGGCACAATTCACAATAGCAAAATTGGCACAATTCGCAATAGCAAAACCAACCCAAATGCCATCAATCAACGAGTGGATAAAGAAACTGTGATATATATAAATGACGGAATACTATGCAGTCATGAAAAGGAATGAATTAACAGCATTTGCAGTGACCTGGATAAGATTGGAGACTATTATTCTAAGTGAAGTAACTCAGTTATGGAAAACCAAATATCATTTGGGAGCTAAGCTATGAGGATGCAAAGGCATAAGAATGATACAATGGACTTTGGGGACCTGGGGGAAGATTGGGAGGGTGGTGAGGGATAAAAGACTACAAATACGGTACAGTGTATACTGCTCGGGTGATGGGTGCACCAAAATCTTACAAATCACCACTAAAGAACTTATTCATGTAACCAAATACCAGCTGTACCCCAATAACTTATGGAAAAATAAAAAATAAAAATAAAAATGTAAAAAAAAAAAGAAAAATGGAATAACCATCAGGAAGAGGTTTCTGGAAATATATACTAAAATTTCAGATGCATTTACCTTTGATTTATTTCTAGGAATCTCTTTATATATATATATATAGTTATATATATATTTCTTTTTATATATACACACATACATATACATATATATATTACACCCACTATATATACAGAGAGAGAATCATGAGTTGCTTAATAACAGAAATTCGTTCTGAGAAATGTATTATTAGGAGATTCAGTCATTGTGTGAACTCACAGAGTGTATCTACACAAACCTAGTTAGAAACTCAGGCAGTAAGATATAGCCTATTGCTCCTAGGCTACAAACCTGTACCACATGTGACTGTACTGAATACCACAGGCAATTATAACACTAAGTAATTGTGTACCTAAACACAGAAAAGGTACAGTAAAAATATGGTATTATAATCTTATGGGATGGCCATAGTATATGCAGTCGGTCATTGACCAAAACATTATTATGCAGTGCATGACTGTATATTATATAGATATTATCTGTGCTAATATGATAGTTGTAAAATCAACTGCAATTTTTTTGTTCATAAAGCAAAAAATTAGAACACAAGTATCCAGCAGTAGGGAACTGGTTGAATAAATCACAGTGTATCTATACAATAGAAAACTATGCATCTGCAAAAAAGAAAAAGGAAGAGTTCTATCTACTACTGACTTGGAAACATCTCTGGAACAAGGTCTCACTCTGTCATGTGATCTCTGCTTACTGCAACCTGCATGTCCTGGGCTCAAGTGATTCTTCCATGTCAGCCTCCTGAGTAGCTGGGACTACAGACGTGGGCTACCACGTCTGGCTAATTTTTAAACTTTTTTTGTAGAGATGAAGTCTCACTATATTGCCCAGGCTGGTCTTGAACTCCTGGGCTCAAGCAATTCTCCCATCTTAGCCTCTCAAAGTGCTGGGATGGATTGCAGATGTGACCCACCATGCCTGGCCTTTCCAGAATAATTTTTTTTTTGAGACAGTTTCACTCTTGTTGTCCAGGAGTGGAGTGCAATGCAGTGATATCAGCTCACTGCAACCTCCACCTCCCGGGTTCAAGTGATTCTCCTGCCTCAGCCTCCCAAGTAGCTGGGATTACAGGGGTGTGCCACCGTGCCTGGCTAATTTTTGTATTTTTAATAGAGATGAGGTTTTACCATGTTAGTCAGGCTGGTCTCGAACTCCTGACCTCAGGTGATCTGCCCACCTCACCCTCCCAAAGTTCTGGGATTACAGGCGTGAGCCACCATGCCCGGCCCAGAATAAATTTTTATGTTAAAACAAAAGCAAGGAATAAAACAGTGTGTATTCTAGACTACTTTTATGAGACAGGAGGGAAAAGGATGCATTTATATTTGCATAAAGAAATACTGGGAGGATAAAAAATACATGAATACAAACGTTAAACTATAGCAACTAGAGAGAAAAGGGTGGAAATGCAAATAGAGGAATGAGATTTCTATGTGTTTTTTAACATATTTTTATATTTGAATCAAATAATTAAAATGAATAAAATAGAATATTTTCTTAGAATTTGGTGCCAAGTTTTAGAGCAAAGATATCTGAATAAACTTCAGCAAAGTAACGTGGTTTAGATTATGATACAGAGAAATTGCCAATTGTTTACAGCCAATTTGCCAACTTTTTATTAGGGTACTTTCTTTTTAGTGGGACTTGAGAACTCAAAAACTCTTTTTTTTTTTTCTGTTAGAGCCTTTTTGTTAATTGTTTTTTTATTAAGTTATAATTTTATTAATATTTTTTTTCTTTTCTTTTCTTTTATTATACTTTAAGTTTTAGGGTACATGTGCACATTGTGCAGGTTAGTTACATATGTATACATGTGCCATGCTGGTGTGCTGCACCCACTAACTCGTCATCCACCATTAGGTATATCTCCCAATACTATCCCTCCCCCCTCCCCCCACCCCACCACAGTCCCCAGAGTGTGATATTCCCCTTCCTGTGTCCATGTGATCTCATTGTTCAGTTCCCACCTATGAGTGAGAATATGCGGTGTTTGGTTTTTTGTTCTTGCGATAGTTTACTGAGAATGATGATTTCCAATTTCATCCATGTCCCTACAAAGGACATGAACTCATCATTTTTTATGGCTGCATAGTATTCCATGGTGTATATGTGCCACATTTTCTTAATCCAGTCTATCATTGTTGGACATTTGGCTTGGTTCCAAGTCTTTGCTATTGTGAATAATGCCGCAATAAACATACATGTGCATGTGTCTTTATAGCAGCATGATTTATAGTCCTTTGGGTATATACCCAGTAATGGGATGGCTGGGTCAAATGGTATTTCTAGGAGAACTCAAAAACTCTTGAAGAAATCCTTTAGGTCAGACACTGAGAACACAATAATATGGATAGAAGTTCTCGCTTTCAAAGAGTTCAAATCAGGGAGCCAAAAACATAAACATATGATGATAAGGCACAAGAACACCAAGAGCTATACACAAGGTGTAATGTGATTAACTACTTTCATTTGCCAAGGAAGGCTTCCTAGAAGTGATGAGAGCCAAGCTAGATCTACAGGATGACTAGGAGCTTGAAGGTGATCCTGGAAAGAGGGGACATTTCAAGCACAGGGAACGGCATGTTCCATGGTATTTAGGGAACTATAAAGTTCAGTGTTGCTTTTTTTTTTTTTTTTTCCTACAGGATAAAGTTTGACAGGAATAATACAGGGTGGTTGCAAGAGAATTAAAAAAAACTCCAGGCAGCAGTTACACATGACTAGAGACTATGGGCTGATAAAACCCTGAAAAACAAGGTGTGGACCAAGCTGGCTAAGACTGACTGGACCCAAAATGGCACTGGATTTTACCTAGGTTTCACAAATAGGACCTTATTATATGGTCATTAACATACTAAATCACACACCCCCGCCCCCCAGTGCCATGACAGTTCCAAGAACATCCATATTTAGTATAAAAATGGGTAGTACTGCAGTTCTCAGAAATCTGCACCTGTTTCCAGGAATTTTCATGAATATTCCACCCCTTGGTTAAGGAAACCCATAAAGGTAGCAGCCCCAAACCCCCTTGTGGGTGACTCTCTTGAGGACACCCACACTGCCTTTTATTGAGGGTGTACTTTTCCCTTTGCAATTAATCTCTGTAACCTTCACTATTTTCTGACTTGTCCTTGAATTCACTCTTGCGATGGTATCAAGAGCCTGCACAGTGGCTGCAGTCAAGGTCCCACCAGCATTTGGGGACCTCCCCCAGCCCGCTGGTATCAAAAGTACCAGTTTGTTAGCCTCAAAGCAACCCTTCACAACTTGGCTTTCTTTTCATCCTCATTTCTTACCACTGTGGAGGCCTAGAAGTTTACTGGCATATAAGATTTCACAGATAGGGAAGCCTCTGGTCCAGAGAAGCTCCAAAGAGTGGCCCCTTGGAATTGTGGATGTCAAGGAGTTCTGAAGTGGGAACACTGGCTGAGCTAATCAAAGAGTGGTGGCAAGAGTTTGGGGTAGAGAGCAAAACTGTGACCCAGATACATTATACCTCATAAATATTGGAGAGCAAGGCCCATGTGAATATAACTTCATTTACCAAGTAAGTAATGTGTTCCAAGCACTGTCCTCAGAGATCTTTTAATTGCATAAATGATATTATACCTTTACTTAAAATCATTGTGTCTAATGACATTTTAAATGGAAGTAATGAAACTGTGCCACAAAGAGTTAAAGACACCATAACTAACAGAAATTCTTGAGTTTGCAGGATGGCAGATAAGAGAAACAACTTGCTGAAACACTGAAATTCCCTCCATTTGTAAGATCATGAAGCTGGCTGAAATCAGTTGGAACCAATATGACCGACTGGAGTCTGCACAAAACAAGCCTGCTGACATCACAGCCTGAATTTCCACTGCATGTTTCATACTAACTCATTTTTGAATATGCACATGGGACCCACGAAGTAGCATGAAGAGGTAACTGCACATGCCTGAGGACTTTCCAGACCTCACCTTTCCTTCCGCCAATCACCTGCTAATCCCAGAATCCTCCCGCTAAGCCTTTTTAAATAAAATTACTGCCTTAAAGTCAGCACGAGGAGAAAGATTTCAGCTTGACTTGTGTCTCTTGTGAGTCAACTTGCAATATAAAGCTTCTCTCAAAAACCGGGTATCATAATATTGGCTTCTAGCACATTGGGCAGCAAGCCCCCTTTGCTCAATAACAGTAAAACTCCTTTGATATTGTTTGGCTGTGTCCCCACCCAAGTGTGATCTTGCATTGTAGTTCCCATAATCCCTACATGTCAAGGGAGAGACCTTGTGGGAGGTAACTGAATCATGGGGGTGGTTACCCCCATGCTGCTGTTTTCTTGATAGTGAATGAGTTCTCATGAGATCTGATGGTTTTACACGGGGCTTTTCCCTCTTTGCTCAGCAGTGCTCCTTGCTGCCACCATATGAAGAAGGATGTGTTTGCTTCTCCTTCCACCATGACTGTAAGTTTCCTGAGGCCTCCCCAGCCCTGCAGAATTGTGAGTCAATTAAACCTCTTTTCTTTATAAATTACCCAGTCTCAGGTATTTTTTCACAGCAGTGTGAGAAGAGACTAATATAGTAAACTGGTACCAGTAGAGTGGAGTGCTGCTATAAGGATACCTAAAAATGTGGAAGCGACTTTGAAACTGCATAACAGGCAGAGGTTGGAACAGTTTGGAGGGTTCCAAAGAAGACAGGAAAATAAGGAAAAGTTTGGAGCTTCCCAGAGACTTGGGAGGCTCAGAAGACAGGAAGATGTGGGAATGTTTGGAACTTCCTAGAGACTTGTTGAATGGCCTTGACCAAAATACTGATAGTGATATGGACAATGAAGTCCAGGCTGAGGTGGTCTCAGAGGGAGATAAGAAACTTGTTGGGAATTGGAGTAAAAGTCACACTTGCTATGCTTTAGCAAAGAGACAGGTGGCATTTTTCCCCTGCCCTAGAGATCTGCAGAACTTTGAACTTGGGAGAGATGACGTAGGGTACCTGGCAGAAGAAATTTCTAAGTGGTAAAGTGTTCAAGAAGAAGCAGAACACAAACGTTTGGAAAATTTGCAGCCTGACAATGTGATAGAAAAGAAAAACCCATTTTCTGGGCAGAAATTTAAGCCCGTTGCAGAAATTTGCATAGGTAATGAGGAGCCAAATGTTGATTCCCAAGACAATAGGAAAAATGTCTCCAGGCTATGTCAGAGACCTTCACAGCAGCCCCTCCCATCACAGGCCTGGAGGCCTAGGAGGAAAAAATGGTTTCATGGGCCGGGTCCAGGGCCTCCCTGCTGTATGCAGCCTCAGGACTTGGTGCCCTGTGTCCCAGCTGTGGCTAAAAGGGGCCAAGGTACAGTGTGGCCATGGCTTCAGAGGGTGCAAGCTCCAAGCCTTGGCAGCTTCCACATGGTGTTGAGCCTGCAGGTGCACAGAAGTCAAGGACTGAGGTTTGGGAACCTCTGCCTAGATTTCAGAAGATGCCTGGATGTCCAAGCAGTAGTGTGCTGCAGGAATGGAGCCCTTGTGGAGAACCTCTCCTAGGGCAGTGCAGAAGGGAAATGTGGTGTGGGAGCCCCCACACTGAGATCCCACTGGGGCACTGCCTAGTGGAGCTGTGAGAAGAGGACCACTGTCCTCTAGACCCCAGAATGGTAGATCCACAGAGAGCTTGCACCGTGTATCTGGAAAAGCCACAGACACCCAACAGCAGCCCATGAAAGCAGCCAGGAGGGGAGTATAACCTGCAAAGCCACAGGGGTAGAGCTAACCAAGACCATGGGAACTCACCTCTTATATCAGTGTGACCTGGATGTGAGACCTGGAGTCAAAGGAGATCATTTTAGAGCTTTAAGATCTGACTGACCCATCGGATTTCAGACTTGCATGGGGTCTGTAGCCCCTTCATTTTGGCCAATTTCTCCCATTTTGGATAGGTGTATTTACCCAATGCCTGTACCCCCATAGTATCTAGGAAGTAACTAACTTGCTTTTGATTTTACAGGCTCATAGATGGAAGGGACTTGCCTTGTCTCAGATGAGACTTTGGACTTGGACATTTGGGTTAATGATAGAATGAGTTAAGATATTGGGGCACTGTTGGGAAGGCATGATTGTGTTTTGAAATGTGACGACATGAGATTTGGGAGGGGCCGGGGGAGGAATGATATGGTTTGGCTGTGTCTGCACCCAAATGTCATCTTGAATTGTAGTTCCCATAACCTCCACATGTTGTGGGAGGTAATTGAATCATGGAGGTAGTTACCCCTATGCTGCTGTTTTTGTGATAGTGAGTTCTCATGAGATCTGATGGTTTTATAAGGAGCTTTTCCCTCTTTGCTTAGCACTACTCCTTGCCGCCACCATGCAAAGAACAATGTGTTTGCTTCCCCTTCTGCCATGATTGTAGGTGTCCTGAGGCCTCCCAGCCCTGCAGAACAGTGAGTGAATTAAACCTCTTTCCTTTATAAATTACTCAGCCTTGGGTATTTCTTCACAGCAGTGTGAGAATGGACTAATATAGCCTTCATATTCAGGTCCTATAAATTCTGCCCCATCCTACATCTCTGACTGCACTCTGTAACACCTCTCCCTTTCATAATGGCCTTTTCTCAGTCTCTAGAAAGTGCCAAGCTGCCTTATTTCTGTAATGCCCTCTATCCTTTGCTCCTTTGCCTAAATCCTACTTATCCTTCTACTGTAACTTTAAATGTCACCTCCTAACCAAACCTTTCTCCTAACCAGCTCACCACCATCTAAATTTTACTTCCAATTAAACACTTGATATACTTTCTTTCATATCAGATTTCATCATTGTGTTTATGTATTTACTTGTTTAAAGAAGACTTTATTCCCCCTCATGAAACTACAAGCTTCATGAGAGTAGGAATTATTTGTTTTGTTGAGTACTTTAAAAAGTGCCTAGCACATAGTAATCCACAAAGGCTTGTGAAAAGAATGCATAAATTTAATCCTCATAACAACTTTGCCAAATGATATTCTTATCCTTCCTTTCAGATGTGGAAATTGAGGCTCATAAAGGTTAACATCCCCAAATAAGGGTCTACGTCCAAATCCTATGCTCTTAAGTCCTATATTGTCTCCCAAATGAAGAGGGTCTTCTCGTGAAAATGGCCTGGAAGTGGTATAGGGAGCTAAAGATGATAAAAACCTATCTCCTGGCTTTGGCTTATGAGGTATGGACAAAGAACAGGCTCTGTTGGAGGGAACTGAAAATGAAGTAAGCTCCTTGGGGTTTCAATTTTAAAAGATGTGATGGAGTGCCCTGTTAAAAGGTTGAGGGCACAGAGGAAGTGGGTTTGCAGATAAATAGGAATGAGTTAGGAGACTGGACAGCTGTAAGAAAATGAGCAAGGAGAGTGGATGAGACTTCTCAGCAGCCATGGGGATAAAAGGATGAATGCATTGTTGACTGAATGCAAGTGTACACTTAAGTATTTAGTGACTGTGTGAACAAGAAGCTTGGACAGAATTAGAGCAGCTGAACTGCCTAGGAGTATCGGGAAGTACTCAAACAGTATTAGGCTATAGTACTTACTGTATACTCCTTCAATTTTTGTGAGCACTCTTCTCCCTGGAGGGACTTCTACTCCACTAATATGGCCTATCTACTCCTCATCAAGTTCTGGCATAACCTCTAGTTACTCTACCATCTACTGCTTCACTTCTGTTAACTTAGCTCTATCCTGCTGCAAGGGTCAGGGGCAAGAAAATAAATCATGATCAGTAGTGAAAGTAGTAACTACACAAAGAAGGCCAGGAATGAATTTTTCAGAAGATGAGTTAAAAGTTTCTGAAGCATGTTTCATACCACCTCTTACATTCTCAGTAGTAGGTAGAAACCTGGGTGTAATCCTAGACCACTTAAGAATGTGCCAGAGTTTAGGCCTAAAAGGAATGGATGTCAATGGTTTTTCAAAATACGAAAGTACCCAACTTCAGACATATATTCCATTATAGTTAAAAAGCTGTGTATTTTTTACATTCAGAGATGGGTAGAAAGTAAGGGTTTGGTGTGTCAATCACTAAAAAGCAAAATATTTAGTACTGCCTTAGGAGTTGCTCAGAAAAACTGTACCTTACAACTGGAATCCAAATAATCCAAAACAGATATAAAGTATGTAGAAATAGGCTGATAGCTCCTGAATGATGACAACAGCTGGCTCCCAGCCACTCTGCCTAGAAGCAGTTGCTAGGCAGCACCACATTTGCTCACAAATGCACTTTTCACCCAATAATCAGTATTATAACACACATGCCACCCTCCGATCAGTTTTTCTGCTCCTGTGTAGTTTAAAGGCAAAAGACTCTGGTAAATATTATTTATGATGGCGAATAGTCTCAGGGACAGTAAACCATGCTAGGCTATTTCCTGGACAAAAAGATGAAGACCTTTGTCATCTAGGTCTAGGAGTGCTTTGGAGAAGTCTGAAAGCTACATATTTCATTTGTTCTTAATTTATTTCAGGCTGAGTATAAATGTTATCCAGGGACCAGGATAATGAAATAATAGAGCTGAAACTTACTGTCTTTCAAGTTCTTTTTTTGGTTCACAAAAAGCCAATACTGCAAACCATTCAATTTAATTCATTTAAAAAATATTTAGGTAGACAGAATTTGAGAATTTGAACTATATAAAGGACACAAAGATATAATCATTCCAGAATTTTAAAGTTTTCCTTTGTTTTATATTTTCTTACTGCTTATCAAAAATTTGGAGTTCAAATTTTTATAGACTCAACCATTTTCTGCACAAAATTGACATTATTAGGATAAAGCAAAGCTGGATTGCCTAGCTTATTGATGATATGGATGACATAATATGACAATTTTAAAAGTTTGATTCTAGTAATGTGATAAAAGGTAAAAGTATGATTGTCCCTGTTCTGAATGAAGTGCATTCTGCTACGTCGACACATTTACTGGATGTACTACCTTCAACACTTCCAAAAGCAATCTTTTCCTCAAAGGAGCTTTTACCATATTCCCATTTTTGCCAAAAGCACATTCCTGGTCCTTCAGACTTAAAATCTTAGAGTCATAATTGCTTCCTGCAGTACATATTCTCCAAAATCTAATAACCAAATCTTGGTTCTTATCCTTTTGCTTTCTTTTCTACTAACCCATTCCATCTACTAATGCTTTTCTGTATTTACTTTATTCTATTTGCCAGAAAAGAATATTTCTCTATTTCTCACAGTTAAATGTGGGAGATTGGTCAGAGTGGTGGGAGAAACTATAGGTAAAGAAACAGGCCTTCTGAAAGGTCAGAAGGCTCTGGCTCTGCATACCTTTGGGGGAGAATAGCTGAAGGCAGCTGTTCTCTGACCCTGAGGCAGAGGGCAAAGAGTAGGTACAAGGAAGTGTAGGGGAATTTATCTCAAACAGGCTTGTTTACTTATGTTGTCCAGAAACCAACCTTTGATCATCTGCGTGCATGACTGCTCCCTAAAATGGGAAACAATAATGTTAATTACCTGCAGATTGTGTTTGCTCCAGGCTTTTGGCATTTTGTCTATGCTGAATGAAAGCAAGCAGCTCCAGCTTATCAAGACTGCTCACTCTTGGGCTGCTAGTGCCAGGCAGTCACCTAGCTGCTCTTACACTGCATACCTGTGTCTGAGTACTCCTTTCATCCATTGCTGGGCCAGGGTCTGTGGGACAGACCTGGCAGTTAAAGCTAACATTTTTAAGTTTGGAATTAAGAGGATTCAATCTTAGCTCCTTAGCTGCCTAACAAACTTTCTGATTCTAGCCACTCTATCCCTTCCTCAAAATTCCTGGCACATAGTAGACACCCATATATTTATTTGTTCACATGTAGTAGACACCCATATATTTGCTGGTTCCTTAGAAGGAAGACACCAAATAAATACATCGGTGTCTACTACATGCCAGGAATTTTTGTTTCACCTGGAATGCCCCTAATGCTTTTGTTTCTAATCAGTCTCAAATTTAGTTATCCCATAAAACTGTTCCAAATTCCCACTTCCTCCATGGCACTTTCTTTAGTCCTTCAAACTCATACTAATAATGAGAATGCCCCAACTGGTATCTTTCAAGTAAATTGGCATCTTCATGTGTTCTAGAATGCTAGTCAATCAAGAATCTTAAATCATGAAGAGTTCATGTTTGTATAGTGCTTATTTTGTGCCAAGCACTAATCTACATACTTTACATCTATTACATTTAAATATCACAACTTCTTGAAATAGATACCATTATAATCCCTATTTTTCAAATGAGGAAACTGGAGCACAGGGATGCTATATGATCTGCCCAAGGTAACACGGTAAGCCGTAGAGCTGGGACTCAAACTCAAGACAACACTGGTTTCAGAACCCATGCTCTAAACCAATAATCCTTATTATGAGTTCCTTCCAGTTTTAAAATTTCTACACATTATTTGGCCAACCCCATCATTTGACTGAAGAGAAACCAAGGAGGAGAGAGATTCAGTGAACTGCTGAAAGTTGCATAAAGCAGAGTTTTTCAAAATTTAGTGTGCATATAAATCACGCAGAGATCCTTAAAAATGCAGATTCTTATTGAATAGGTATAGGATGAAGGCTGAGATTCTACATTTCAAACAAGCTCCCATGATACTGATTTTAAAAACCACGTTCCACACCTTAAGTAGCAAGAACAAAGGGAAATGCTAGCTGAGACTGGAACTCAGTTCTTACTTACTACATCCAGTGCATCTGGCCTAGTAGGTAGGAGGGAGAAAATGTGACTGAGAAGTTACTGGGAAAAAAATCTACCTCATTTTCAATCACCCTAAAATTATTCATGCCGAAATAGATAACAAATTCACCTTTTAGTAATCCAAATACTAACATAAAAAAGTTGTTTAAAATGTTTTTGATTATTAAAGTGGTGACAAATGAATAGTAAATAAGATGCCTTCAGTGAAGACCCTGTTAAAATTTTAAATCCTGAAAGTTCCTGAAATTTAAATGATCCCATAGCTTTGAAGAGTTATAATATCAATTATTCTACTTATAGGAATATATAATAAATACTCCAAATAAAGAAAAATATTTATGCACACTGATACTTATCACTGTTCATAGTCATTTATAAACAACTGTAAGCAACTTCAGTATTTAACAATATAGAATAGTAATACAGTAAGATGCACCCTTGGGAAAATGCAGATTAAGAAAACAGATCTAATTTAACTTAACAGAAGGATAAATTAAAACACACACATTTAAAGTTAACTTCCCTGCAGAGACTTAAATAACCATTGGAGATCTGGGAATAGGAAATAAGCTTCTTATTTTTAAATTCATCCTAATTCACTATGCCATTTAAAATTTAAGAATTTTCTAAAAATATTAAAGGTTTTATTACTGGCTTCTCTGTAAATAATTATAAGATGTAATGGTTATAATAACCTTATGACATTAAGTATTAAACTAAAAGATACCCATGTTATAAATATATTTTTAATCATTCAACATCTTTGGTAATAAATACATTTTTAAGAGCATTTAATAAAATACCAATAATTGATAAACTGAAACCAACCAGTTCTATGTTAATCCTTTCTCAATTTGTATAGTTTATTTTAAAGCTATATCCCACAAAGCATCATTTAATAAAACTATTGCATCCCTGGTCCCAGGAGTAACATCAATTTCTAGCAGGGTTCACCTTTAACAGTAGTATTTTATATTTTCAATGAACGAGAGCCCATATAAGTTCAAACACCTTTCCTATTTACCATGTCTTTTAATTCTGTTTTTAGCTCATGGGTTTCATTTGTACACTCTCACTAATCAGTCCTAATGCTACAACTATTTTTTAAAAATTCACACAAAATATATATATTTATGGTATACAACATAATGTTTTGAAGTATGTATATATTGTGGAATGGCTAAAGTAAGCTAATTAACATATGTATTACCTCATGTATTTGTGACGAAAACACCTAAAATCTACTCTCTAAGCAAATTTCAAGTGTATAATACATTTCATTAAATACAATCACCATAATGTACAAGAAATCTCTTGAATTTATTTCTCATAACCGAAATTTTGTATCCTTGACCAACATTTCCTCAATACCCACTTTCTACAACCCCAGACCCAGTCAGTCACCATTCTGCTCTCTGCTTCTATGAGTTCAACTCTCCTAGAGTCCACATTTAAGTGAGATCATGTAGTTTTTGTGTTTCTGTGCCTGGCTTATTTCACTTAACATAATATCTTCAAGGTTTATCCATGTGATTGCAAATGGCAAGACTCCCTTTTTTAAGGCTGAATAGCATCCATTCATCTGTTGATGAACACTTAGGTTGAATCCATATCTTGGTTATTGTGAACAGTGCTCAATGAACATAGGGGTGCAGATATCCCACCAACATACTTTCCTTTGCTGGATCATATGGTAGATCTGTTTTTTGAGGAACCTTCATACTGCTTTTCACACTAACTTACATTCCCAGCAACCGTATATAACAGTTCCTTTACTTTCCACACTTATTCATCTTTTTGATAATAGCCATCCTAATAGGTGTCAGGTGATATCTTATTAGAGTTTTAATTTGAATTTCCCTGATGATTAATGATGTTGAGCATGTTTTTTTCATATACCTGTTTGGTCATTTATATGTGTTTTTTTGAGAAATATCTATTCAGGTTCTTTTGCACTTTTTTTTTTTTTTTTTTTTTTTTTTTTGGCAGAGTCTCGCTCTGTCTCCCAGGCTGGAGTGCAGTGGCGTGATCTCGGCCCACTGCAAGCTCCGCCTCCTGGGTTCACGCTATTCTCCTGCCTCAGCATCCCGAGTAGCTG
The DNA here is from genome assembly GCF_000001405.40 of Homo sapiens. Lineage (NCBI taxonomy): Eukaryota > Metazoa > Chordata > Mammalia > Primates > Hominidae > Homo > Homo sapiens. The sequence goes on along the minus strand of NC_000002.12, from coordinate 190,133,121 downwards.
GCACTACAGGCGCCCGCCACCACGCCCGGCTAATTTTTTTTGTATTTTTAGTAGAGACGGGGTTTCACTGTGTTAGCCAGGATGGTCTCTATCTCCTGACCTCATGATCCGCCCACCTTGGCCTCCCAAAGTGCTGGGATTACAGGCCTTTTGCACATTTTTAAATTGGCTTATTTGCTTTCTTGCTATTGAATTGTTTGAGTTGCTTATATATTTTAGATATTGACCCCTTATCAGATGCATGGTTTGCAAATATCTTCACCCATTCTGTAAGTTGTCTTTTCACTCTGTTGATTATTTCCTTTATGTGCAGAGCTTTTTAGTTTGATGTAATCTCATTTGTTTATTTTTGCTTTTGTTGCTTGTGCTTTTGGAGTCATCTCCAAAAAAAACATCCCCCAAAGTAATGTCATAGAGCTTTCCCCCTGTGTTTTTTCCTAGTAGTTTTACAGTTTCAGGTCTTATGTTTAAGTGTGTTTCATCTATTTTGAGTTGATTTTTTATATGGTGTGATATAAGGGTCTGATTTCATTCTTCTGCATGTGGATATTCAGTTTTCCCTACACTATTTATTGAAGAGATTGTTCTTTCTCCCATTGTATATGCTTGACATCTTTGCCAAAAATAAATTAACTGTAAAAGCGTGGATTTATTTCTGGGCTCTCTATTCTGTGTGTCTGTTTTTAATGTCAGTACCATGCTGTTTTGATTACTGTAGCCTTGCCTTATATTTTGAAATCAGACAGTGTGATGCCTCCAGCTTTGTTCTTTTTGCTCAAGATTGCATTCGCTATTCAGGGTCTCTTGTGGTTCCATACAAATTTTAGTATTATTTTTTCTATTTCTGTGAAAATTGTCATTGGAATTTTGATAGGGATTATGTTGAACCTGTAGATCGCTTTGTAATATGGACATTTAACAATATCAGTTCTCCTAATCCATGAACACAAGATATCTTTCTGTGTCTTCAATTTATTTCATAAATGTTTTATAGCTTTCGGTGTACAGTTCTTTCACCTCTTTGGTTAAATTTCTTCCTATTTTTTTGGTAGCTATTTTAAATTGGTTTTCTGGATTTTTTTCAGATAGCTCGTTGTTAGTATAAAGAAATGCTATAATTATCTATATGTTGATTCTGTATCCTGCAAAATAACTTATTTTTTAGTGCAAATTTTTTTTTGGTGGAGTCTTTAAGGTTTTCTATATATGAGACTGCTGTGATATAGAAAAACCCGAGTGTTTTTCCTACCTCTACTTTCACAGTCACTCAACACCTCTGACATCAGATGTGTGGATATTTTTTTCCTCTACATACCAAGCAATTTTCTGGCAGATTCTGTGGCAGACACCAGCTCTAATTCAGTTTAATTCTGATACTATCCCACAGGAGATAGTATCAGATCCCACAGGTTTGATCCTACAAGACTGCCCAACTTCAGATGCCGACTGCAAACCCCAGGCTGTGGCCTGATCAGCTGGCTATAAATTGGACTTCCAATGACCCCCACCTTGAATTCTATTAATTTGCTGGAGCAGCTCACAGAACTTGGGGAAACACTTTATTTACCTCTACTCATTTATTATAAAGAAAGGATACAAAGAGCCAGATGGAAGAGATGCATAAAGGAAGGTATGTGGAAAGGCACATGGAGCTCCCATACCCTCTCAAGCCACTTCAACCTCCAGGAACCTCCACTATCCATTCTGCTGTCCAGAAGCAACTCCCCAAACCCCATAGTTCAGGGATTTTTATGAAGGTTTCATCACGTAGGTATAATCAATTATTAACTCCATTTCCAACCTCTCTTCCCTTTCCTGAGAATGGGGAATAGAAGAGTGAAAGCTCCAACCTTAGAACTATGGCTTAGTCTTTCTGGTGATCATTCCCCATCTAGGTGCCCACTAAGAGTTGCCCCATTAGAACAAAAGATGCTTCTATCACCCTGGAAACTACAAGGGATATTTAGGATCGCTGTGTCAGGAACCAGGGTCAAAGACCAAATATTAGAACAAAAGATTCTTCTAGCATCCCTATCACTCAGGAAATTACAAGGATTTCAGGAGCCCTGTTACAAGGAATGGGGGCAGAGACCAATACATATATTTCTTATAATTTCACAGCCTTCACTCTGGTCTCTGGCCATGGACCCCTTACAGCAAAATGATCATATCTATCTGAGCATTTACATTTAGTGTCACATTTATACAACAAATATAGCAAATACCTAACATTTAGAGAAGCCAGTGTAGGGTAGGGGTAGATTTAAAGAAACAATGAGTTTTCCCTAAAAATCCATTATATACATTTTCGTATTCTGGCACTGATTTGCTTATTCTCTTTCTCTGTTGATCTACCGCTGTTTGTACCTTATGATAAACTTGTGCAGAACTATTTAGCATAGGAATAAACTGATAGCTAGCGAGATCCAGGTCCTTCTCAAGCCAGTCATTTTCTATAGATATTACATCCTCAGGAGGCTTTATTTTAATCTCTCTGTACATTTGATCATCAATACAGTATTATCCTAAAACATTTACATGAGGTAGTTGAATCTTACCAACAACACCTATATTCCACCATACTGCAGGGGTAAGAGAAGAAAACTAGCAGGATTTAGCTTTTTAAAATTTTTTTGCATTGCAACTACTGTATGTATCTACTAAATTAGAAACTTGTATCTAACTAAAATGATACGTTTGAATATGGCTGGCCTGATGAATGAAAAGACTAGGATTTGATGTTCTCTGTCTCCAATGTGTCTTCCTCCTTATTTGTTCCCAACATCTAACTTTCAATTGCAGTATTAGAAAATTTCCAGGTCAAGGCCTTTTCCCCAGTTAAAATTCAAATGCCTTAGAGACACAAAGACCTAGTCATCAATTCTTATACTCCTTCTTTGAGAAACTGAGAAGGAATTTCAGTAGATGGGTGAGAAAAATAGCTGGAATGAATGATAGAGTACTAGTTATAAAATAGTTTATAAAATCTCTCTGTGTGATCTGTGATAGGGTCACTTAGCCTGCCCTGGTTTCAGTTTGTTCATCTCTAATATGAAAAATTGGACTAGAAGTCTATTCCTGTTGTAACATACTACATCTTCAGGCCCCAAATCCAGCCCAGTTTACAAGAATGAATAAACATAGTAAAATAGAAGAGGGCCTCTGTAAACCAAGTAACCACAAGATAGAAAAATATCCTGGGCTGGATGGGAAGGGATCTCTTAAAAGGAGGAGAGGCACTCAGAGGAAGAAGGACAGAGAAGGCCTGTCTCACCAGGTCCACAGTTGTACCTACAGCCAGTTCTCTTTAGAGATAGGTCTATCTTTGTGAGATTATTCATGTAGGTATTCTGAAGGTCCTGCTAGCTATAGGATCTTCTGATCATGGTGACTTACACAAGACTCACATCTCTCTACCTCTCCACTTGTCTGGTTTGGTTACTTGCTAATATTATTGCCTCTGTTTTCTTCTCTAACAGATGCTGCAACCCACCGAGAACAACATTAGACTATACTATGCCCACATTAATTACTTTCCCCCTCATCACCTTAGAAAATACTTTCATTTTTCAGTATTGTGTGGACACCTGTGAGCTGGTTATTTTGAAAAAGGAAAAACCCAACCAATTAAAATGGACTGCTCTATTAAAGAACATAACATAATCAGGGCACATGGCAAGTATTTATTTGTTTTTTAAAAATAAGTATGTTGAGGGATGGGAGTGATTCTGACTATCAAATATTTTACAAAGATATTCACAAAATCATTTATATTTTGTCTGTGAATAAATTTTAATTACACAAATAATTTATGGGTCCAATTTTTTAATTGAAATCTTCCAGCATAACTTTTCATGGTTGCAACCACACTTTTATAGAAAAAGTTTAGACATAATCCAGACATCCATAAATAAGGAATTAATTAAATTATGAGGCATCAGTAAATGGAGTACTCTACAGCTATTAAAAAATGAGGCAGATATACATGTACTGATTTGTACAGAAGCCAAATATATGCCAGTTGATGTACATGTGCTGAATTCTAAGAAACTGAAATATATGCCAGTTGTAGAATGTTATGTACAACCTAATTTCAATTGTGGTAAACACAGGTATACACATATATGCTTACGTCATATCATTAAAAAATATTCCAGGTTCATAAACAGAGCTACCATATGTAGGTGTTTTCTGAAGTGCAAGGAGACATCATTCATAGTCTTCTATGATAATCAATTGACTGGCATCCCCTTAAGGGGGATATGCAACATGGAAATCCTATAAGGATACATAGCTCTTAAGTTTAGGTTTTTATACTATTAGAGACTTTTCTTCTTTATACATTTCTACATTGAGGGTTTTGTTGTTTGTTTTGTTTTGTATAATACGTGTTACATCAATTTTATGAACATAAACACATGCAAAGAAGCATGTAAACAAACCAAAAATCTATGATGGCAATTCTGGGTAGGAGGAAAAGCAATATATTTATTAAGCATTCATTGAAGACGTACATCATAAACATGTATTATTTGTGTGTTTAAGATATCCTGATTTAAATGGGCTGCCCTGGGGCATATGACTAATCTTTGGCAGAACCAGCACTAGACTCCGGTACCATTGCACTCCCTCTCCTTCTCCGTTACAGTTCCTGTAGCACTTGCCCTGTGTCAAGACCATAGATTAGCTGGGTAGAGTTTGGCTGCCTTTTGTGCCTTGTGGATAGATTTCTGATTAATCCATCTTTAGCTCTAAACACTCTTGGTTATTACCATGTCCAGATTCCCTGTAAAAACACCCTCTGTATATTCCAAGCATTTTTAGGTTCTTTAGATGGATTGGTTTCTTTTGTGACCTCTCATTGGATTTTTACCAGTTTGATAGGGCGTGTGGACCCATTAAATAATGTTCTCTAAAACCCCAATGAAAACTGCTATTTCACTTCCTTAAAGAGACATTAGCTCCATTAGAAGAAAAAGACACAATGCTATTTCATACTAAGAATCAGTTTCTTTTCTTAAAATATATAGCTGTATTTCCACATTGAGTGCCACCCTCACATTTTTCCCCTCTGAGTGCCACCCCTACTGTTATTTCCTTATTACTTTATTAAATTGACTCATTTTATTTTGTATAAACTTATTTAAATTTTATATCTGTGATTTAAATTTTATATCTGTGAATTCTCAGGTTGATGGGTTTCATTATATTGTTTTATTATATATAGAGACTGTAAAAGTAAAACCTCCTTGAACCACATAAAACCATCTCAGGTACCATCAGCACTGTGTGTACCATGCTTTGGGAAACACTGTTTAAGGCCATCTGGGACTGTTGGTGGAATGGCCAGAGAAGGGAGAAATAAAAAAGATAAGAAACAAAAATGATGTTGATATAAGTTTATAAAAATATAACTCAATTTAAAAAATAACTTCAATGGTAGTAAACATTGCCTTCTTGGTATGGTTTGACTCAGATTTAGATTAACACATTATTCATGTTCTAATATAATACTTGAATATAATTTCCTCCTACAGATCTTTAGTGGCTAATAAACTTTATGGTGTTTTTTCACATATATTTTTATTTTGTAATAGTATAAAAGCTACATTTAGACAGCTTTAGTATTTGCCATGTGTCTCAAATATGCACAAGTACTCAGCTTGTCCAAGATATATTATCCATAAATCCATTATTCACTTCTCAATATCCCATTTACTTATTGCTCTTGGTGGTCATTTGGGGATGTGCGGTTGGAGGAGGAAAAACTGTGTTGGTGGAAATGGGCTTCCCAAGATCCTAGAAAGCTAGAGTCAGGACACCATTCACCGATATATGAGCATTCATTCTGCTTTTTCCTCTGAATAAGCTTTCTGCCAAGTTTGGCTTGAGAACCAGAGTTCCAGATGTCTTATTTTTTTTTTTTTTTCCAGTCAGGGCACATATTGCTTAAGTTCTTTCCAAATAGTAATTTACATCCCTGGTATACAAAAGTATAAGACAAAATTAAGCTTTCCAGATCTGGAAAGACTTACTTTGTGCAGCTATATATCCCTTAACAGTGCTACACCTTGTTTACAGCTCTACATCCCTCTTTGGGTGCTCTGGTGGCCAAAGGAAGCTGTACTGAAATATGCTGAAGATGTGGCCAGCTGGCTTCCACTAAGCTTGTCTGTCCTTAGCCAAGTACATCAGAAACTTGAGGAGAGTGTGTGTGTACATCTTCTTTCCCAACATCTATAGTCTATTTAAACTTACAAAGTTGAGAGAGAGAGAGAACTTGACAAGTCTTTTGATGTCTTTTATTTATGCCTATCATTTAAGTAAAAACCATCTTCACTTTGTTTTTTTTTTACTTTTTCCTGTCACTCTTGCCCCTCCCCAAATCTGTAATTTTGTGGGTCAAAATCTATTTGCTTTATGTTTTCTTACCTAAAGTCCTAATAATGTGCTCTTAAACAATTATGTATTCAAGAGTTATTGTAGATAAGTAAATTAATCACCAACTGAAGATTTTATTTTTATAGAACATAAAATAAAACAGCATTTCTTACATTTCTTTTATATGTATTTAGAATGTGAGGTAAAGCTCTTTAAGACCGGAAAAATAAACTCTGTAGGTTTATCTCATATGAGAATCATGGCACTACTCAAGGATTAAGCTTTTTTTCTTCTCAAGGATATTGTAAAGGATACTTTCAGGTAACTATGCTATCTTATACATATTTACACAACAGAATTTTCTGTTAAGAAAATTGTACCTATATAGTGATAATTTCTAGCACAAAATATACACCTTTTTTTTTTTTTTTTTTTTTTTTTTTTTTTTTTTGAGATGGAATCTCGCTCTGTTGCCAGGCTGGACTGCAGTGGCTCAATCTCAGCTCACTGCAACCTCCACCTCCAGGATTCAAGCAATTCCCCTGCCTCAGCCTCCTGAGTAGCTGGGACTACAGGTGTGCTCCACCACGCCCGGCTAATTTTTTGTATTTTAGTAGAGACAGGATTTCATCATGTTGGCCAGGATGGTCTCAATCTTCTGACCTCATGATCTGCCCACCTCGGCCTCCCAAAGTGCTGGGATTACAGGTGTGAGCCACTGTGCCCAGCCTATACTCTCATTTTTAATACATTACTTCTGTGATAATTAATAAATCTGAATTATTAAAAACATTATTGTTTTTAAAAAGGTTTTAAGGGTCATTAAAAATATCTCATGCCATGCATTTTTATAGCTTTATATAAGTAATATCTTGAAAATCTATACCTCTGGGAATTGCCGTGCTGTTTTATTAATTTGCCTCTTCCTTCCAAAACCTAATTAAGTATGGTGGGGAAGCATTTATTTTGTTCCCCTCAGTATTACATTCATGACTCTATAGAAAGGCATTTTGCTCCATTAACTTTTATTTCACTAGAAACTGCCTTTAGAGTGCCATGTTATCCATCATGATCTTTATGTGACAGATTTCCCAACAAAGATCCCGGACTGTTTTTCATAAACGGAATTGTAGGAAAAGAGAAAGCACTTCAGACAATTCACTATTCCAGCACTGATTTTTGCATTGATTACAGAGTGGCTGGTTCCTTGGTTTGCCTCATTTAGATCAAATCCAAAATCAAGTGAAAAAATCTATACTTTGTAGAAAGCTGTTCTAAAGACCAATGGAGATCCAAAACAGTTTCATTGGATTATATCACTGGATATAATCTCTGAATTACATACAGGGCATCTGTATCAGCGTTCTCCACTGAGACAGAACCAATTGGACATAGACACAGTCATGCACCATATAACTATGTTTCAGTCAACAACGAACTGTGTATATGAGGGTCCCATATGATTATCTGCAGCTGAAACATTCCTATCACCTAGGGATATCATTACAGCCATGCTGATGTCATAGTACAATGCACAACTCACATGATTGTGGTGGTGCTGGTGTAAACAAACTTACTGCACTGACTTTTTATCATTACTTTAGAGTGTACTCCTTATACTTCCAAAAAAAAGACGTTAATTGTAAAACAGCCTCCAGAAGGTCCTTCAGGAGGTATTCCAGAAGCAGGCATGTTGTCAGAGGAGATGACAGCTCCATGTGTGTTACTGCCCCTCAAAAACTTCCAGGAGGACAAGATATGGAGGTGGAAACAATGATATTGATGATTCTGACCCTGTGTAGGCCTAGGCTAATGTGTGTGTTTTTGTCTTCGATTTTAACAAAAAAGTTTAAAAGTAAAAAATAAAAAATTTAAAAAATAGAAAAAAGTTTATAGAGTAAGGGCATAAAGAAAAAATATTTTTGTACAGATGTATAATGTGTTTATGTTTTAAGCTAAGAATTATTACAAAAGGGTAGAAAAATCTTTAAAAATTAAAAAGTTTTTATAAAGTAAGAAAGTTACAGTAAGCTAAAAGACAGGGTCTCTGTCACCCAGGCTAGAGTGCAGTGGTTTGATCATAGCTTACTGCAGCCTCGAACTGTTGGGCTCAAGTGATCCTCCCATCTCAGACTTCTGAGTAGCTGGGGCTACAGGTGTGCATGACCATGCCTGGCTAATTTCCTTATTTTTTGTAGAGATAGGGTTTTACTATTTTGCCCAGGCTGGCCTTGCGCTCCTGCCATTTTAAAATCTTTTATGCTGTAGTTTTCCAGTACCTTTTGTATATTTAGATATACACATATTTACCACTGCATTACAGTTGCCTGTAGCATTCAGTACAGTAACATGCTGTACAGGTTTGTAGACTAGAAGTTATAGGCTATACCATATAGCCTAGGTGTGCAGTAGGCTACACCATCTAGGTTTGTGTAAGTATAATCTCTCATGTTTGCAAAGCAATGAAATTGCCTAACAATGCATTTCTCAGAACATACATCTGTTGTTGGATGACACGACTGCATAGGTATGAGAGGGGACTTATCAGGGGAATTGGCTCACACTATTATGGTGGTTGAGAAGTCCCATGACAGGCCATCTGCAATCTGGAGACCCTGAGATGCCAGTAGCATGGCTCATAGTCTGAAAGCCTCAGAACCAGGGCAGCCGATCATATAACTCTCAGTATGAGGCAGAAGACCTAAGAATCAGGGAGGCTGCTGGTGTAAATCCTTGAGTCCAAAGGACTTGAGTCCAGAAATCCCTGGAGTTCTGTTGTCCAAGGTAGGATATTAGTGTATCCCAGCTCCAGGAGATAGATCAATACATCCATCATTTCTGTTTTTGTTCTCATGAGGTCCCCAGCTGATTGGATGGTGGCCACTCACATTGAGGGTGGATCTTCTCCACCTACATGCGCTCAGACTCACATGCTAATCTCCTCTGGAAACACCCTCTTAGACACAACCAAAAATAATGCTTTACCAGGTTTCTAGATTTTTCTTAATCCAGGTTAGTTGGCTCCTAAAATTAGCCATCACAGCATCATTTCACTGACAGGGGTGGGCTTTCTGTAGTCAATTTACTGTGGTGAGTCTTGCAATCCTGAGCGATCAGAGAAGCTATGGATTCACATCTTCAAAACTTAGAAGCATATACATTTGAGATAATTTGACATTTTCTGAAAATGCACTTAAATTAAATGTGGAAGACCTGAAGTGGAGAAAGAATTTAAAAGCTAATAATATTATCTTTTGATAATCCTTATGAAAGCACAGGACTGATTTTACAGCACACAGAATAACTAACCTTCACACCTAAATATCAAGCTTTGCCAGGGAAAAAGATTTGGAAGGGGGAAACAAACAAATCACAGGTAGTTTTGCAGGTAAAATAAAACTATATAAAAGAAAGTTAATATAAGCTAACTAAAAGTCAGAGTGCTAAGAACAAGGATGATTTGACAATAAAAATCAAGAAACACTGAACAAATTCTTAAATATATGCTTAAAAAGGATTGATGAGAAAATGAGAAAAGATACAAGCAGATTTAAAAACTCAGAATAAGTTATATAACAATTAAAATATTCAAGTTCTTATGCTATATTTCTTGAATATTCTATATTTAGTGTGTGTGTGGGGGGCTCATGCTAGTAATCCCAGTGCTTTGGGAGGCTGGGGCAGGAGGATCACTTGAGGCCAGGAGTTTAAGACCAGCTTGGGCAACATAGCGAGATCTTGTCTCTACAAAAAAATTTTTTTAATTAGCCAGGCATGGTGGTATATGCCTACAGTCCCAGCTACTCAGGAGGCCAAAGTAGGAAGATAGCATGAGCCCAAGTGTTCAAGGTTGCAGTGAGCTATGATCATGCCACTGCACTCCAGCCTGGGTGACAGAGCAAGTCCTTGTCTCTAACAAAAAAAAAAAAAGAGAGAGAGAGAGGTGATCATCATTAAAAGAACAAAGTCTGAGCATTACCATGTCAATAATATTTTCCATATTAATACAATGCAATGTGAAACTGTAATAAATATAGTTTCTAATAAGCATTTGTAAGGAATAAAGGCTACATTACACAGTAAAAAGCCAAGCACTATTGTGGAGTCAAAGAATGAGAATGACATTTAGAATCATCTTGGAATCCTCTCACATGAAAAACTTACTGGAATTAAAGAAGAGTATGATCTGAATTGCCTTAATTACAAAAATAAAAGGAAACAGAAGTCTGCCCTAAAGTGAAACTGATTAAACAAATAAACTAAGTTAGTGCAACCAGTGTGAGAAGATAAACTACAGTGGTTTTGACAAGGTCTTCATCTTTAAAGAGACAAAGAAACTGACATAAGTGAGCAGAAGCTTCAGATAAAGTAGAAAATACATAAAATTAACAGCCTCAAGGATCTGGTAACAGCCATCTTTCCCCATTTTTAGCCCTGCTCCACCATGATTTCAGATCAGTCTTCACAAGGGCACAATGGACTTCTGCCTGTTCATTCTCATCTTGAATTCAAATGCCCCTTTTATCAATGGCCTAGAATGAATGCAGTCACTGTTTTTCAGTCACAAACTCACCACTAGGTTGCAGTCTTAGCTCAACTGCTTCTTTTAAAATATCTATCGACAAGTACTTTGCCATTTTATTGGTTAAATGATTTTTACTTCTCCCTTAAGACAAAAGCTGATACAAGCCATACTCAGTTTATCAATCAGTTCAGTAACCTGCCTAGATTCCATTAACAGATACATTGTTTTTCAAGAGCATTAAAACTCACAAATTCCCCCTCAAAGAAGTTCTCATTCATCAGCAAAACACATCATCACTTAGTTAAAACAAACAAACAAACAAAAAAACACAAAAACAAAAAATCCCATGGGTATTTTAAGCCTCTAGTTTCAATATAGGACCAACCTCTAAGTAATAAGTACATACTTACTGCTCTGTTTCCATTGCTTTTCTTGGGTCTTAAAATTCCCACATAAGAATCAGTCTTGCTGAACTGATTCCTTTGAAAAGTCTACCTGTCTATAATCATTATGGTACTTCCATTAGTAGTTTCCCAAATGAGCTTCATGTAATATTAATTCCTTAATCCCCAAAAGCATATTTTAAAGGAACTTGGCACTTTTTATTTTTAAAGGGAAAACCCAGAGATAGATGAAAATAAAATAAGGAAATGAAACAATATCATATTTATAATTCATTTGAATACTTTTCTAATGGAAGTGCCCATAAATGTGGTGTTTCCAGTCTGTGAATGACTCATAAGTTTTGTGAATATTTTGGAGGGGGTAGATAGCTATCAAAAATTGTTCTGAAGAAAATAATAAACCAGGTCTGGTGGCTCACACTTGTAATCCCAGCACTTTGGGAGGCCAAGGCAGGAGGATCACTTGAGCCCAGGTGTTTATGACCAGCCTGGGCAACATAGAGAGACCCTGTCCTTACAAAAAATTAAAAAATTAGCTGGGTGTGGTGGCACATGCCTATAGTCCCAGCTACTTGGGAGGCTGGGGTGGGAGGATCACTTGAGCCTAAGAAGTCAAGGCTGCAGTGAGCCATGATATGCCACTGCACTCCAGCCTGGGTGACATTGCAAAGCCCTGTCAAGAAAAAAAAAAAAAAAAAGACTTAGATTTTTAGTTTGGAATACACTTTTAAAAAAAATTTCCAACATTAATAATCTATCAAATTTTAATTATAAAATAGGTCATACATAATCACACGAACTCCCCCAAATTCCTAAAAGAATAAGCAGCTGGTAATAGTCACATAAAATAGAGAACACTCATTAAGAACCTACTATATGTCAGATCTCATAGTTGGTGTTGACATGCACCACTTCTTTTAATCTGCCCAACAATCCTGTAAGGTAAATTCCTTTATCATCCAAGCAATCTCTGCTTTGCATGGAAGTGTGGGACTTTAAAAATGACTGTGCTACCTGAAACTGTGCCAAGAGAGCTTAATAATCAAAGGCAAAAATTACAGTTGTTCTACAACTTCAAAAAATTCTGTCAAAACTTTAAAATTTTTCCTACTGCTGATTATAAATATATAGGGAAATTAAAAATTTATAAAACAAATAAGTTAGCATACTGCAACTTAAAGCATCAAAAACATAGGGAATTAAAGTGAGTTATTTCTTCAAAAATAATCGAGAGTAGTTTGAGTGGTTCCAGCCTTGTTTCTCCTGTCATGTAACACAATATAGAGCCCGTGTCTTTTCTATGCCTTGGCAAATTGTTATACTCCTTTCTAAGTTTGTATCAGCATTAATTTTATCCTTTATGCTTTCAGTGTCATCAAATATCTCTAAGACTGCCTTTAATGTGAAGTTTTCTTGCCAGCATCACTTCCTCTGAGACAGGCCCCCCCCAGCTTTTTTGGCACCAGGGACTGGTTTCGCGGAAGACAATTTTTCCATAAAAAATTAGGGCAGTGGGGTGGTTAGTTTCGGGATGAAACTTTTACACCTCAGATGATCAGGAGATTCTCATAAGGTGCGCGAAACCTGGATCCCTCCCATAAGCAGTTCACAATAGGGTTTGCCCTCGTATGAGAATCTAATGCTGCAGCTGATCTGACAGGAAGTAGAGCTCAGGCTGTAAACAAACTTGCCCGCTGCTCACCTCCTCTTGTGTGGCCTGGTTCCTAACAGGCCACGGACTGGTACCGTCCGCGGCCCTCGGGTTGGGGACCCCTGCTTTGAGACAGCTTCATCTTTTCCATTACAACTACTTTACTCATTTGTGTTGATAAGTCTGCCTTTACAAAGTTCCTCTGGTTATATATCCAGGGTCTTTCACATGGCAACAATGTCAACATTCCCTCAGTCTACTATTTCTCCTATAACTCCATTTATGTTCAATTTGCATTTCATTTCCAGCATTACCACTTTTCATTTCTTTGCTGCACTTCATCTTTTTGGCCAATTTTTTCTTTCAAATATCTGTTTTTTTCAGAATGTCACATGGGATTGTTACTGGGAGCCAAGGAGTTAACACTAACTGTGGTAGGAGTTAATAAGAAATTATTTTAGGCAGATAGAGAGGAAAAAAGGGTTATTGGAAGGTTTTTTCGCAGCTCTTGTCTAGCATGAAAACCCTGGCTCTTACACCCTAGCTGGCAACCTTTAATATGCAAATGCAAGCCGTTAGAAACTGGGTCCACCCAACATAGCGATTCTCACGGTTGTCCTCTTGCCCTTGCCCCCACATGTGCCTGGAAGCGTGGCCACCCCCACGTATCCCCACGTGTGCAGAACTCATAGTGCCCTGCATTTGCGTGTTAAAAGACTAAGGTGGGAGGGCCAGTTTTTTCTGGGGGCTACGTGAATGACATGCCTAGTCAAACCAATCCCCTGAGCCCTATGCAAATCAGACACCGCCTCCTCCAGCCATCGCCTATAACTGGCTGATACTACCTAAGCGCGGGGTTCCCTCTTTCAGCTTTGGAGCCCGCCTCGCTCTATCTCTGTATAGGGGAGCCTCTTCCTTCTGCCTTCTCTTTTCTTTCTTGCCTATTAAACTTTCTGCTCCTTAAAACCACTCCATGTGTGTCCGTGTCATTTTATCTAAACTGGCATGAAGACCAAGAACCCTGGTGTTCTCTTTGAAGCAATCGTGAATGGGAGTTCACTCATGATTTGGCTCTCTGTTTGTCTGTTATTGCTGTATAAGAATGCTTGTGATTTTTGCACATTGATTTTGTATCCTGAGACTTTGCTGAAGTTGCCTATCAGCTTAAGGAGATTTCGGGCTGAGACAATGGAGTTTTCTAGATATACAATCCTGTCATCTGCAAACAGGGACAATTTGACTTCCTCTTTTCCTAATTGAATACCCTTTATTTCTTTCTCCTGCCTGATTGCCCTGGCCAGAACTTCCAACAGTATGTTGAATAGGAATGGTGAGAAAGGGCATCCCTGTCTTGTGCCTGTTTTCAAAGGGAATGCTTCCAGTTTTTGCCCATTCAGTATGATATTGGCTGTGGGTTTGTCATAAATAGCTCTGATTATTTTGAGATAAGTCCCATCAATACCTAATTTATTGAGAGTTTTTAGCATGAAGGGCTGTTGAATTTTGTCACAGGCCTTTTCTGCATCTATTGAGATAATCATGTGGTTTTTGTCTTTGGTTCTGTTTATATGCTGGATTACGTTTATTGATTTGCATATGTTGAACCAGCCTTGCATCCCAGGGATGAAGCCCACTTGATCATGGTGGATAAGCTTTTTGATGTGCTGCTGGATTTGGTTTGCCAGTATTTTATTGAGGATTTTCGCATCGATGTTCATCAGGGATATTGGTCTAAAATTCTCTTTTTTTGTTGTGTCTCTGCCAGGCTTTGCTATCAGGATGATGCTGGCCTCATTAAATGAGTTAGGGAGGATTCCCTCTTTTTCTATTGATTGGAATAGTTTCAGAAGGAATGGTACCAGCTCCTCCTTGTACCTCTGGTAGAATTCGGCTGTGAATCTGTCTGGTCTTGGACTTTTTTTGGTTGGTAAGCTATTAATTATTGCCTCAATTTCAGAGCCTGTTATTGGTCTAGTAAGAGATTCAACTTTTTCCTGGTTTAGTCTTGGGAGGGTGTATGTGTCCAGGAATTTATCCATTTCATCTAGATTTTCTAGTTTATTTGCGTAGAGGTGTTTACAGTACTCTCTGATGGTAGTTTGTATTTCTGTGGGATCGGTGGTGATATCCCCTTTATCATTTTTTATTGCATCTATTTGATTCTTTTTTCTTCTTTATTAGTCTTGCTAGTGGTCTATCAATTTTGTTGATCTTTTCAAAAAACCAGCTTTGCCTAATCCAAAAGTACCAGCAGCCTACGTTAGCAACCAAACAAAAAGGGGACCTTCCCAGCCTAGAAAGGAGACAGTGAGTGTAGCACATTCATTGTGGATCCAAAGAGTCTGTCTTCCCATATGTCTTCAGATTCTACAAGCCATACACTTCTCTCCTCATATATCTGGCTTTCTTCGGGGAGCCAGAGGCTAGATAAGAGATAGTATTTTATGCAAGCGAAGTTTATTGCTATCTAAAAGAATTATTTAAAATATTGGATAGAACTTTAGATTGGATTGGGCATTGTTTTTGTTTCATTCTTCTAAGCAGTGGGTGATGGGCATTGGAAGACCAGATCAACTACAAAGTAAAGAAGCTACAAATTATCTGCATGCTTAAATTACTGTGCTACTATTACAATATGTTAACATGTATTGCGAAACTCTAAGAATGAAAGACTGTGTGTAGCATTTCCACATGAATTTAAACACAGAACCCTACTTACCTTTTTTTTTCCTTCAAGAATAATGAAAGCTAACCTATTGTATACTACTATTTGCCAGGGTCTATATTAATTAAAAATATTTCACAATAACATTATAGGATAACACTAAGTTAGAATCTATTTTCATTCCCATTGTAGCCTAGGAAATTTGCAGTGAGGCTCATGAAGATTTCAGTCTCAGGGGTTCTTACTTGCACAAGGCCTTTTATAATTTTTTATTTTTCTCTTTAAGAAAGCCACTATATTTCAGCTCCACCACACCTTGCCACCTGACTGCTGCCTACATGATATGGAAGGTCCACAACAGAGCCTAGCTGGTAAAGAAAAATAACAAGGAGAAAAGATCTGTATTAGCCACTTACATTTTAGAGATCAGAAAACTGAAATCTAGAGAGATTAAGTAACTCATTCAAAGTCATACCATTAGTGAGTCTCATGAGCTGGGATGTGAACCCTGGCCATCTGACACCATACCTTCATACCATTAATCACTAGGCTATACTGCCTCTCTTCAGCTGGATCTATTATTTCCATAGTAAGCTAGTTTTTTAATTCATTTAGTAGAGTAGGGTGATGGGTCTTGGGGAAAAAGTATGAATCTGCCTAAATACATTCCTAGAAAGTTGAATAGCCATACAAGAGTTTAAGAATAAATCAAAACCAGTTCTGGGCCAGATGGGAAACTAAGACCAGGCTGCCAGCTCCTGCCTCACACCCAACTCTGGGCACACCAGAAGAGAGAAATGGAAATTTATAAAACCCAGAGCCATGCTCAGCAGTGAAAACAAACCCTGTGAGTGGTCCTTAGGAATTAAAAAGTACTCCCAATGTAGACAGAAAATGGCGGTGAGGATGGAGGGGAGGGCTAGCAGGCTACAACTGGGATATGGATTGAGGTAGAAAATGTGCTATAGTTTTAACTGTATCCCCCAAAAGGCATGTGTTGGAAGTTTAATCCCCAATGCTACGGTGTTGGGAGATGGGGACTAGTGGGAAGCATTTAGGTTTATGAGAGCTCCACCCTCATGAATGGATAAATGATGACTATAAAAGAGATTGAGGCTGTGAGTTCAATCTCTTACTCTCTCACATGCACTCTCTTGCCCCTTTGCTTTCTGGCAGGGAATAACAGCAAGAAGGCCCTCACCAGATGCAGTTCCTTGATCTTGAACTTCCCCACCTCCAGAACCATGAGCCCATAAATTTCTGTTCATTATAAATTACTTGGTCTCAGGTATTTTTTAATATAAACACAAAATGGACTAAGAGTGCTAATGGCATATTGTTATTTTTCCCCTTTTTTCCTGTGATATCACAATACTGGAGGTACAATCAGAATCAGTCGAGCTGTGGCCGGAGTGAGAATATACCTCTTCTATTTAATGTTGAAAGTTTGACAAGGGCTTGCAGGTTTGCGTAGAAATTATAGCTGTGCAAAACAGGACATTTGGTATGCATCAACACGTACACATACACATGCATATAGTGCATGAGTATGAACTTCCTAGAACATTGCCCATTACTTTCATCTCAGGAAGACGGAAAGCAAGAGTATCAACTGGGCGTAGCCATGTGAAAATAGGATAGAGCCTGGATCTAGCTGGAGTGAGAAGTCAGAAGAGGTAGTGCCCATTAGGCCTCTGACCATTTCTCCCATTCCTCACCTCATTCTCTGACCAGGAAAGGACATCACAAAGAAAGGCATTGTTCTGAGACATGAACAGTGTCTCTAGTGGAGGGACTGAGAATATCCCAAGGGAGAAGTAGACCCTTGAAAGGGAAAATAGGAAATAATGGAATCCAGATTAAAATATATGCTTCTTGGCCGGGCGCGGTGGCTCACGCCTGTAATCCCAGCACTTTGGGAGGCCGAGGCGGGCGGATCACGAGGTCAGGAGATCGAGACCATCCCAGCTAAAACGGTGAAACCCCGTCTCTACTAAAAATACAAAAAATTAGCCGGGCGTAGTGGCGGGCGCCTGTAGTCCCAGCTACTTGGGAGGCTGAGGCAGGAGAATGGCGTGAACCCGGGAGGCGGAGCTTGCAGTGAGCCGAGATTGCGCCACTGCACTCCAGCCTGGGCGACAGAGCGAGACTCCATCTCAAAAAAAAAAAAAAAAAAAAAAAAAAAAAAAAAAAATATATATATATATATATATATATATATATATATATATATATGCTTCTTGCCTTGTCTCTCCTTCCCTCTCCTTTCTACTTCTCCTTCTCTCTCTGTCTCTCTCTGTCTCTCTCTCTCTGTCTCTCTCCCCCTCACACACACACACACTCACACACACACACTCTTTCTCTCTCTCTCCCTCTCTCTCATCCCCTGCCCCCCATAAGCCAAAGCCTAGGCTTTTGTTCCAGGTAAATGTCATTAACCAAGGGAGTAGATTATGCTAAGGAATAAAGATGATCCTAAGGTGAAAAACAATTAGATCTCTAAGGAACATGAGCATTTTGAAATAAAGATGACAAATTACAACAAAATTTAACAATATCAAAGATTAAAAGAAAATTCTAAAAGCTTCCAGAGACAAAAAGAAGGTAACAATTTCAAAAAGATCACATTAAAAAAATACAAATTAGGCATTAGACTTTTGAATAGCAACACTGGTTAGAAGACAATTATATTTTCAAAGTTTGGAAGGAAAATACATTTACTCTTAAAAACTTTCTTTTCAGCTGGGCGCGGTGGCTCAAGCCTGTAATCCCAGCACTTTGGGAGGCCGAGATGGGTGGATCAAGAGGTCAGGAGATCGAGACCATCCTGGCTAACACGGTGAAACCCCGTCTCTACTAAAAGTACAAAAAAATTAGCCAGGCATGGTGGCGGGTGCCTGTAGTCCCAGCTACTCGGAAGGCTGAGGCAGGAGAATGGCGTGAATCCAGGAGGTGAAGCTTGCAGTGAGCCGAGATCGCGCCACTGGACTCCCGCCTGGGCAACAGAGCGAGACTCCGTCTCAAAAACAAACAAACAAACAAACAAACAAAACACTTTCTTTTCTAGCTAAACTATAATTTAAGTGTGAGGAGAAATAAATTTCAGAAAATGTATTATACATCCCTTTTGAAATAACTATTATAGGCCATTCTCCAGGAAAAAGAGAAATGAATCCAGGAGTAGGCAGTGAGATATGAAAAGTATGAATGAGTAAAGAATTAGACTTTCTTATTGTCTAAATGAGAAATTACTACAAATAAACCCATTCAATCTTTATGAATCCAGAATTAAAATGCTAAATGACACAAACAGGAACTTGGGGTATATGGATATAGATCAAAGTATGATAAGAACCAGTGAAGCTCATTGATTTGTTTGCGGAAAAGACTGAGATATCAATAAGCTTTAGCTATTTTCCCTACTCTTAGGTGGTATAGTAACCTAAGAGTAACCAACAGAAGAATAAAAGTAAAATAAGAGTAACTTTCAGAATGACAGAAACAAATTGATTATCCAGTAGATGGTAAGAGAGGAAAAAAAGAAACAAAACCCAGGAAGAAAGCAGTGTCTTATCCTAGTTTCCTTTAAAAAGAGAGCCTGAATCAAGGTCTTGTATGCAGGCAGATTACTTTGTAAAAGTATCTCAAGGAACAGGGGTAGGGGACTGGGAAGAGTGAAACAGGGAAGGAAAGCCAATTTATGGGTGCTTCAAGTTGATTTACCATAGTGGGCAAACTAGGACTCCATCCACCAGGGAGGGACTTCTGAGGAGTCATGCAGAATGCACTCCAGAATTGTCTACTCCTGGGATAGAAAAGAGGAATATTTATCTTCTAGCTCCTATACTTCATTGATTAACGGTTATCCATGGGTTTTAATTCCTCTGCACTTCTTGGTTTATCCATATGTCATAAGGGTGAGAGGTTCTTGCAGGTATGCCAGGTAGTGGTGATAAAGAAGCTCTGAAGTAGAAATCTAGAGATCCATAGTGCAGTTGAGACAATATGCTGTCTGGAGTAAAATGATGACCCAAAAGATGACAGCAATAATTATAACGCTATTAATGGGCTCAACTGATCATACTGTTAAAGAAATGCAGTACTATGTTAAACTTTGAAGAATGCATACAAAAATATTAACACACACACACATAAATATATGTTGAGTGTCTTTTTTGAAACTCTTGCCCATTGTATTAGATTGACCCTGTCTCAGTTACTGATTAAAGAGATAGCAAATTAAGGAGAATATCATGAGGAAAATTTCAAAAGACTTCAAACTAAATGAAAACGCTGACCAAGAGAAAAAGGAAGGAAGGTGTGAATAAACAATATAATGCACAAAAAAGTGAAAATAGCTGAAAGACTTACAGGTTTTCTTAAATTATGAGAGAATACCCTGAATTTTAAGTTAGTAAATTAGAAAAAAAAATTGATGAAACAGAAACGAGTTTTAGAAAAAAATAAAATTTCTAAATTTCTAAATTTCCCAAGGTGAAAGAAACTTCAATAGACTAATGGAACTAAGAAAATCTGGCCAGTTATTTAATAATAAAAAAAAAGACCTGCTAAAATTGGCCAAGTCTAGACTGTTTTACAGTGTTCCCCATTAGTGGGAAAGCTACTCAATTCATTTTATAGTGCTAGTATAGTCTTCACACTAAACCTGACAAAGATAAGAGAAGAAACGAAATTATGGGCAATTTCACATATAAGCATAGATGCAAAATCCTAAAAATATTAACTGAATCCAAAATGCTATAAATAATAATAACAATAACACCACATCATGATCAAGTATGGTTAAAATCAGAAAGGCCAGATCTAAAGGAGGAAAGTCATTTGACCAACTCAACAGATGTAGAAGAAGAATTTGATAATGTTCAACAACTACATATAATAAAAAGCTTATAAGAAAATTAAAAATGGAAGGGAATTCCCTTACTTTGATAGTTATCTATCAAAAACCTATTAAAAATCATATTAATAGAAACACTTTAAAAGCATTCCCTTTACATTCAGCATTTGGGAATAAGACAGGTACTTCTTTTTGATACAGAATACTGTAGGTCCTGGCCAACAAAAGACAAGCCTGAAACTAAGTAAATACAAAGAAATAAGAAGTAAATATGAGATCAACATATAAGAATCTATAGTGTTCCTCTTTCTGACAATTAGAAAATAAGATATCACTTACAACTGTAACAAAAATATTAACAAGTCTCCCTACATAAATCAACAATAAATAAATGTAAAATTATATTAAAGGTTACAAATAAGGCCAATATAAATGGAGGGGTACACCACGTTCTCATGCAGAAGTGGGAAGAAAATAGTTTTTTATAAATCTAGCAATATGAAAAAATTTTAAAACATGATGTTGATCCTGGCTAACACAGTGAAACCCCATCTCTACTAAAAACACAAAAAATCAGCTGGGTGTGGTGGCAGGTGCCTGTGGTCCCAGCTACTCAGGAGGCTGAGGCAGGAGAATGGCGTGAACCCAGGAGGCAGAGCTTGCAGTGAGCTGAGATCGTGCCACTGCACTCCAGCCTGGGCGACAGAGCGAGACTCCATCTCAAAGACAAACAAACAAAAAAACAAAACAAAAAAACCATGATGTTGAATAAAATAATAAACAGAAACAAAGTATATAATGTGTGTAAAATTTAAAACAAACACAAAAAACAATTGTTTTTAGGTTTTGTGTGTGTGTATATGTGCACATTCTGGTATGAACTCTGCTTCTTTCCCCCCCAACCCCAGGATATAGATCCTGAGAACTCAGCCTCTTGACATCTCTCTCTTTCTTTCTCTGTCTCTCTGTCTGTCTGTCTATCTATCTAATTTTAAGGCAGGGAGGCTTATTATTGCCTGCATAAGTGCCTTAAATGGTAACCTAGGCTGGTCCTGGAAGACTTAATCTCTCAAAATACCTAGCTCAGTTTATCTAAGGTTGAAAGAGATTATGCTGGCATATTCATTAGGTTAGAATGATAATAAAAATCCTCCCAATGCCTTTACAGTGTAATATCATACCTCTATTTAGGTTTATTAATGTAATATCACTTGATGGCTAATGGACACTGGGCACTCTAAGGCTCAGTCTTCTATTTGAGATGATGTACCAGTCAGTAATTTGATTACTGAGTCCCAGTATTGGGACTCAGCCATGAGAAGGAATCTGATTTCATTTCCGGGGTGGAAAGAAGCAAAGCAACAGATATGTTCCAACACAAGTTTTGTTTTGTTTTCAAAGTAGGCATTTTCATGTGATATCTGGGGCACCTGGTAGATCCTATGCCTCTGTCAACTGGTAACCTCCTTGCTGCTAGCAATCCCCTTGCTATGCCCATGTATGCGTCAGGGCTTTCCCTGTGCTCTGGGGGGGCTCTGTGCTCTCCCAGAAGAGTAAATCACCTGCCCTTGGCACAAAATTAGAATCACTGCTTTCCAATTCTCTACCGATTCCCTTTAGAAAGATTAAGAGTCATAAAGAAATAGTTCTGATCTTGCACCCTGTCTTTAAGCTTCTGAGTGCTTTGAGATTAGCACCTGGGGCACAGTGAAAGCTCTCCGCCCTACAATGACAGCGCCCTACATTATTCGTCTCCTCCTTATGGTAGACTTAGACTGTGTAATAGAGACGAAGGACATTCTCAGAGATGGGTAACACGGCATCGGAAAGTGCCAGCATACATTAACAGCTATAAGACATGGCCAGAAGCATTTCATTCTCCAACTTTATCTTCCTATGTATCACTGGTTACAACTTCTAGATCATTCCTGAGACAAGGTAAATCTGTGATAATAAATAGTGATGTTATTGAAGTGACATAATTGTCCTATGTAAGAGTAGGAAATAAATGGCTAAGTTTTCTTACCATTCTGTTATCTACAACTGAATTTATTCAATAATATTATTATTTATTCTCTTTATTGTAACTCTGGTTTCACCTTACATCTGAGCAGAATCTGGGCTAACTCCAGGATTAGCTATTAGGAAAGAGTCTTTAAAGAAAAACATGCTTAATTCACTTCCTGATACACAAGGGAAAATAGTATTACAATAGAATGCAAAGACCACTGTTTTGTATGGCCCTGGAAAACAATGTTCTTTATTCTCTGTGAAAATTTGAATACAGTTGATGCAATGGGGAGGCTTGGCAGTTTTTGAGATGATTCACCATCTCATACTGTGATATTTTATCTGAAATGTTTTCATAAAGGTAGTTTTCAACTTACTGCAATATAGTTTTACATTCCTTGGCTAAATATACCCTCACTATGTGACACTTACGAAGCAGCATGTTTCACTGAGTAATCCAGACATCCTGATGTTGAACTATTACATTTTGTCGTGATTTTCTCTAGGTCTCATCTACACCAGGACTAGTGTTTTCAATATGTGGTTCTTGACCCATCAGGATCAGTGTCATCTGGGAACTTGTTAAAAATACAAACTCTCTCACCCTACCCCAGACCTACTGAATCAGAAGCTCTGGAGCTGGGGTTCAGGGATTTCTATTTTGTAAACATTCCAGGTGATCCTGATGCATACTAAAGTTTGAAAGCTACTGCCCTAGGCCAATCATACCTTCAATTGTGGCACCTAATAGTAGCACCATGGATATCTAAGTGAACCAGATTTTCTGATGTTGGATTATTTCATTTTGTTATGTGAGCCCTGTTTCCCTAGGGCTCACAGGGCAAGTCCACACTCTGAAGTTATAGGTTTCTTTAGAAGAAAATGGACAGTACTATTTTAAGGACTTTAGAAACAGGCAGATCCTGAGATAGGCAATAGCGACCAAGACACCTTAGCTTGCAGGTGAGTGGGGATTATTTCCTTCTCTCTGCACTTGATGATTATTTAGGTCTTGAGGAGTGGAGGGAAGGTCCTCTTCCTGCTTAGGAAGAGTGACCAAATCGGCAAGAGTCCCCCTCCCAAGAGGCAGGCATATGGTGGAGCACCATCCCCAGCAGAGGATCTGCTGGAGTTCTGGAGTTCTGAAAGACACTGTCTACCCCATGCGGAGGGATTGCATGAGGCCACTGTCAGCGGAGGGGGCAACATGGAGGTCTGATTAGGAAGGTGTCTGTGTGACAGTTCTCTTTCTGACACTGTCAGAAAAAAAAAAGCTGAGAAAATATAGAGGCTAAAGGCAGGTTGGTGGCTGCAGGCATTGTAATGTTGACATCATAAATAAATGTTGGACCCACAGACTGGTGAAACCTAGATATACTGTTTACATCTGCTGAAATGCTTCATTAACACAAATTCTTTCACTTCTAGTTTGTTGACCTATAATTCTAACTCTTGATTGCCTAGAGTTGGAATTATAGCTTACAACATGCCTATCTTTTCCGTTGGCTCTGGCATAACATATGCAAAATCAATGAGAATTGAAAGGTAGAAAATATAATATCACAGTTAAGTCAAGGATACTATGAAGACATCTCTTATTAATACAGATTCTTCCTTCATTTCTCCCACAATATTATAAACCAACATCTATGAAGTAATCAGAGCCAAAGAAAGCAGAAATCTCACACAAGAATTTTGCCAACCTATGAAGTCTTTGACTTTTCTTTGTAAGTTAGTCTTCTGTTTAAGGTTTTTTAGAGAAAATATTTTCTCCTATATCTTCAAATGAGGCCTTTATGGAATTTTACTAAGAATTCCAGAAGTTAAAAAAAAAAAAAAAAAAACCGCAAACAGGCAAAATAGCCTCTACCACCAGCTCTATCACTTCCTTTCCATTCTAACTTCTTAATCTCCCATTCTCCTTCTGATTCCAATAGACCACTCTTAGAGATTTATTATGGATTTCATATCCAGGCTGCCAAGATGAAGATCTTATTTGAGACCTTCTCATACTCATTGCCCCTGAATCCAGTCATTTAAATCACTTGAGCATTCTTTCAGGAGATAGCCATATTCTACAGGGAGAATCTGCCATTTAAGCACCAAGGATAATTCCCAGGCAAATCATAGACAATAGCTTGCGGTCTTTGCAAACATTTATAAGAAATTTTGGGCCGGGCATAGTGGCTGACGCCTGTAATCCCAGCATTTTGGGAGGCTGAGGCGGGCAGATCACCTGAAGTCAGGAGTGTGAGACCAGCCTGGCCAACATGGCAAAACCCCATCTCTACTAAAAATACAAAAATTAGCCGGGCGTGTTGGTGCATGCTTGTAATCCCAGCTACTCAAGAGGCTGAGGCAGGAAAATAACTTGAACCTGGGAGGTGGAGGTTGCAGTGGGCCAAGATTGCACCATTGCACTCCAGCCTGGGGACAGAGTGAGACTCTGTTTCAAAAAATAACAACAACAAACCAGAATTTTTTTACAATAATAAATTTAACAACCTTTATATAACTAGAAATGATTGCATTAGTTTATTATCTTTTTGAGTTTCCTTATGTAAAATTTGGACAACTTCTTAAATTTCTACAAGGACCAGATTGTGTCATCAGAAGAGTTGCATGGCAAATGTACTGGATTATCAGTAAAGAGAACTGCCTTTGTTAACTTGAGCAAGTTACTTAACTTCTCTAAGCCACACTTTCTTCATCCACAAAATGAAGGCATTGGATGCTTCAAGGAAGGCACTGGACTCTGATCTTTCATAATGTTTAAAATCTAGGTAGTCTAGTCCAAACATAAATATTTTTGATGCTATAAAATTATATTATTCGATCTGTTCTTTTGCATAACTTCACATTGTCTAGTTACGTTTCTTTGCACAGAATACCAATAAATGTTACTGGATGACCATGTTTCCAAAACTGTGCCCTGGCATTAATTTCTTGAGATACCCACGCCTGACTTTGTATGACCCCACTCTTTCAGCAATACACTTCTAGAACAAGCAGTACTCATGCTGCTGAAGGATGAGGCTGGACATCATCCTGAAATCAAATAGACTCATCTAAATAGCCTACTCCTATTGGCAAACCGGCCCAATTCCATATTTCTTAAACTAAAATGAAAATCATTTAACTTCCTTTTCCAACTTGAAATGCTGAGACCAAGTACATGTGGATGAGTAAGAAGACAGAAAAAAAAAATACTGGAATCACAACTTGAATGAAAACTTGTTTTAAGAATTGCCTATTTTGTACCAGATGTTCTGTCAGGTACTTTGAATTTCTTTTTAAATTTATTATCTTAGCAAGCCAGTGAAGTGAGTATTATTTTTCCCATTTTACAGATAAAGACATAGTCTGAGAGAAAGTTGGTGGCTTCCTAAAAGTCACACACCTAGTAAATGTCAGAATCAGAACTCAGGTCATTCTGAAGGTTCTTTCCACTACATCACCCTCCTCTCACATTTTAGATACTGAGTAATAAACATTTAATATTAAATCACAGAAGAATACCACAGACATTTGAGTAAGAAGAGCATTATTTCATATAAATATGGCCCTTCTCCTCAGTACACCTAGATGTGGCCCACATCATTGCCAAAGATTACTTGGCAGTCTCTAATTTCAAGTCTTCTCTCTCCAGCTTATGTTTCTTGCTGGCAGAATAGTAGGATCTAGGAATAGAATCTCCTCAGTTGGTGAATTTAAGCTGTTCCTCAGTGATGGTCACCACTTAACATTACCACAACAAAAAACACACTTCTTGAGTTGCTGGACAATTGTTTGCCCTAAATCCTAATGAGAAAACACATTATAGTGAAGTAGTAGTACTTATTTTTTTTTAGATTTTTAGACACAGACAAATAATATAGTCACTGAAAAGCATATTGTTGAATCTGTTGAATTTCCTGGATATTTAGGATGATGATTGCTATAAGATACCTCAGTTGGACTATGACTAGGATTTGCACAGACAAGAATTAATCTCTATCAAAGAGATAAAGGCCCCATGGATAGCAAATTCAGAATAATCTAGAAATTTAGATAACTGGTGGTAAGGAGAGAGGCCAGGAATTTAAGACTACTAATGGTCAAGTGCTTGAAAACAATTAAGAACAGGAAAGTCACCAGAGGTAGGATAGGGCAAACGAACAGTGGACAAGCAGAATTAGGATTAGGATTAGCCTGAGTACTTCCACATAATGGCCCACATGGTTAGAAATGTAGGAAAGAGATTTTCTTAAGGTAGAAAGCAGAGCAACTCAGTAAAACTGAATATATTTTACAAGGCTGACAGTGTATTTTGAATATATAAGCTAGCAACCTCCAGTGACAAAATGTTCAGATATCCTTGAGTCTCAATGTAATTTAGGCTCCTCAGAACAGATATCATAGAGGCATATGAGGCCATTTAGATGTAAGCACAAAAATACGGTTAAATCCTATGTTGATGTATCTATACTTTCAATTATTATTATGTCTCACATGCCTTATAAATAAGAAACAAAATGTATGTTTGTCTCTTTTGCCATAGTTTGAAAAGTTTATGTCAGGTGTTAATCTTGTCACACAATATGAAAATTGCAATTAACTTCTTTTTTCTTACTTATGCTTCTTGCATTAGTGCCTTGTTATTCATTCCAGTCCTCATTCATTCATTTTTCATGCACTTATTTCCAGCACTTACAATGTGCTAGGAAATGTGCTAGATGCTAGAGGAATAAAGATGAATAAGAGAAGGGCCCTAACCCCAAGGAATTCTGTTTAGTGTGATAAACAGATTTACAAACCCAAACCCCAATACAGTGTGATCAGTGCTAGGGCAGAGTCATGTTTGAGATTTGCCAGGATTTCAGAGACAGGAACCACATGGGAGCATTACCAGGAAGCCCTGAGGGCTGAGCTGAGATGGGAGACAATGAATTCATAGTGACATCGACTCACTCTGCTGCTAAAGAAAAATCACAAAATATATCAATTCAGGTAAAGAAGCAAAGAAATCAAGTGGATTATTTCAGACAGAGATTTGAAAGGTTGTAAGGCAGAGGAAAAAAAGAGGAATCGTGAAATATAGGGTACTTTTCAACAAAGAGCTCAGTCTAAACTGGCTAGGTAAGAAATAAGGCTAAAAGATGTCTGGGGACAGTTTGTAAATTAGAATAAAATAAGAGGAATCCAATAAACCAGGAGTCTCAATGAGATTTTATGAGCAGGAATAGAGGGAGACCACAAATTAGGTACTTTGATTCAATAAATCAATCAGCCAGTAATTATGGTATTCATACAACTTATTACTCAAATTGAGTGAAAAAGAGTGAAAGAGACTATTAATAATTATTTGAGATATATATATCACATTTTTCTATATCCAATCTACCATCGATGGGCACCTAGGTTGATTCCATGTCTTTTCTACTATGAATAGTACTGTGATGAACATATGAGTATATGTGTCTTTTTGGTAGAACAATTTTTCTTTTCGATATATACCCAGTAATGGAATTGCTGGGTCAAACAGTACTTTTAAGTTCTTTGAGAAATCTCCGAACTGTTTTCCACAGTGGCTGAACTAATTTAGACTTCCACTAACTGTGTATAAGCACTCCCTTTTCTCTGAAGCCTCACCAGCATTTGCTGTTTGTTCATTTTTTAATAATAGCCATTCTGATTGGCATGAAATGGTATCTCATTGTAGTTTTGATTTGCATTTCTCTGATGATTAGTGATGTGGGGCATTTTTTCATGTTTGTTGGCCACTTGTTTGTCTTCTTTTGAGACGTGTCTGTTCATGTTCTTTTCTCACTTTTTAATAGGTTTTGTTTTGTTGTGTCTGAGACAGGGTCTTGCTTTGTCACCTAAGCCAGGGTGCGGTGGTGCAGGTCATGGCTCACTCAGCCTCAACCTCCCAGGTTCAAGCAATTCTCATACCTCAGCCATCTGAGTAGCTGGGACTACAGGCACACACCACCATGCCTGGTTAATTTTTGAATTTTTTGTTGAGAAGGGGTCTTGCCATGTTGCCCAGCCTGGTCTCAAACTCCTGGGCTCAGAGATCCACCCATCTTGGCCACCCAAATTTCTAGGATTACAAATGTGACACACTGTGCCTGGCCAGGGTTATTTGTTTTTTGCTTATTGAACTATTCAAATTCCTTATAGATTCTGGATATTAGACCCTTGTCTGATGCATAGTTTGTGAATATTTTCTCCCATTCTGTTGGTTGCCTGTTTACTCTGTTAATAGTTTCTTTTGCTCTATAGAAGCTCTTTGGTTTAATTACATCCTACTTGTCAATTTTTGGTTTTGTTGCAATTGCTTGGAGGACTGAGTTATAAATTCTTTCCCAAGGCCAATGTCCAGAATGGTGTTTCCTAGGTTTTCTTCTAAGATTCTTACAGTTTGAGGTCTTACATTTAAATCTTTACTCTATCTTGAGTTAATTTTTGTATATGGTGAAATGTGGGGGTATAGTTTCATTCCTCCGCATATGGCTAGCCAGCTATCCTAGCATCATTTGTTGAATAGGGAGTCCTTTCCTCATTGCTTATTTTCGTCAACTTTGTCAAAGATCAGATGGCTGTAGGTGTGAGGCTTTATTTCTGGGGTCTCTATTCTGTTCCATTGGTCTATGTGTCTGTTTTTGTACCAGTACCATGCTGTTTTGGTTACTGTGACCTTATAGTATAGTTTGAAGTCAGGTAATGTGATTCCTTTGGCTTTTTGTTTTTGTTTTTGCTTAGGATTGCTTTGGCTATTTGGGCACTTTTCTGTTGCATATGAATTTTAGAATTTTTTTCTAATTCTGTGAAAAATGACATTGGTAGTTTGATAGGAATATTGAATCTGTAGATTGCTTTCGGCAGTGTGGCCATTTTAATAGTATTTATTCTACCAATTTATGAGTATGGAATATTTTTCCATTTGTTTGTGTCATCTATGATTTCTTTCATCAGTGTTTTGCAGTTCTTCTTGTAGAGATCTTTTACCTCCTTGGTTAGATGTATTCGTAGGTATTTTATTTTTTTGTGGATATTATAAATGGACTGTGTTCTTGATTTGGCTTTCAGCCTGAACAATATTGGTGTATAGAAATGCTACTGATATTTGTACGTTGATTTTGTATCCTGAAACTTTACTGAAGTTATTTATCAGTTCCAGGAGCCTTTTGGCAGAGTCTTTGGGACTTTCTAAGTATAGAATCATATGGTCAGCAACAAGAGATAGTTTCACTTCTTCTTTTCCTATTTGGATGCTTTTGATTTTTTTCTCTTCCGATTGCTCTGGCAAGGAATTCCAATACTATGTTGAGTAGGAGTGGTGAGAGTAGGCATCCTTGTCTTGTTCCACTTCTCAAGGGGAATGCTTCCAGCTTTTGCCCATTCAGCATGATGTCGGCTGTGCATTTGTCATAGATGGCTCTTATTATCTTGAGATATGTTCCT
This sequence comes from Homo sapiens, assembly GCF_000001405.40. Classification (NCBI taxonomy): domain Eukaryota; kingdom Metazoa; phylum Chordata; class Mammalia; order Primates; family Hominidae; genus Homo; species Homo sapiens. The sequence continues at coordinate 190,103,178 of NC_000002.12, read as the reverse complement.
TTCATGGGTAGTTTGCTGAGGGTTTTTTTCAGTAAAGGATGTTAGGTTTTATCCAAGGCTTTTTCTGTATCTATTGAAATAATCATAATGCTTTTGTTTTTAATTCTGTTTATGTGGTAAATCACATTTGATTTGCATATGTTGAACCAGCCTTGTATCCCAGGAATGAAGACTAGTTGATTGTGGTGAATTAACTTTTTGATGTGCTGCTGGATTTGGTCTGCTAGCATTTCGTTAAGGATTTCTGTATCTATGTTCATCAGGGATATTGGCCTGCAGTCTTCTTTTTTTGCTGTGTCTCTGCCAGGTTTTGGTTTCAGGGTGATGTTGGCTTCATACAATGAGTTAGGAAGGAGTCCTTCCTCCTTGATTTTTTGGAATAGTTTCAGTAGAATTAGTACCAGCTCTTCTTTGTACGTCTAGCAGTATTTGTCCGTGAATCTGTCTGCTCTGGTGCTTTGTTCGGTTGGTAGGTCTTTTTTTTTATTATTACTGATTCAACTATGAAACTCAGTATTGGTCTGTTCAGGGTTTCAATTTCTTTCTAATTCAATCTTGGCAGGTTGTATGTTTCCAGGAATTTATCAATTTCCTCTAGATCTTCTAGTTTGTGAGCATAGAGGAGTTCATAGTAGTCTCTGAGAATCTTTTGTATTTCTGTAGGCTCAATTGTAATGTCGCCTTTGTCATTTCTGATTGTGCTGATTTGGATCTTTCTTTTTCTTTGTTAATCTAGCAAGCAGTCTATTGATTTTGTTTATCCTTTCAAAGGATCAACTTTTGATTTCATTGATTCTTTGTGTGAATTTTTGGGTCTCAATTTCATTCAGTTCTACTCTTTTTTTTTAGTTATTCCTCTTCTTCTGCTAGCCTTGGGGTTAGTTTGTTCTTGTTTTTCTAGCTCCTCAAGGTGTATGTTAGATCATTAATTTGGGGTCTTTCTAATTTTTTGAGGTAAGTGTTTAGTGCTATGAACTTTCCTCTTAAGACTGCTTTTGCTGCATCCCAGAGATTTGGGTATACCTGTTTTCATTTATTTCAAGGTATTTTTTATTTCTGCCTTAATTTGTTTACCCAAAAGTCACTCAGGAGCAAGCTGTTTAATTTCCATGTATTAGTGTGCTTTGAGAGATCTTCTTTGTATTGATTTCTGTTTTTATTCCACTGTGATCTGAGAGTATGGTTGGTATTATTTCCATTTTTAAAAAATGTATTGAGACTTGCTTTATGGCAGAGCATGTGGTCAACCTTGGAGAATGTTTCATGTATAGATGAGAAGAATATATATATTCTGTGGTTGATGGGTGGGGGTATTTTGTCAATATCTATTAGATTAGATAGGTCAAGTTTTGAATTTAAGTCCAGAATGTATTTGTTAGTTTTCTGCCTCAATGATTTGTCTAATGCTGTTAGTGGGGTGTTCAAGTTCCCCACTATTACTGTGTGGCTGTGTAAGTCTTTTTATAGTCTTTTTATATACTAGAAGTAGTTTTTTTTTTTTCCTAAATGAATCTGGGTGCTCCAATGTTGAGTACATATATATTTAGAATAGTTAAGTCTTCTTGTTGAGCCTTTATCATTATGTAATGACCTTTGTCCTTTTTGACCTCTGAATGCCTGGTGATCTGCCTGAGCATAGAGGGGAAAGAGCCCTGCTGCTCCAGGAAGGGTGGGAGGCTCAGGCTGCTGGTCCAGGCAAATGTGTGCTCTGAATGCCTGGAGTTCTGCCTGGCGGTGGAGTGGAGAGAGCCCTGCTGCTATCCTCTCAGGGGAGCAGGATAGGGTACCCAGCAATGGCACACACAGACTGGTTCCAGGTTACCGAGCTGGTCCTGGCTGCAAGCCTTGTTGCCGAGGAGAAGCCATAACTGTAGCAGCTCTCCTCCTGCCACAGGCCTGTGACAGGGAAGAACACAATTCCAGGGCCTAGTGGTGAGGCACTTTCCACAACTCTGGCCTGTGGAGGCCCCTATCTCACTCCAGAGCAAGCACTTCAGTCTCTGGCCTGAGACAAACATGTCTGCGTGGCCACACTGCCAGGATGCCAAAGAATGGCTGACTTTGCATGTGCCTAGATTAAAAATGGCATCCTCCTCTCAACACTGGGTCTGGGAAATTGACTGCAGCTTTTCCTGATGTCTTTCCCTCATAGCATCTCCAAGCCTCTCCCCAAGTTAGCTCCAGAGCTTGGGAGGAACAAAGTTTTCTTTCTCAGCCTGGGGTGCTTGGAGCCCCAGTGGAAGGGTGAGTTACAGAGGGAGGCTCTCTGCCTCTCTCACCTACTGGGGCTTCACTCACTTTTATCAGCTGGACACCATCATGGGGCCAGTGTTCTCCTCCCTGGGATCTGGAGTATCTTTCACAATTCCAGTGGATTCTGATTTTCCTTCTTGAATTAAAGCTCACAGTTGATCTTTATGTACTATCTTGCTGTTTCCAAGTGGCTGAGACATGCTAAAACCCTCTAATCAGCTGTCTTGGAAAAAAAAATTTCTAATTGTTATTTTCTTCCCTGATGGTTTATAATCCTTCCTTCACCCCTGTGCATATTTTAAACATACTTTGTAAATATTTCTGTCAGGTTATTCTACTTTTTTAAGCCTTGGCTTCCATTTCTTTCATCTGCTGAGTCTCAAACGTAGTTATTTGTTTTATGGTATGATTTACAATGTTTGACTATGACCTACTCATTAGAAGAGAGTTCTCTGTGGAAAAGTAGCCTATAGGATACTTTTTCTTTGTCTCAACTTGCATGAAAGAACTGGATTCCTTACAGAAGGAGCAGGTCTGAAAAGCAAACCAAACCAAAACAGCAACAAAAACGAATTGGATCCCTTTTTAGCTGATTTCCTGGCTTCAAAGTCCTTCCACATAGTCAGCATGATTTCAGACTCCCCATCTTGGCATGGCACATACTGGTTTTTTTTTATTTCTTGCAGGTGATATTTTCTCATTCATCATCCTGGGATACTAATAAACCTTCTTGTTGCTTAACTGGGCTGATGGGCAGAGTTCCCTTAGTCTCCATTTCAAAGTCAGCCCAACCCTTTATGACTCCCGGATTTATCTAAATAGCTGTTTTAGCTTTAATCCTACAGTCTGAAGCCTGTAATCTCCTTTCAGGGAGACAATTAGTAGAACCAACTCCAGTGTTTAAGGCCTGTATCTGATTGCAACAATTCTATGAGCAGTTTGGGCATAAGATTCTGCTTAGCACTCTGACTTGAAGTTTCCTTTTTAATTCTAATACTAGGGGGACTTTCTTTCTTGATTTCAAACTCAGCTTCATACCTAAAGAAGTTTTAGCCATATGTTATTCTATGTTTAGAGCAGAAGAGTTAAGGATTCATTCCCATCAGCTCATGTTATATCATGGTAAGTCTGAGAAAAGTTTCAAAAAATGTATTTACTTATCAAGAAAAGTATGGAGCATCTACAATGTTTAAGCACAAGCACACCTCATTTTATTGCATTTCACTTTATCGTGCTTCACAATGACTGTGGTTTTTACAAATTGAGTTTGTGGCAACTCTGCATCAAACAAGTCTATTGGCACCATTTTTCAACAACATGCTCACTTGGTGTCTCTGTCGCATTTTGGTGATTCTTGCAATTGATTTCAAATTTTATTATTATTATTATATCTGTTATGGTGATCTATGATCAGTGATTTTTTGATGTTACTTTTGTATTTGTTTTGGGGCACCTTGAACCGTGTCCATATAAGACAGTGAACTTAATAAATGTTGTATGTGTCCTGACTGCTCCACAAACTGGTCATTACCCTGTCTCTCTCCTTCTCTTCAGGCCTCCCTGATCCCTGAGATACAACAATATTGAAATTAGGCCAGTTAATAACCCTACGATGGTCTTTAAGTGGCTGAGTGAAAGGAACAGTCACATGTGACTCACTTTAAATCAAAAGCTAGAAATGATCAAGCTTAGTGAGGAAGGTATGTCAAAAGCCAAGGCAGGCTGAAAGGTAGGCCTCTTATGCCAAATAGTTAGCCAGGATGTGAATAGAACAGAAAAGCTCTTGAAAGAAATTAAACATGCTACTCCATTGAATACACAGATGACAAAAAAGCAAAACAGCCTTTTTGCCAATATGGAGAAAGTTTGAGTGGTTGAGACAGAAGATCAAACCAGCCACAACATTCCTTTAAGCTGAAGCCTAATCAAGAGCAAAACACAAACTCTTTTCAATTCTGTGAAAGCTGAGAGAGATGAGGAAGTGCCAGAAGAAAAGTTTAAAGCTAGCAGAGGCTGCTTCATGAGGTTTAAGGAAAGAAGCAGTCTCCAAAATATAAAAGTACAAGGGGAATCAGCAAGTGCTGATATGGAAGCTGCAGTAAGTTAGTTAGCCAGAAGATCTAGCCAACATCATTGATGAAGGTGGCTACACTAAACAACAGATTTTCAATGTAGATGAGACAGCCTTATATTGGAAGATAACATCTAGGACTTTCATAGCTAGAGAGGAGAAGTCGATGCCTGGCTTCAAAGCTTCAAAGGATAGGCTGACTCTCTTGTTCTAAGGGCTAATGCAGCTGATGACTTTAAGTTGAAGCCAATGCTCATTTGACATTCTGAAAATCCTAGGGCCCTTAAGAATTATGCTAGATCTACTCTGCTCGTGCTCTAGAAATGAAAGAACAAAGCCTGGATGATGGCATCTCTGTTTACTGACTATTTTAAGTCCACTGTTGAGACCTACTTCTCAGAAAAAAAAAAATATTTCTTTCAAAATATTACTGCTCATTGACAATGCACCATTGGTGCATTGCTCTTCGGTGACCAGAGCATTGGTGTACATCTTCACATATACATGGAGCTTAATGAAGATGTACAAGAAGCTTAATGTTGTTTTCATGCTTGTGAACACATCCATTCTGTAGCCCATGGATCAAGCAGGAATTTTGGCTTTCAAGTCTACTATTTAAGAAATATATTTTATAAGGCTATAGTTGCCATAGACGGTGATTCCTCTGATAAATCTGGGCAAAGTAAACTGAAAATGTTGTAGAAAGAATTCACCATTCGAGATGCCATTAAGAATTATAATTCATGGGAGGAGATCAAACTCTCAACATTCACAGGAGTTTGGAAGAGGTTGATTCAAACCTTCATGAATGACTTTGGGGGGTTTAAGACTTCAGTGAAGAAAGTAACTGCAGATGTGATGGAAATAGCAAGAGAACTACAACCTGATGATATGCAATCTCATGAGAAAACCTGAACAGATGAGGACTTACTGCTGCTTCTTTCTTTTTTTCTTTTTCTTTTCTTTTCTTTTCTTTTTTTTTTTTTTTTTTTTTTGGTAGAAACCAGCTCTCACTGTGTTGCTCAGGCTGGTCCTAATTCCTGGGCTCAAGTGATCCTCTCACCTTGGCCTCCCAAAGTGCTGGGATTACAGGCATGAGCCACCACACTTAGTGAGGACTTGCCCCTTATGAATGAACAAAGAAACTGGTTTCTTGAGATAGAACCTACTCCTGATGAAGATGCTGTGAACATTGTTGAAATAAAAGAAAGAATTTAGAACATTCCGTAAACTTAATTGACAAAGTTGCAGCAGAGTTTGAGAGGATTGACTCCAATTTTGAAAGAAGTTCTAAGGGTAAAATGAAGGAAGTTTGATGGGTAAAATGCTATCAAACAGCACTGCATGCTACAGAGAAATCTTTTGTGAAAGGAAAAGTCAATCTATGTGGCAAACTTCATTGTTTTCTCATTTTAAGAAACTGCCACAGGTACTCCAGCCATCAGCAACTACCACCCTGATCAGTCAGCTGCCATCAATATCTAGGCAAGACCATCCACCAGCAAACTAATGCAGGAACAGAAAAACAAACACTGTATGTTCTCACTGATAAGTGGGAGCTCAGTGATGAGAACATATAGACACATGGCGGGAAACAACACACATTGGGGCCTGTTGGGGTAGGGGTTAGGGGGAGGGAGAGCCTCAGGAAGAATAACTAATGGATGCTGGGCTTAATACCTAGGTGATGGGTTGATCTATGCAGCAAACCACCATGGCACACATTTACCTATGTAACAACCCTGCACATTCTGCACATGTACACCTGAACTTAAAATTTGAAAAAAAAATTTTGAGACTTGGAAATTTGAGAAGGGAATTGCTCTGGTTTGAATGTTTGTGTCTCTCGCCAAAATGCACATTAAAACTTAATCCCAGTGTAACAGTATCAAGAGGTGGGGCCTTTAGGAAGTGACTGAACCACAAGGGCTCTGCCCTCATGGATGGGATCCGAGGGAGAGTTGGGCTGTCTCTCGCCTTTCTGTCTTCCACCATGTGAGGATGCCATGAGAAGATGACATAGATGGAACAGGCCCTCACTAGATATTATACACAGCCACAGCAGAGTTTGAGAGGACTGACTCCTACTGGTGCCTTGATCTTGGATTTCCCAGCCTCCAGAACTGTGAGAAAATACATTGTTTAAAAATAAATGATCTAATCTGTGATATTTTGTAATAGTAGCATACATGGACTAAAACATCACTTATCAGGGAAGAAGAAAGGGAAGCAATATGAGAGCAGAGTCAATGATAGCATGAATATTAGTTAACAGCAGCAAAAAAAGCCCAGCACCATGCTCTCCAGGCCAACACACAGACAGGCAGCAAACTCCCTGAAATAGGGCTATATGACCTAGGCTTCATACCTGCTAAAGGTGCAGGGAGACAGCAAGACCCCTAAAAAGAAGGGCTGTGTGTTACGTTAGTCAGAAGGCATCTGAATTCATCTCATGAAGAGTTCATTCTATTTTGGCCAAAAGCATTTTGTCCATTTTATTCTAGTGCTATACACATAATAATCATTTCTTTTACTGTGGTAACTTTGTAATGTACCAACATGGCTAGCCTGAACTAAATTCTCAAGTTTCCCTTTCCTGTATGTTTCTCTTGTTAGGTTGGGCCACAGGAGACTTTCGTGGGAGACATGGAGGGCAGACATGAAGTGGCAGCCATTTTGCAGCCCAACCATGTTGTCACTTATCTAGGAAGTATTAGAGGCCGTGGACACTACCAAAACTGCCTCACCTTTTCCTAGATACTCCTTCAGCTTCTTTGACTCCTGAGACCAGGATGGGTGTTTAGCTCCATGAAGAAAAGCCCAGCTTCTATAGGCCACCCACACCACCGAGGTCTAAGACAAGAACTGATGTGGTTTCAGTCTGTCCTGTGGGCTCCACCTTATTTATGCTTGTGGGGTCCAGCTTGTTCTTGCTCCCCCTTTCTTTACATCTATCTTTCCTTCTCACCTACCTGTCTTGTAGACTTACAAGTTCCATCATCAGATGTGAAGACAGCAGCCTTACAGAGACTCCCCAGTTACATAAAGTCAAATTATTGTGATAAATTCCTTTGTGTATATCATATATAATACACTATAAGACAATATAGAAATGTATACATCCACTCTTCTTCTCTGATTGAATCCTGAGTTCCCACCATATATGTTTCTGATTGTGTCAGTCCATTTGGGCTGCTATAACGAAGTACTATAGATTGGGTAGCTGATAAACAACAGAAATTTATTTCTCACAGTTATGGAGCCTGGAAGTCCAAAACACAGTGCTAAGATGGTCAGGTTCTGGTGAGGGTCCTCTTCCAGGCTGCAGACTGCTGTCTTCTCATTGTGTTCACACATGGTAGAAAGAAATAAGACAGCTCTCTGGAGTGTCCATCATAATGGCGCTAATCCTCCTCGTGAGGTCACTCTCAGGACCTAATCACCTCCCAAAAGTCCCACCTTCAAATACCATCACATCAGGGATTCAGATTTTGGCATCTGAATTTTGGGAGGGACATAAACATTCACTCCATTGCACTGATATTACCAAAGGTATTTTTCAATTTCTTGATTTATAGCAATTACATTTAGTGCTTTTCATGGATCATTGTCCTGGTTATTTACTTTTTTTTTGAGACAGAGTCTTGCTCTGTCGCCCAGACTAGAGTGCAGTGGTGTGATCTTGGCTCACTGTAACCTCCGCCTCCTGGTTTCAAGGATTCTCCTGTCTCAGCCTCCTGAGTAGCTGGGATTACAGGCATGGGCCACTACACCCGGCTAATTTTTGTATTTTTAGTAGAGATGGGGTTTCACCATATTGGTCAGGCTGGTCTCGAACTCCTGACCTCATGATCCGCCCATCTCGGCCTCTCAAAGTGCTGGGATTACCGGCGTGAGCCACCGCGCCCGGCCTATTTACTCTTTCAACTTATCTCTCACTTTCTTTGAATACTATTTTTCTTGAACCAGCAGAATTGTAATGATCCATATCCAGATAAAGTAATCATTTGTTTCCTACTTAAAGTTATCTATAAAATGCCTGGCCCCACCTCTCCCTTATCATCCTTACAAAAGCCTTGAAAGGATCGTTCAAAATACATGACTTGGATATAATGCTAATGAGGAACCAACAATCTATAAATTATGAATAGTGACAGAAGGCAAGGCAGTGTTTGTGATTCAGCTCAATAGACTTTGCCGGCAGGAAAACATCCTGTAATAAATCCTTTGATTGCTGAAAAACATGGTTCAAATAAAAAATCAAGTAATACTGCATATCTAAACAGAAATAGAAGAATAAACACTTGCAAACTTTGAACTCCACTCCCCTGCTGTTTTTAAGCAAAACCTAAGCTGCATGGAAAGAGTAAGGAATTTTGTAATAAATCAGGCTTGGGTTTCAATCACGGCCTTTTTTACCTCTGTGACTTTAAGCCAATGATTTAACTTTTCAGAAGCTCAGTTTTCTTATCTACAAAATGGCAGTAACAGTATCAGCCTCATAGGACTGCTGAAAAGATCAGAAATAATACACAAAACTTCTGGTACACTAAAGGCACTAGGGGAATGCTTTAAACAGCATGTTTCCCCTTTTTAAAAAAACCTTTAAAAATATTATTTCTCTGAAAATGATGTCCTAGAAAATCCCTACAAATGGAGATATACTTTCCTGTTGCTCAAGCCCACTCATCTTGCTTTCCAGCCACAAGACTCCTATTTACCAATCTTTTCCCACATAGTGGGAGGTCAAACTAAAGCAACCTAGGAGCTTACTCTGTCGCTGTGGAGAGGATAAACACTCTTGCAGGGGTGTGGGGCCTTAGAAAATGCAAGGCTCTGGTCCTTAATAAAAGAGCTGCTGCTTTCGTAACAGCACCATGTGCTTGGTCACAAGACAGATGAGGACAGAGGGTAGGCCCTTCTTGGCCCAAGTTGGAGGTGAGTGGGTGAGTAGACTGCTTTCGTCTCTGACTGCTGCTAGCCATGTTTCTACCTTCCTGATTGTGGTCAAGCTACCAAGGCAAGAAATTCCCAAAGTAAAAATATACTGACAGCTGTGTTTGGAATCTATCAACAACCTTTCAAAATTACACACGGGCAAATTTCACCTTCACATTGCAGAAGTCATATTCCCAAAAGACTGAATGAAAGCGAAGAGATCACATAAATAAAAATAATCCAAAATGAAATGAAATTATGGATGAAGAAGGGGAAATATGAGAGCAAAACATTATCCTATTAGAGGCAACAGTTTAAAATTTTACCAGGCCAAGAGTACAAATCTTTATTTCTATAATGTTAAACTAAACTCTATTTTCCTCTACTTCTGCTATAAGTCACCCAACAATGTTTATTTTCTGATTCTTGCCCTATACATTACTATTTTAGTTTAGTATTTAATTACTTGTTTTCTTTTTTTTTTGAGACAGAGTCTTGCTCTGTCGCCCAGGCTGGAGTGCAGTGGCACAATCTTGGCTCACTGTAACCTCTACCTCCCAGGTTCAAGAGATTCTCCGGCCTCAGCCTCCCAAGTAGCTGGGATTACAGGCGTCCACCACCACTCCCGGCTAATTTTTGTATTTTTTTTTTTTTTTAGTAGAGACGGGGTTTCACCATGTTGGCCAGGCTGGTCTCAAACTCCTGACCTCAGGTGATCCACCCGCCTTGGCCTCTCAAAGTGCTGGGATTATAGGCGTGAGCCACCATGCCCGGCCTTAATTACTTTTTAAACTGTAAACATTCATCTAGTGCCCTGATACTTATAGCTATACTAACTATATACTTTCTACCTATGGTTTGAAGTTTCTTCAGACGTGTGGTCCAGAAAAGCATCATCTTCATGAATATAAATTATTATATTACTAAAAAAGAAAAATTTACAACAGGGTATTTCTGGTATTTCCCTTTTCCTCTGCTTCTAGCAATCGACTCGCTGTAAGTAAAACTCTTCACAGAGTTTAGAATTAGTCAGTAGAACTCTAGTTTTAATACCTACTCCTCTCCTTTGATCTGGTATAAAATTATCCTCACAACAAGGAAATAATATTTTTCACAGATCAGACCGACAATGATTTCTTAAAAGGCTATTATTCTGGACTGGCAAGGATTTGGGGGAAACAGGAACTTTTGAATACTTCTGTTAGACTTCTAAATCACTACATCTTTCTGAATGATAATTTGGAAAATTGACTCAGATTCTTAAAAATATGTGTATTAATGTGTATGTTTTTAAATAGTACATATACATATTGTTCTGAGGTGGACAGGTCTATGCAAACCTACCCCAGAAAGTCCAAGGAAGCAGAGAGGCCAAAGAAAGAGGCTGACAAACCCAGTTTCTGAGAAAGAAACATTTGATAGGGACTTAGGAACAGAAACCATGCCTGTGTCTCAGGAGTGGCAAGACAAAACGGTGGATCCCTGTGCCCTTACCCCCGAGACCCAGGACTTATAGAACATAAGGAAAAGATATGTGTGATTCAGAAGGAATGTGTAGGACAATTGATGTATAATATCAAGGTCATTTTGACCTAAGGGCAGGATTTACAGTAAGTACATTCTCTTACACAAGGAACAATCAATAAACTGGAAATCTTAGAGGCCTTCTTGGAACTGGAGTTAATCAGCAGTCAACATGACAAATTAGCATCCAGATAATTTTGCTTTAGCCTCCACACACATATTTACAAAAAGATTTGCCATTAAGTATGTGTTTTGAATATTATTATAACAAAAATCTGAAAGAATCTAAGTGTCCTACTGTAGAATATTAATGAAATAAATTGCCATATATTAACATAACATAATACAATATAGTATAGTCATGTTTAATGATAAGTCATTTAAAAATGTGTAAAAATATTTAATTTCTGAGGAAGATATTGTAGTCAGTCAATTTGTTTATTTACTGAGTAGATAAACAAAAATATTAATATTAATTACTCCTGAATAAAGGAATTATGAGTGATTTTTAGTTTTGGCTTTGTGTTTTCTATATTTTATAAATTTTCTGTGATGAATATGTATTACTTTGTAATCATATTATTTCAAGTATTAAAAACTATTTTAGAAACCAAGAATTTTAAGCACATTTATATTTTCTGTGTTTATAATTAGAATCCTAAAATTCTGTAGTTGAAAGGGATCACAGGGATATTCTGGTACAAACTCAAGATCGAAAGTTTGGCCTCTAGAAATTTAAGACATAATTTACACAATCAATTAGGCTTTGTAATCAATAAAGTAGATTACATGGCCTCTTCAGTTCTTAAAATGGTTCTATTTGGGCTACTTGTGTGTGTGTGTGTTTAACAAAAGAGGATAAACTACTAATTTGATACAAATAAGTTCTCTTCTACTTTAAGAAACATAGGAAACAGTTCTTTACTTTCAAAAGTAGGTCACTCTTGTAGCATATTTTAGTACAGTTTGAATAAATTCCTTTCAGTTATTATCAAAGTATCCTAGTGTTAGAATTCCTGTGAGATAGCAGACTTTCTGAAATAAATTCATATGTGTCAAACTGGAACTTTCTGTAATAATATTTTTCAGTCTTTTAGAATTAAATTTAAAATGAGTTTCTGTTTCAGTCCCTGAATGTAGACATGTGCCACTGACGTGCTGACAAGTTATCTGATTTACATGGCATTAGAAAGTTTCTTTTTAAAGGCAGTATATTGTTGAACTTTATAGGCATTTCCTATTCTTAGAAATATGAAGCAAAGTGTCAACTGGTAAACAGTAAAATTCAGTTCTCAAATTGTGTGGATGGTTCTTCTATTAATGTGTTAGCAACTCTACAGTAAAAATATCAAAGTCTTTTTATAAGGCTTACACCTTTGAAACAAAGTTATTCATTTATTACAACAAAATTTATGTTATTACCTATTATGTGCCAGGTATTGTGCTAGATGCCAGGGTATGTCTGTAATAAGCTAGAGTCCATGCCCTTCAGGAGCCTACAGAAAAGAGCGGACATTAAAAATAAGCAGGCAATTAGACTACAGTGCGCTAAGTATTAGTACTGTGATAAGAAAGTACTAGTGGTAGGGGAGAAGTAGGACAGGACATTGATAGAAACCATTTGAGGGACCTGTTCAGCTCACACACTTTTCCCTGGGAGTCACCTTCTGCCTTTTATCAGAGCCTTGTCTGAACTATGTACCTCCATCTTTCACACATGATCAGGCAAGGGATACAAACCTTACACAGGCTAGGACTCAAAGACACGTGATCAGTTAGCTATGGCAGCTAACTTGGTTATATAAAATCAAGACTGAGGTGGTTGTTTGAGGCTATACATAAGTAGAAAAAAGACTGTTCTGAAGAAGTCTGGAGAGGAGACTCAATCCACTTGGGAAGAATCTGCTTTGAAGCTATCTCACTAATGTGCCTGGCGAATTGGTGCTGGCTATTGACAGGAGGCCTCAGATCTTCTCCATGGCACTGTTTGAGGCATGGCAGCTGGCTCTCAGTGAGCAATCCAAGAGACCAAGGCAGAAGCTGCAATGCCCTTTATGACCTAGTCTCAGCAGTCATACACCATCACTTTCACTGTGTTTGTCACCAGGCCATCCCCTACTTACTGTGAAAGGAGTGTATAGAAGGCTTTCTTCGCTTGCTAACAACTAGAAATAAACCCAACTACCTGCCTAGATGAGGACTTTAACACAATAATATTGGAAATGGCAGCAGCAGCAGGAGTGCTGCAATTGAAAAGGGTAATATCAGTCTCTCCCAAAGGAGCAGGCAGGTAGTTATAAGGAGAAAAAAGGGACAATGAGATTACATTTGCACACCATACACCTACAAGAACTACTCTAGGTTAAGTAGAGTAGTTTGGGGAAAGGGGCATATATACCAGGCCAAAGGACTAGAAACACTGCTCTGCATGGTGTAAGAAGTTAACTCTCCTTGACTCCTAGCACAATTGAACCAGTGTTAGGTTTTGCATAGTATATGGAATTTGTGGAGGGCATTTGGGGCAGACTGAACCCCTCTGGAGTAGTCCTAAATTGAATCATAGTCCTCAAGAGTCCTAAGACTTAGGACGTAAGACTCAAGACTTACTCTTAAAACTTAGGACTCTGGGGAGTCCTGTGGTTTTTCGGGAGTAACACTTTGCTGAATGTCTACCTTTGAGCATCAACAGTGATCCTCAAATTCTTTATGGTGTATGTACAGTCACTAAGTTTTTAGGGCAAAAACATGTAATATTGAAATTAGAACTGGCGTTGAAATCCTTACCCTGCTCTTGGATATATGAACTAGTCTATTCTGGCTTCATGTACGTAGCAAGTTAACTATGGAGGAGTAGAAGCCATTAGAAGAATTCTAGAATTTTCAAAAAGGGGTTCTAAAGGAGCTGAATACATTTTTCAGGTGTACATAGAATTTTTAAAAACCTTCAGGATAGGACTGAATTTTGTGTTTTGTTTTAATGTAATCTCATATATTTAAAGAAATATACTTACTCATCACAGTTCTCAGAGGCAAAAAATTAAACATAGCTAATCAAATAAAATATATTTTTCTGAAGGACCCCAGAGTCAAAGGAAGTAAATGATCTCCAATTTCAGCGTAAAAATAAATAAATAAATAAATGAAAAGAATCAGAGAACAAAAACAGCAACAACAAAACCTAGTTGAAATGGACATGCTGAGTACATTTGAAGATCGATTTGGATTACATTTAGGTACAAAGAGAGTCTATGTCTCAGATGGAAAAATCAAGACAAAGGGTAACTGTGATTTGCACACAATCAACTACAACATGAAAGAGCATTGGACTCAAAGCTCGATGTGGCTATAGTGACCCCTGCTGGAGCCTATCTTTTAAACTAAAAACCTAAGTCAGGGCTTCCATGAGAATAACTAAAATTTTCATAGAAAAACTGATTTTGAGAGCTGGGAGAACGCTTAGAGGACATTTAGCATAACCTCCTTACTTCATAATTGATGAAACAGGCCTTTGGCCCAGAGAGGTTAAATGACTTGCTTTAGGTCACACAGCTGGGATTACCAGAATGTAAAGATGTCTCCTCAATTCTTGGGCCTGTTTCCATCAGTGGAGTTTTCTGTTACAACTAATAAAAGTATCTATAACACACAAAATGAGATGTCCAGGAAAAATCTCTTACACTGATTTTAAAATATTCACTTGATCTAGTTAACTAAAACTCAATTTTGCCGAAGAGAGAATTTCTAATTGATATTAACATGATACTTTTTTTTTCTTTAGCCTTTATGAGTTTATACAACTTTGTATCTGACTCAAATTTATTTTTGGAATGTTAAGTAGTTCTGTCCTTCACTAGGTTACCTATGTTCCACATCTCTATTTTAATCTTTTTGAAATATTTATTTGGATATTCTTTTTACGTCCTTTTCCATTCTTTGCCTCTAAAACTTGTTGATAATGTACTAAGCAAAGGGACAAAAAGGAAACGATGGTAAAGGACCTTATACTGGGATTTTCTGGAAGGCCTGACTCTGATTCTTACCCTCTACTCAGAGCTCTGGGACCACCCACTCATGAGTGCTCTTTGCATCTTCATTTTTCTTCTACCAATCAATACTTCTCTTTCTCCACTCCTTAAATCAGAGGTCCCCAGACATATCACGATCATGGGGTTTGTGCATTCACTCTCCTCTCACTGTACCAGAAGGCATAATCCTGGTCCCTGATCATATTCTTAGGTAGTTATGGAAGCTTTGGCAAAGTCACTTTACTCCTTCCACATTTCCTTTCTGCCATCTTTAAAATAGGTATAATAATATCAGCTATACATACTTTACAGTGTTTCAGGGATGATCTCTGTAATTTTTTCCTCTCCAATTATTCAAGCAGGTAGCCAGGTTCTTTTCTACTTTTTTGTGTGTGTCCGGAATTTTTTGCATGGGGAAAACTTAAGCCATCTGAGGTTTTAAAACTCCTTATCTTTTATACAAAAGATTATGGTAGGAGCCCTGGAGAAGGAAGGGAGAAGAGGGCTTTAAGTAAAAAGAACAAGATAGAAGATTGTCCCATTCTGACTAGAAAGGTTATAGAGGTTTATTGGTTTCATGACCAATTGGGAACACTATAGAGCCTGCTCTGAGGATGCCCCTGAGCAGGGTGGAAAGACCTCAGGGTGGAAGGGTTCATGATGTATGATTCAAAACCTAACTGGAAGACAGACAGAAGTAGAGATCGACATTGATTCACAGGCAAGTGGCACTTTGGCCAAGGAGTCAGCGGGTTGGAAAACAGAATTTGAGGAATGGTTAAAGGGAGGCCTGAGGAAGAGTTTTAGGACGGGCCTCTCAGAGTAAGCAGAGTGAGAATATCTGTGTCCCAAATTAATGCTTACTAAAAGGCATCCACTGTAAAACAGATTCTCAGTAATCAAGTAAAGAGTATGGCCAATCCTGTGGATGCCAGTTAGCTGCCTCCCCTAGCTACCCTGGCGCTTGTACAATGGGCCCATGAACACTTTGGCCCTAGCAACGGGCATGTTGATCACGTGTGGGCTTAAGAACATAGGATTCTTTTCTCCCACTATGATCTGGCTAGTCTCACTGATGAGAGATTTAAGGAATCTGAGTTGAAGAAATGGTTTCATGTCTGTTGGAAAAATCTGACTTGATTAAATGGTAGAATAATCTATTGACAACTTATGTTGCCACTTGTAAGACTAGGTTGCTGTCCCACAAGTTATTGTATATTTCCCAAGCCAGCAACTAATATATAATGCTATTTCTTCCATAGCCAGAATACTTAGATCTGAAAATGAAAGTGTAAAAGTATTGGTGGTTCCATTATTATTCCTAATGACCTACTCACATAACTTTTGTTTCCAACCTCACAATGTTGTGCTCTTAGTTTCCATGGAAGGAATACTTTTTCCAGGAAACACTAGAAGGGTTCCTTTGAATGGAAGCTGAGACTGCCACATCAGCCACTTTGAGGTCTTCAAGGCACTGAACCAACAAGGAAAGAAAGGGATTACTGTATTCGCTGGGACAATTAATCCTAATCATAAAGTGGGAAAAGTGGTGGTACTACAAAACAGAGGGAAGACCATGTC
The DNA here is from genome assembly GCF_000001405.40 of Homo sapiens. NCBI lineage: Eukaryota > Metazoa > Chordata > Mammalia > Primates > Hominidae > Homo > Homo sapiens. The sequence continues at coordinate 190,086,786 of NC_000002.12, read as the reverse complement.
TCAAAGGCAAGACATTCTCTGAGCAACTCCTTTCATATCCATATCTGAGCAATTCCTTCCATATCCATGGTAAAATTTACAAGATTAGAGCAAACCAAGCCAAGCAAGAACCACAATGGTTCAGATATTTCAGGAATGAAGGTTCAGGTCACTCTGACTGATAAATAATAACACCTAGCTAAAATGATAACTGAGCAAAGGGAGCATGGGAAGGGAAGTGGAAGAGGGAGTTACAAATACCTACTATGGCCTCATAAATTGTGTAGACTGCAACCATCGTGCATATTTTCTAATGTTTCTCTTTCCCCATCTTCCTTGAGGTCTTTGAGGATTTGAACCTAATTATGGAATAGGTCAGGGTCTGGAAGTGATAAGTAGTGAGAATTAACATTTAGGAGATTCGTCATCTTCCTGCAAATAAACCACCTCAGGTGAAATTATTACAGGTTATCAGATGGAAGAGGAGGACTGCTCCTACTAACAACTAAGACTCAGTGGAGTTTGTTAATTCAGGCAACAATTGGTGATATTTTAAGGAATGTTTTGTCATTACATTGTACAAATTATCAGTATCCTATTTTCCATTGATAGTGAGGCCATTACTGATTTCAAGTCTAATCTATGTGTATGTTAACATCCGCAATGTGCTTATACTATGTGATAGATTTCTTTGGAGGAAGGGAAACACAAGTGAAGGATTTGTAGTTGGATTCATTAGAACCTACCCAAATATTTCCATTCACAGGATCCCACTCTACTAACCTATGCCTAGAAAGGCTGCACTGTAATGCTGAAAGCTGTAGAAGCAAATTTAGGTTTGTTTTTTGGCTATTTCAGCCCCACTGGTACAAGAAACAAGACAGTCTTTTAGGTAGTTTCTAGTGCAAGCAGAACCTTTCCCATGGCCTTCGTGCTCATAATTTCCACTATAATATTTTATTGCACCAGTTACTTCATCTCTTAAGCCTTGCTGCTGAGAGGCACCTGGTTACCAGCAACAAAAGCTGATCATTTAAGAAATGTTTTGTCACTGTATGGTATGGATGATCAGTGTCCTATTTTCCATTGACAGTGAGGTCATTACCAATTTCAAATCTAATCTATGTATACATTAACATCTACAACGTGCTCATACTATGTGATAAGTTGTTCAGGGGGAAGGGGAACACAAATGAAGGAAAGAAATGGCCCATGGCCTCAAGTACGTTGTGATCTTATAATCAGTAGCTAAAAGAGTTCTGCTAAACTTCAGAGAGGAAATGGGATTCTTTCAGCTGCCTCATTCCCTCTTCACTAGATGATCAGTGAACGCTATATTTGTTAAGCTGAATTAGAGACGAGAGAAACTATTTCTTGGAGTGCTAAGTACTGATCTCGTATTTCTCACAGAAGCGGTGTTAAAAATGACAGTTAAGCTTTCACACTAATTCTTCAAGGCCTATTGAACCCAAAATGTTACTGAAATACACTGTTATTTGCATATAAAATATTGTAAATATCTGGCAAAATTATGAATAGGCTTTAATTGAATAACCAGGAAACCTAATTACCATCCAGAGATTGTTCCTATGGTAAAATATATTTCATGTCTAATCTAATATGAGATTGAAAATATCCATTTCCTTTCCCTCCCCTCAAGCACATATTCCCTACCCTGGCATCTATGGTTAAAAGGGAGTCCTCCTCTCCTGGCCACTTCCCAATAATGCCATGTGGTCTGGCAATGAAGGAATCACCCCTGACTAGGTGTAAAGAGAAGGGTGGTTTGGGAAATGGTTGGCAGCAGGGGCAGAAAGTAGAAGATGGGCTTTACAGCCAGGCTGACTAGGAAAACTAGAAAAGTTTTCCCATGGCCTTTTCAATGCACTATATGCATCTGACCCCAACAGGAGGCCACCAGAGGCAGCATTCCCTCCATCTGTCCCCAGATAAAACCCTTTTCAAGAATACCTTTTACTTCTTTCATAATCAATATTTTACAGAATGTTAAGTAACTTGTCAAAGTCCATTTAGCAAGAAAATATCAAAGCCAAGGTTGAAAGTTAGGTTATCGTACTCCCGTGTCCCTTCCTGTATGTTTTTCAGTACTTTCTGGGAAAATACAATCACCTTAAAAATAGTCGACAAGTGGGTTAGAAGAAGGGATGTCAGTTAATTAAATGACTGAATCTCAGTTGTTTAGTCTGTAGACTGTAATCTGATTAAAGGAATTTTATTGTGTTTTTTGACTACGTGAATACATTAAAGAGTTATATAATACAGCCTCAAAAAAATAGTCAATAAGGGGCATTTTCCACCAATTTATCATGATAGATAAACTATACTTCCCATCAGTGGTCTCAAACCAGCCAACACATTAAAATCACCCAGAAGCTTTAAAATTAACTGAGCTCTAGCTGGGCAAGGTGGCTCATGCCTGTAATCCCAGCACTTTGGGAGGCTGAGGTGGGTGGATCACTTGAGGTGAGGAATTCGAAACCAGCCTGGCCAACATGGTAAAACCCTGTCTCTACTAAAAGTACAAAAATTAGCCAGGCATGGTGGTGGGCGCCTGTAATCCCAGGTACGTGGGAGGCTGAGGCAGAAGAATTCCTTGAGCCCAGGAGGCAGAGGTTGCAGTGAGCAGAGACCATGCCACTGCACTCTAGCCTGGGCAACAGAGCCAGACTCTGTCTCAGAAAAAAAAAAAAAAAAAACCTGAGCTCTACTCCAGACCAATTAAATTAGACTCTCTGGGGGTAGGGCTTTGTGCAAATTTAACCATTTGACTCTAATGTATGCCCAAGGTTCAGAAGCTCTGGTATAATATATTATAAAGAAAATAGGCTTCGGAGTCTCAAACCTAGGCTTGAAGTCAAGATCCGTAACTTGCTCGCTGTGTGACTTCAACAAGCAAGGTACTTAATTGTTTTAAGAGTGAGAAAGAAAAGAAACCTTCTCTGAGGAATGTAAGCCTCCTCTAAATTATCAGGCCCAAAGAGGCATGGGAGTAAGGCAGCAGTGACATCCCACTTTCCCTGCTTGAGCTCATCACCTCTTGAAGCTTCTTGCTATGTGGACTCTAGACTGACTGTCGCTGCAAATAGCTGTAAGTTAACCTAACAATGTTGCATGATGGACACCATAACTCACGCCCTAGAGTTCAACAATGTATAGCTAATCACTAATCAATGTCATTTCTGTAAACCAATGGGAATTCCTGAAAAACAACTTTGTATCAGCCCACCGTCTTCCTTTTTTGCCTATAAAAACCTACTTTTCACAAAGGTCAAATGGAACTCTTATACAAGGTTATCAGGTCTGAGTCTTCTGGGCAGCTGTCCTCATCTTGGCTCAAGTAAACTCATTAAAATTATATTTAGTGCCTCAGCTTCTTCCTTTAGGTTGACAAGAGAGTAGATTTTTAAAATTTTATTTTGAGACAGGATCTCTGTCGCCCAGCTTGGAGAGTAGCACGATCTCGGCTCACTGCAGCCTCCACCTCCCAGGCATCGATCCTCCCACTTCAGCCTCCCAAATAGTTGGGACTACAGGTGCACACCACCACACCTGGCTAATTTTTGTATTTTTAGTAGAGACGGGGTTTTGCCATATTGCCCAGGCTTGTCTCAAACTCCTGAGCTCAAGTGATCCACCCGCCTTGGCCTCCCAAAGTGCTGGGATTACAGGGGTGTGCCACCGCACCCTGCCAAGAGAGTAGATTTTAAGTGTTTCACCATGCACAAAAAATAAATATGTGAGATAATACATATGTTAAATAGCCTGGTTTAGCCATTCCATAATGTATGCATATATCAAAACATCATGTTGTCTACCATAAATATATACAATTTTTACTTGTCAATTTAAAAAGTGTTAAGTTTTATAAGGATCAGGGAGAATGTATTTGAGCATCTCACATTACATTTGGAACAAGTAGAAACACAATAAATGGTAGCATTAATACTGGAAAACTGCTATAGTGGAGAGAAAGTGGGTTTAGAATTGGATATACCTGGCTCCAAATCCCATTTCTACCATGTTTAGTCTTTGATAAGTTAAACGTTCTGTGCCTTAGCTTCCTAATTTGTATAATGGTTAGAATAATTCCTATTTTAAAGAATTGCTATGAGAATTAAATGAAATAACATTTGTAAAACATCTAGCACATTACTTCTATTGTTTGCAATCCAGCTGTACTAGTAAAACTGCCCGTGAAAACAGTCATAGAATATTCCTTATATTTAGAAATGTTCTGTTTTCGATGTGGGCATGTATAGGTTCTATGTTTAGTGTAATAAATGTATATAACAGAATAAATTCTATTTATCCTATACTATTAACTATATCAACTGAAGAATGATGAGATTCAGAAATTTGGAAAGGAGAGCTTTATTTCACATAAAGGGTTGTAGCCTGCAGGTGGCCATCCTGACAGGCTGGGAAGCATGGCCTCTGGCCAGAAGCCAGAAACAGATACTTCAAGGGTCAGAAGAGTAAGACAGGAATTTATGCTGAATGGGGTGGCCAAATGTGCATATTCAATAAGCTATAGGAAAAGTCATGAATATTTATGAAAGGAGAAACATATGCATGCCCACATGAACTTCATGCCTCTTCATGGGATCCATGTTAGAAAAATGGCTGTCGGCATGATCCAAGGGTGGAGTTTTCAGCCCTCTGGCATCAAAAGGTAAAGTAGAGGGCACAAAAACCCTCACTGTGCATACTCCACAGACTGGCCAGAACCACTCCATACTCAGTGGTCTCTTACCAGGTAAAAAGGAGGGAAAATGTCAGGTGGATAGCTGTATCAGTGGTAGAGTCTTCAGAAAGGGCTGGTTTCTATTTAGCCCCTAGGGGAGAAAGCCCATCCCATCATGGCTGGGAACTCAGTTTTCAAAGTTTCTCTGGGGTCCCCTTGGCCGAAAGATGTGGTTCTGTTAAGTCAGTTGTGGAATGGGGGGTGCTTAGGATTTCATTTTTATTTTTACCTACTATACCATAGAATAAAGCTTCAAGATTTGGTGGCTGGATATAATGAAGAGACTTACTGAGGAGAGGGCAAGTGGAACCCACTGAGTTAGTGAGCTGGAAGGGAAATGCAGGCATCTCGCCCTTCCATCTATAGGGGAGTTTAAATTTTTCCCCCAAGGGTTTAATAATTTAAGTCTATAAAACAAACTAATAGAATAACAGAAAAAAGGCACGCAAATTGACTAACATGCTCATGTATGCACAGGAGTCATGCAAAATATGAAAAAGTCAAAAAAGGCAAGATGGTTAATGCTTAAATATTTGCCTCACTGGGGAGAGGTAAGATGCGGGTTAGGAGTAAATAATTTTCAGGGGAAAAGAATGAGCCCACAAAACAATTCTCTGGAACTAAGTTCCTCTGGGCTCTGGCGGACATGGAGTCACAGGGTATGGGAGGGAGAGGAGAGGAAAGGCATGGGTTAAAGGAGGTCTTGTAATGCAGATGAAAATATCTCAGGTAATGTCAGGGATGCCCTCAGAAAAAATAGATGGTAGCTTGTGCTTGAGTTAATCTTTCCTAGATCCAGGGAAGGAGTTGTGGCAGGGGATGGGGGGATGGGAGGATGGGGGGATGGGGGTTGGCTCAGAGAAAGCATGGCTGTTGATTTCACTGATGAACATTTTCTTTACAAATACAAATCTCCTCCACCAAAAGACAACCTTGCAGGGCCATTCCTTTCTGCAGACCCTCTCAGTATCCATCTTAAAATATGTTTTTTAAGTATATTTTGGAGTAAAATAGTTTTAGTTTCCTTTACATCTGTGTTGTTAGGAAGAGCTGTTGCCTGAACCTGATCCCCTAGTGAAGATCAAAGTGACCCAGAACACAGGGGGAAGCCAGGCTAGATTGTCATCACTGCCTTCATGAAATGGAATCTTGTACAGTCATTAGCTACTTACATCTCAGTGCTTCAATGCTGTAGTAGTAGAGGTTTGTAATCAAGATGCATTGTGTCAGCAGTGTTAAAACATCCCTGCTCCATTCTGACAACAAAATCTATAAATAGTTGATCTGAATATGGCTCACACCAGACCCTTGTATAATTCTCTATCTTCACAAGATGTGCCTGGCACATAAGGCCAAAGAACCTGGACCAATGCCTGACATATACAAAGTACTCAATAAATGTTCCTTGAATTGAACTGACCTATGTCCTTTGCCTGGAACACTTCTTTAGCTGGAACTAGATGTGAACATTTATTGGGTCTTACCAAGTGCCTGACCCTTTACTAGGCACTTTATATAGAGATCACCTCATTCACCTGGCAAACTCCTGCCCATCCTTCAAGATCCAGCTCAAATGTCACCTATTCTGTTAAACCTTGACTCCCTCCAACAAAGTCCTCTGTGCTTTTGCACTGACAGCTCTTTGCTCAATCTTCAGAAGAGCACTTACCACCTTCTATGTTAACATATCTGTTTACAAGTCTGTCTCCCCCACTGGAATATGAGGTCATCAGGGGCATTGTGTCTTTATTAATTTTTTTGTGTGAATGGTATATAGCACAAACATGATGAAATTAATTTGTAAAACAGTCTTGCGATTTTGCTAACTGTCACACTGAATATATTTATTTAAAAAACTACATCCTTCTAGACAAAAAGCCAGCTAATTTTTATATAACTGAGAAAGAAAGGGAGTTTCTATATAACCGAGGAAGAATGAATTCTATAATATCTGCACAGACCAGCTGTGAGAATCAGCACCTCACAAGAAATACGTAATATGTTGCCACTAGCACCTACCTTGGAATCAAACAGGTGTGCTCAGGATATCTATTTCACCTGGTCACCAACAGCTGGCAGGTCCAATAGGCTACAACAAGAAAGAGAAGGATGAGAAGATTTGTATCTCTCTTTCTCTCTCTCTCTCTCTCTCACACACACACACACACACACACACACACACACACCCCTCATTTTTCCCTAAAGCATTATTGCTCAAAATCTTTTTTTTTTAAGATGGAGTCTTGCTCTGTCTCCCAGGCTGGAGTGCAGTGGCCCAATCTCGGCTCACTGCAACCTCTGCCTCCTGGGTTCAAGAAATTCTCTTACCTCAGCCTCCTGAGTAGCTGGGATTACAGGTATGCATCACCACATCCAGCTAATTTTTGTATTTTTAGTAGAGACGGGCTCTCGCCATGTTGGCCAGGCAGTTCTCAAACTCTTGACTTCAGGTGATCCGCCCACCTCGGCCTCCCACAGTGCTGGGATTACAGGTGTGAGCCACTGCGCCCAGCCCAAAATCGTTAACTCAAATATAAAATGGGGAGAGAACACTCACAGAGTTTTGTGAAGATAAAATGACATAATGTATATGAAGTGCTTGAGACAGTGACAAATTCATTGCCAGCTAAAAAAGTGGTAGTTACTTATGATACTTGTGGGTTTGGTGGCCCACACTAGACCACACTTTTTTAACCTTCTAGCTTTCTGATTCCTCTCTTTCCACTAAATGGTGTGGAGCAGGAAGTTTAGTGAGAAAAATTTCTTGACTCTCAGATGTCTGACATGAGCAAGCAACTGGTTGAACTGTGGCACAATTTACTGAAATAGAGAAGATTGGGTGGGGAGGGTAGTGTTGATAAATCAAGAGTTCTGCCTTGGACATGTTAAGTTGAAAATTCCTATTAACTACCCAAAAGGGGTGTAAAATAGACTGTTGAATATGAGTCTGGAGCAGATCAGCAGAAAATTAATGTTAAAAGTCAGAGAGCTGGATGAAATATCTATGGAAAAAGCATACATATAATAAATGAAATGTTTTTTTTCATAGTTATAAAATGGATTCTAAAATTTTCCTTTCTACTTGTATTTGATATTTACCTTTCTATGTCAGTACATATAGATTTAGCTGGAGATACTATAACTTATTTAATTTCTAATAGTTGTACATATATTTTGTTCCCAACTTGAAACATTACATGCTTTACAAATATCTTTGAGAGTTTATGCAAGTTGATCAGAGGGTAAAATCCTAAAAGATAGAATTGCTGGGTCAAATGCAACGGCATATTTAAAAATTTAAAAGATAGTGCCAGATTGTCCTGCAAAATGGATAAAAAGTAAAATTTATACTCCCACCAAGAGGGAAAGAAGGGGTTATTTTCTCATGCTTATCCTGATTTTGAATGAGAAATGGTATTTCACTGATCTTTTAATTTTTGTTCTTATTTAATTATGAGTGAGGTTGAACATCTTTTCAGAGGCTTATCAGAAATATATATTTCTTTTTGCCATTTTTCCATTGGGTTTTTAACCTTCTTATTTTTAAGGGTTCTGGGCTAAAGGTAAGAAGAAAGCCATTTTTTTCTTATCATAAGTGCTTTATTTCCACCCTTCTGCTATGTTTGCATTCTAAGGGGACTTCTATTTCAGGCCACATTTAGTAACCAGGTAGTATATTTACCTTCCTGCTGTAAACAATTAGAACATAGGGTAAAATATAAGAAACAACTTTTCAGAAATTGGACACTGGCAGCATAAGACTATAATTCCTAGGAGAAGGGAAACAAATGATGTGATGCACAGAACTGTCCTAGAGGCAGATTTTGGATCACAGTACAGGGAGGACAAAACTAAGAGAAAAGCCATCTTGCTAAGTCAAGGAAACAGATCAGTAATTGGAAACGCTGAGGAGACTAGGTATTGTGGGGCAAAGGGCTGGAGAGGAGGGAGCTATGCAAAGAAAGGCTCTAGAGGTCCCCTTGAATCTGAAATAGGCTGTAAATGAATAGAATGAAAGAAACTTCATGAGCCAGGCAAAGAACTCCTTAAGAACAATAGCTGAACACTTATTTGAGTTCACAATGGGCTCTAAATTCTGAGTAGCCAGAGTAGGAAGACTAGTTGAATACCCAGGGCATTAAAAAACCCTAGAAAGGTCACGCATTAATAATCAGACTAAACTAGTCCCAGAGTAAAAGCTACTGTAGACCAACCCCAGCAAGCTTAAAAGTCAGCCTTTAAAACATTAACTTGATCTACAAGTAACTTAACTCCTTGTCTAAACCAACTTCAACACTCTTCAAAGGAAGACAACAAACTTCAGCTGTACTACAACATAATATTTACAATCCCCTGCACTCAATAAAAAATTACTAGACTTACTAAGGGGAAAAAACAGTCAATAGAAATAGACAAATAAATAAATAAGACATAGATAATGACTGTGCACGGTGGCTCATGCCTGTAATCCCAGCACTTGGGAGGCCGAGGCAGGTGGACCGCTTGAGGCCAGGAGTTCAAGACTAGCCTGACCAACATTAACATTTTAACATTTTTTAAAAAATTTTTAACATGTTAACATGTTAACATGTTAACATTTTAAATGTTTAACATTTTAGCCTGGCCAACATGGCTAAACCCTGTCTGTAAATAAAAACACAAAAAATTAGCCAGGTGTGGTGGCAGGCACCTGTAATCCCAACTACTCGGGAGGCTGAGGCAGGAGAATTGCTTGAATTCAAGAGGCAGAGGTTGCAGTGAGCCAAGATCATGCTACTGCACTCCAGAGTGAGACTTCATCTCAATTAAAAAAAAAAAAGACATAGATAATGGAATTTGCAAAGAACTTTAAAACAGCCACTATAAATATGCTCAAGGTTTTAAAAGAAAATATGAGCATAATAAGGAAAAAAATAGAAGACATAAAAATGAATTGTCTAGAGATGAAATATAATATCTGAAATGAAAATTCACTTGATTAGATTAATAGGCAATTAGATACTGCAGGAAAAAAAAATCAGTTGTACCAGAAGAAATAGCAATGGAAGCTATCAAAACTGAAGTACAGAGAGAAAAAGAGACTGAACAGTAATATTAACATAGCCTGTGTGACTTACAGGACATTAAGTTGTCTAATTAATGTATGTGTCATTACAGTCCCAGAAAATGATGAGGGGAGAAAAATATATGAATAAATAATGGCTGAGCTTTTTCCAAATTTAATGAAAACTATAAACCCCCAAATCCTGAAAACTCAATGAATCCAAAGCAGTATTAACATAGAGAAAATCACATCAAGTCATATCAAATACCACTGCTGAGAATTACTGACAAAGAGAAAATCTTAAAAGTAGCCAAAGAGTAAGACACACTATATACAGGAACAATGATAAGTAATATTGATTTCCTGTCAAAACAATGCAATCTGAAATACAAATAATATCTTTAAAGTGTTTAAAGAAAAATGTTGGCAATATAGAATTCCATATCCAGTGAAATGTCTGAAAATAAGATTAAAATAATGTCTTCTTCAGACAAACAAAAGCTGAGAGGATTTGTTCCCAACAATCCTGAAGTAAAATAAATGCTAAAGGATTTCTTTCAGGCTTAAGGAAAATGTTATCATATAGACACTTCAATCTTTAACAGTGGTTCTCCACTGGGGAGAGCTTGCCCCCCAGAAAACTTTTGGCAATGTTTGAAGGCATTTTTAATGGGCATGAAATGAGGAGAGTTGTTGCTAGCATCCAATAAGTTGAGCCAGGAATGCTGCTAAACACCTTACAATACACAGCATAACCCCCCACAATAAAGAATAATCCAGCCCAAAATGCCAAAGTGTTTATGTTGAAACACTTATCTACACAGGAAATGAAGAGCACTGGAAAATATAGATATATGCATAAATACTTAAGGCTTTTTATAGAAAATTATTTAAGGCAAAAATAACAACAATGCATTAGGGAATTTATAACATAGGTAAAGGTAAAATGTATGATGGCAATCACACACGAAGCAGTAAAATATCATTTGAAGGTAGACTATGATAATTAAAAAATATCTACATAAAAAACAGGCATAGTGAGTAAATCAATAGTGGAGATAAAATGAAATACTAAAAAATAATCTGAAAGAAGATAGAAAAAGAAAAATGGAACAAAGAACAGATGGAACACTAAACTTAAACCAAATCATATTGAAAATTACATTAAATGTAAATAATCTAAAAACTCCAATCAAAAGGCAGAAGTTATAAGACTGAATAAAAAAACAAGACCCAACTACATGTGGTCTACCAAAAAAACCACTTTAAAAATAAAGACACAGGTAGGTTGAAAGTGAATGGATGGGAAAAGATACAACATAAAAACACTAATCCTAAGAAAGCTGGGTGGCTATATTAATGTCAGACAAAGCTGATTTCAGGACAAGGGATATTGCCAGAGATAAAGAAGATGATTTTATAATGATTAGAGTTGATTTAATTCATCATGAAAACATAACAATCCTAAATATGTATGCAAGTAATTATAGAGCTTTAAAATACATTTAAAAACTGACAAATGAAAAGAGAAGTAGCCAGATTCATCATTAGAGTTGGAGCAGATAGAAAATAAGAAAGGCTATATAGAACTTAAACAAACCTGACTTGACATTTAAAGAATCACACATGCAATAACAACTGAACACAAATTATTTTCAAGTGTTCATGAAACATTCACCAAGATAGAACATAAGGTGGGCCATAAAACCATTTTTAATAAATGTAAAATGATATAAATAATACCAACTACATTCTCTGATTACAACAGAAGTTAGAAACCAGTAACAAAAATATATCTGGAAAATATCTGAATATTTGGAAATTAATCATACTTCTAAATAAGTATGGTCAAAAAATAATCACAAGAAAAATTACGAAATATTTTGTATTGTGTGTGACTTAGAAGTTTTCTTTGCCATGTTGGAATTTAAATTTTTTATCTAAATACATTTACCAAGCTATAGTAGAAAAGCTTGGTAAACACGCCTAGCTAATTTTAAATTCATCACGGCAAAGAACCTCAAACAAATTCTGGCACATTTACATGCTTAAGAATGTTTGACACCAACATTTACATCATAGTGTATGATACTCACATTTTCTTCTCATACTTTTCTGGTTTCATTTTTGAGATTTAAATTTTGATAAATATAAAATTGTCCCTGCTTTCATGGAGCTTACGGTTTAGTGGTCAGGGATCCACATGGCTAGTTTTCTGTCCCAATACCATTTATTATATAGTCCATCTACTTAACGGCCTAAGTTAAAATGACACTTTTATCTCTTCTGTAGTTTTCCTATATGATTTGATCTACTTTTGCACTCCTTTTCTCTCTTTTTTTTTTTTGAGACAAAGTCTTTCTCTGTTGCCAGGCTGGAGTGCAGTGGTGTGATATCTCAGCTCACTGCAACTTCCAACTCCCGGGTTTAAGCGAATCTCCTGCTTCAGCCTCCTGAGCAGCTGGGACTAGAGGCACGCGCCACCACGCCCAGCTAATTTTTGTATTTTTAGTAGAGACGGGGTTTCACCATGTTGGCCAGGATGGTCTTGATCTCTTGACCTCATGGTCCACCCGCCTCAGCTTCCCAAAGTGCTGGGATTACAGGTGTGAAGCCACCGCACCTGGCCTTTTCTCTATTTTTAAATTCTTCTTTCAAAACTGTGCATTTTAAATTATTTCACCTTAAAATGTTTTCATATCCATTAGTGATATTCCCCTCTCATTTCTTTTCCTTATAAAAATTTACCTAGCTATTCTGAAATATTTATATTTAAAAATGTATTGATGTTTGAATTGGAAAGTACGTTGCATTTATAAAATAAAGAGAAAGGCATTTTAAATTTGGTTTGGTTTATTTGGGGTTAAGCTCTTAATACACAATGCCTGTGCTCCACACCAGACTAAATCTTTGGTGATGGAGCCTAGATATTCTGCAATTTTTTTTTTTTTTTTTCTGAGACGGAATCTCACTCTGTCATCCAGGCTGAAGTGCAGTGGCACAATCTCGGCTCACTGTAACCTCCGCCTCCCAGGTTCAAGCGATTCAGCCTCCTGAGTAGCTGGGACTACAGGCACGTCTCACCACACCCGGCTAATTTTTGTGTTTTTAGTAGAGATGGGGTTTCACCATGTTAGCCAGGCTGGTCTCAAACTCCTGACCTCAGGTGATCCATCACCTTGGCCTCCCAAAGTGCTGGGATTACAGGCGTGAGCCACCGCACCCGGCCGATATCTGCAGTTTTTTTTTTAACTAAGTGATTGTAATGTACAACCAGGGTAAAGAAACACTGGTCCTATAATATAAAGAAAATATTAAATCTCAAATAATAAATGGAAAGACACACCCTTTTCTTGAATAGGAGGACTCAGTATTGTATGGTAGCTAAAATTTTTCTCTGGGCTTCACACAGGCCTTCAGATTTATTTCTATATTTATTTTTATTAATTATTTTAATTCTAGAAGGGTGGCTTTTAGAGTATTAATATTTTGATTGCGACCCACAGTAAATAACACAACTTCAAAAGGAGACCTGGTATATACACTGATAAAAAAGTTTCCCATAATTCTATTTGCCCTTTACTCTGAGCATGCACTCTATTCTATTCTTACTCTATTTTGTAAAAAATGCTTATATCTAAACACTGTTTTGAAAAATACTGTTCTACATTACCTGTCCATTGAGGATTTGGAAGAATCATCTATAGACTGGCACTTTTCAGAGTATTCCACTTTCTTCCTGGTTGTGTTTTTTTCTGGAAAATCTATATATGTTCATTTCATACAGGTCTTCCAGGTCTTCAAATTTATTTCCATAATACTTTTGCAGTATACTCTTTTAATTCTCTGTCTGTAAACCATTTATCTTTCTCCCTCTGAATTTACAGTATTTGTGCATTCTTTATATTGATAAATTAAGCTAGTGTGTTTTTTCTCTTTAAAAAAGTTATAAATTTATATTATCAATTCGATTACTTTGCTGTTTCTGACTCAATTTATGGTTTTATCTTTTTAGTTTTGTTTTAGCTGTCACTTTAATTTGTAGCCTATTTTATGGTTCATTTTCTAACTTTTTAAGTTAAAGAGTGTGTGATTTTCATACTTTCTTGTTTAGCAATACATATTTGAAGCTATGAATATCTGCTAAACACAGCAGTTGTTTCCTATAAGTTTTGGTATGTAACGTTTTAGCTGTTATTTTGTACACATTCTGTGATAACACTTGTTTCCTCTTTGTACCAAAAGTTGTTTTAAACAATTTTTATATTTCCAAGTAGAAGAAGAGATGTTGATTTTTTATTTTGACTATTCATTTTTGTTTAATTATACTGTGATCAGAGAATATGGTCTGGATTATTTCTAATTTGGGACATTTATTACAATATTTGTCAATTTAGTAAATGTTTCATGGGCTTTAAAAAATAAGATTGATTTTTCATTGTCAGGATATAGCATTCACTACAAATTTTTTTCATCAACCTCATTGACTTAATTGTTCAAATACTTTATATCCTTACTAATTTTCAACTGTTTGATCCATGAAGTGAATTAAAGTCTGCTACTACTATTATTTTTTTTATTTCAACTTTTATTTTAGATTCGGGGGTGCAGGTTTGTTACCTGGGTATATTGTGTGATGCTGAGGTTTTGGGGTATGATTGGTCCCATCATCCAGGTAGTGAGCTTAGTACCCTACAGTTAGTTTTTCAACCCTTGTTTCCCTTCCCCTAGCTTCCTCCCTCCAGTGCTCCCCAGTGTCTATTTTGCTATCTTTATGCTCATGACTACCCAACGTTTAGCTGTCACTTATAAGTAAGAACATGCAGTATTTGTTTTTCTGTACTTGCATTAATTAGCTTAGGATAATGGCCTCCAGCTGCATCCATGTTGCAGCAAAGAACATGATTTCGTTCTTTTTTATGGCTGCATTGCTACTACTGCTTTGTTTCTTACCCTTTCTCCTTGCAGTTCTGCAGTTTTTCTTTATGTATTTTTATTAAATCGTTCCATGCTTTAAGATTTATGAAAGGTATATCTTCTCTGTGGAGTGTTTCCTCTACCATCATAAAATTTCCTTGTCTTGTTTTTACTTTCTGTCTTAAATTCAAACCTGTGACTAATATCATGACTCCAGTTCTTTTTTGTTAGCATTTGTCTGGTATATCTTTTCTGACTTTTTTCTTTCTAGTTTCTTAATCATTTTGTTCTACATCTCCATCTTGTGTACATTATAAACCCATCGTTCACTTTATAAAAGTTTAATTTAGAAATTTTTAATTTTACAAAGATTTATAATACAAATTAATATTAATGATATCAATATTGTTAGATATTACTGGTATTATTATTGACACATTTTCATATTTAATATTTATGAAGCACACAATTCATTGTTGTATGAACATCATATTTAACATGACATTTTCACTGTTGTGTGAACATCATAGAATGTACTTACACAAACCCAGATGGTATAATCTACTGCATAGGTAGGCTGCATAGTATAGCCTATTGCTCCTTGGCTACAAACCACTACTGCATGTTACTGTACTATATTATACCACAGGCAATAGTAACACAATGGCATTTGTATATCTAAACATATAATATAGAAAAGGTACAGTAAAAAATATGGTATAAAAGATAAAAAACGAATAGCTAGAACTACAAGTGTGTGGCACTACAACAAGCTAAATTTTTCACTTTTATTTTTTGTAGAGATGGGGTCTCATTATACTGCCCAAACTGGTCTTGAACTCCTGGCCTCAAGCAATCCTCCTGCCTCGGTCTCTCAAAGCACTGGGATTACAGGTGTGAGCCACCATGTCCAGCCTACTTTCTTTATATCCTTGTTTTATAAGCTTTTTAAAAAAGGTTTTTAAATGTTTTTGTTAAAAACTAAGACACAAACACACACACTAGCCTAGGCCCACACTCAGTTGGGATCATCAAGACATCACTAAGCCGTAGTAATGTTTCAGCTCCGTTATAATCTTCTGGGACCCCCCTCATCTATGTGGTCTGCTGAGATTGTTACGCAGTGCATGACTGTACATTCAATGCTTACCCACAACCAAATAGTGGGTGTTCATAAGTATTTGATGAAAATCTAAGTAAAGGGTCCTTACTATACCATACTTTATCAAGTATTTGAATTTTACCAGTTCTTCCCATCAGATTTCTCCTCTGAGTTTGAATGGAGATTTTTAAAAAATATATTAGATTTCCAGAAAAATTTGTTGTATTACTGGGGACTTAAATTCATGTGTCATCTAAAAATATCCAATATTTAACATAGATTTTGGGTCTTAATCATAGTAATGTCTTACTTACATATTTTATTCAGCCAGATTCTGCAGGTTACCAAAAAAAAAGGGGGGGGGGAGAGAGAGGGAAAATATATCACACTGAACTCGCTGAACTCAAGGTTTAAACTGAAGTTCTTATGACCTTAGAAAAATTGACAGCAGAAGTAATGTAGTTCTTAGAGTTCCCAGCAGGGGCCAGAATGTTCATGCTAAATCTAATTAAATGAAAGTTTTTTTTTTTTTTAAACTATAAGTCAAGGTTGTACCTAGTTCTGAACTAATTAGAAATTCAAAGATATAACTCCTTGTAACTTTCTGTGGTTAAAATAACTAGAAACTACTGACTTTTTAATGTTAAATTTCAAGAATATAGATATATAATTTAAAATATTGAAATTTGAGTTAAGTAATGATGTTATATAACAAAACACTGACCCCAATACCTGAGCAAATGGGCTTCAAAAGTACATTTAGTCAGTAGACATTAAAACTCCTATACTAATTGCCAAAAACAGCTCATTGAATCTTTCAGTTGCCAAGCCGGAACCATGGATAGGGTCCAAGAACAAAGGGCACCACTGTGGCACTGACCCAGGAAATTGAGCGCTGACCTAATTTGTTCATTTTAGAACATTAAAAAAATTCTTAATTCAACATAAAGAAGTTAAAGAAGTACTTGGTGCTTCAAAAGTATTTCACTGTAAATTGCCTTTGCAAATTAAATAAACTGTTCTTCATTTAATTCTAATTTAAATCATATAACCTCTCTCTGGGCCTCAGTTTCTCCATCTCTTTATGAATAGAGTGGATAGAATAACCTTAACATCCTATAGCCCTAAAGTTTTTTATTTCCCTTAGGCAAAAACAGCATCATCTTTTTCTGTGTCCAATTCCTGGCATAGTACCTATCATAAACCAGGTGCACAATAAGGGTTTAATGAACAAATACATGTATAAATGAACAGATGAATATATTTTAAAAATACTTCTTTCTAAGAATTTACAAAAGAATTTGGAAATGGAATGACTCTCTGAAAGCCAATCCTCTGTGAATTATGGAAAACTACGCTTTAGGCAATTCCAAGGAAATAAAACATGAGTCTCCAAGAAAGAACTAAATTTTTCTAAGGCTATTACTACCTTCAAACCACCAATGGAGTAAAGAGAGTTAAGATTTCTAAAAATGGTTTTACAACTATACATTTAAAAATCTAAATCAAAAAAATTATTATTTTTAGATTTAATTGTAAGATTTTTCTCTTGGGGAGTGGTTGGTTACTAGAAACATTAACTTTAAAAATTTTTAAAACTAAAGACAAATTATTTGCCAATTCAATCTATATTGTCAGCTGTTCTGGAAACCTGTGTTTGTTCTAAAGTAAGTGAAAACATCATGCAGAAAACTGGTCATCAAATATAATGAAAATAAATTTATTATTATGCTCAGTTCATACTTCTCCCTACTGGGAGATTGATCTGTCTTTGCCTTGCTCTCTCTCTCTCTCTCTCTCTCTCACACACACACACACACACACACACACACACACACACACATATGCATGCACACACACACCCCTTTTGAGACTTCTTTTCTACCCTCTGGCTACCTTTGAGACTCATTAAACTTAATATGAACCTATGTTGGGGAAGGGATCTAGTCACCTTAAGCAGTGGTGTCATAGCCAGCATGGCAACTCCCTAGTATGGTCCCTGTTAAGAGCCACACGGTGTGAGAAGCCATAGATCTAGGAAGCCCAGATCATTAAATGCAAAAGCTGCACTGGGATACTCAAAGTGCTCAGTGCTCCACTGGAGAACTACTGCAGTGTCAAGAACACAGGGACCTGTGATACTAATCTCTCCTGCCAGTTTCAGGAAGAGGGGAGTCAACAGAAATGCTATGAACTACAGTCAGAACAAACTAAAAACCCTTTCACTTAGAAAGTCTATAAATACACTAACTACACCTTGCCGAGAAGTTGAAAAGTTGGAGTTTCTGGTATTTAAGGAGTTGTTTGTTCATTTAGTGGTTTAATTATTTAAAAAACACTGTTCTGGCCAGGTGCAGTGGCTCACGTCTGTAATCCCAGCACTTTGGGAAGCTGAGGTGGGCGGATGGATGACTTGAGGCCAGGAGTTCGAAACCAGCCTAGCCAACATGGCAAAACGCCGTCTCTACTAAAGATACAAAAAATTAGCCAGGCATGGTGGCACACACCTGTAATCCCAGCTACTCAGGAGGCTGAAGCAGGAGAATCGCTTGAACCCGGGAGGCAGAGGTTGCAGTGAGCCGAGATCCTGCTACTGTACTGCAGCCTGGGTGACAGAGTGAGACTCCATCTCAACAAACAAAGAAAAACACTGTTCTCCCCGTCTAACTATGTGCCAGGTACTAGACCAAGAGCTGAAAAGACAAAAAAGAGCAAAATATTCCCTGCCTTCAAATAGCTCATAGTCTATTTGGGGGATGGAAGGGTAGGGATTAGAGGACAAGTAAGGAAACATTAAAACACAAACATATAAGAATTGTAATAATCGAGGAGGGGACAATCTATACAATTTTAACAGCAAGTCTTTGAGTCTAGTTTGTTTTTTTAGAGAGGGTCTCGCTCTGTCTCACGCCACCGCACCCAGCTAATTTCTGTATTTTTAGCAGAAATGGTGTTTCACCATGTTGGCCAAGCTGGTCTCGAACTTCTGACCTCAAATGATCCAATCTGCCTCAGCCTCCCAAAGTGCTGTGATACAGGCATGAGCCACCGTGCCTGGCCCCTAGTATCTTTTTTTCAATAGAAAAAATGAGGAAGCCAAATTATAACTTCATTTTTATTTTCTATGATAAATTTTAAGCCTATAATAAATAGA
Source organism: Homo sapiens (assembly GCF_000001405.40). Classification (NCBI taxonomy): domain Eukaryota; kingdom Metazoa; phylum Chordata; class Mammalia; order Primates; family Hominidae; genus Homo; species Homo sapiens. Next base: position 190,067,825 of record NC_000002.12, on the reverse strand, counting down.
CTAGAGCTCCCATTTTGGGAAGGAGGGAGAGGAGAAATTGCATTTTGAAGTTTTCCTGAATTAATTCTACTCTTAAAGGACAATGGATTGCAGCAATTTTATTAACTAGGACATTATTATGAGGATTGCCAGAGTATGAATACAGTCACCTCAAGACCTTCTGAAGACCATCTACAAGAAATCCCTTAAGACTACTAATTTCAGTCTATACCCTAGAACTGACAAATATTTTGCAAATGACCTCTAGATTGCCTGCAAGTTTGTAGTTGGTGATTACAATAATATTTACATTTCTGCTTTTTGTAATAATTATGTACTATTAAATAAACAATGTTTTAAAATTACCATGTTTGATGTCTCATTAAAAGCAACGCTACAGGTATTGGGAGGAGGGGACTGTAAGTTAAAGGGGGAAGTATTCAATTGAAGTAGTGTAAAAAGTACTACTTTGGGCATATGGTTCTCCAAGTACAGTCTGGGGATCACTGGGGTGCTTCCCAAGTCTCTTCCAGAGAGTCTATGAAATAAAAACTGTTTTCATAATAATACTAAGATGTTTTTTGCCTTTCTCACACTCATTCTTTCTTATGTGTACAATAGTTTTCCAGAGGCCCCATAATGTATGAAGACATCATGACTCTGTCAGCAAATAAAATGCATGCTTGAATATGCCTGCACATGACAATTTGTTTTAATATATATGTGTTAAATATTAATGATATAACTGACACAAAAAAAGATTTGGGGGATTCTAAATAGTTTTTGAGAGTATAAACAAATCCTGAGACCCAAAATTTTGAGAATCACTGCTTTAGGGGATAAACCTCAATGGAAAGGGCACACCTAATCAAATTTATTCATATTTCATATGAAGAAACTAGTCCATAGGTTTCCTGAAGACAGTGATTGTGTCTGTCTGGCTCGCTGTTTTATCCTCAGAATCTAGCATAGTGCCAGGTACAAAATAGGCATTCAAATATTTCATAAACTAATACATGAATTCACACATACATACATTTATAAATGAAGGGTTTGCTAACTGACTTATTCAAGGTTACATAAAACATCAACAGTAAAGCCAGAACTATATTTTGGGTCTCCTGCCTTCTATTCCCATATTCATGCTACCTAGCTTAAGAATATTTTTTGTTTTTGTTAATTTTTGTCTTCTAACTATCAAAAGCATGGGTAATCAGTTATCATCAATGTGGGATGATTATCTTCTCATGATGTTAAGTGAGTTGAGTACTATGCAGATTTTTTCTGGCTCTAAGAATAATCAGCATAAAGTAATACCAAACAGCTGTAAACACAAGTTAATGACAAGAGGTATCAGATAAAACTTTCTGAGTTTTTGCCCAAAACTGTTGAATTTTTCATGATTCATTCTTGTGCTAATTCCTAATCTCATCGTCCTCCTTTTCTTGGCCATGATCATTAAACTTCCGGCAAGTCTTTACATTAGTACACTCAGTAGATCTCACACTGGAAAAATAAAACCGTAATTTTTTTTTGGAAAATATTGTTTATACCCTCAACATTGTTTTGAGACAACCAGTGAGTATTTGTAACAGAGATGAGAGAGTTTCGCTTGCCACCTTACTGACGGTTACAGAAAATGTGAGGCCCACAACAGTCTACCTAGTACAAAGACGAACCATACCAGTCTTGTGAGATACTGCCTTAACTACCTAAATTCTGACTCCTGTGAGAAGCTGCTTTTAGAGATGGCTAACTTAAGACAAAACCAACAAGCTGATAGACGCAGCTCTCCCAGTTAACTAGGAGGAATTCTTCTCTACCCACTCACCCTAATGATGCAGTACTGTCCTGTCTCCTTGGTGATAAGAACTGCCAGAACTGGGTCTCCAGCAGTCAGACTACATTGAAGTTTCCTATAGCTGGTGAGCCCTTCTATTCTGGGGCCTCAGGAAGGTTGCAATCACTGCCACTGGAGAAGGAATAAAACTTACTTAAATTTCTTCAGTTCTTCTTCACCCATTCAATACTGTTCTCTAGAGAAGTTGATTAGATATAGTCAATTCTCCCTATTCATAGTAGTTATGTTCTATAAAGTCATTGCCAACACTGAGTTAGCAAATATTGAACTATTGTTCCCAGGGGAAAAACAGGGTTAGTTGAGCCTCTGGTCATAACATTTACATCACCCAATCAATATATAACCTTGTTTTATGTATGTTTTTGTTTACAAATACATTATTTAATATATATTGTTCATTCATTAACACTGAACTCACAGCCAGCAGCACTATAACTCAGGCCTGAATGATGCTTATCTAGCACATGCATTTTTTCATGAGAACTTTTTTCCCTTAGGCATATCACAGCCTTTTAAAATTGTGGTAAATATACACAACATTTAGCATCTTAACCATTTTTAGGTGTACAGTTCGGTGGCATTAAGCACATTCACACTGTTGTGTAACCATCACCACCATTCATCTTCAGAAATTTTTCATCTTCCCAGACTGAAACTCTGTATCTATCACACAGTAACTACCCCTCAGTGCCTCACCCAGTCCCTGGCAACCACCATGCTACTTTCCATTGCAGCTTTCCTGTGATTAGGAACATAGGAACACCACGCAGCACGTCAGCACTATGCTTGGGGGCCATTTTTAAAAAGCAAAATCAATAAGAGGAGCAATAAAAAAAGAAGCACAAAATATGTGAAAACATGGCACTAAATAGACGGGAAAAAGGGAATTTGTTTATAGTATGAGAGCTGAAACAAAAAGGCGGAACCCTGCCTTGTTTGACCTCATCTGGGAACCTGTGCGTCAGATAGGACTCAAATTTTTTGCCGCTCTGTGAATGCCAGCGAATGACTGAAAAATGCTAGGAATATTGAGTTTCATAGATAAATTTTAGCAAGTAGGCAAATTTGTGAATACAGAAATCATGAATAATAAGAATTGTCTGTTAGCGGAAATGACAACCTTTGTTCACTTTTTTCCAGGTGATAAGAATAAAGAGCTGGAACATGTCTTGTAACCTGGCTGCCTTAGAAAATTTTACTTGCCTCACAGGCCTAGAAAGTAGGCTTTGTGACTGATAATTGGCAGCTATGACCTGAAGCAGTTCTAGTTCATGTGGAGCATAATTTTAAGCATAATCTCAAACCCTTCTGCATAAAACAAAGAGCAAGCACTCAAATGCCAGTTATCAATTACTTACTATATGACAGGTGCCATATTCAGCAATTTACATGCATTATTAAATTATATCCCCCCAAAACCCTATGAGGAAGCTAAAGTTTAGGGAAGTTAAGTATCTCATCCATTATCACATAGTTAGAAGTGGCAAAGTTGAGATTTGAACTCAGGTCTATCTGACTCCAGAGCCTGAGTTCTCAATTCAACTGCTATACAATTCTAAGCATATTAAAAAAAAAGTTTGACTTACTTGGAACTGTATAGATGCATGTGTTACAATGATCATAACATTTGAAAGATTTACACATTGAAAAATGAATTTACCAAACAAATAAAACCTTAGAAGCCAGATCTAATATTGTCCCATAACAAAGAGTATCTGAAATCCTCAGGGCATCTGGTTTGTGTCTGGTTTTCCTTAATCTTTAATGATGAGCAAATCCAATGCATTATGTAAGGCCATTTTTTTCTCAAGAGATGTAGATACCTCTTAAGAATTTGATGAAAATGCATTAACTTTTCAGGCTACTGAGTTGCATTTTAGTGCACCGAGGCAGTAAATTAGTGTACAGTGTGCAAAAATGGTAGTGACTTTAAAAATAAATATTTGATATGAGCCACTGTATTCTCTTGGAAAAAAAAAGTAATGGACTAAATCTCTTAGGAATCCTTAGCTTCCCAAAAAGGAGTAGGAAAAAGAAATCTCCTTTGGCCTAGAAATATCTTCTGTTTCTTGCTGGCTATGTTTGCTTAGCTCTTTAATAGTTCATTTGACTAGATCTTGTGGCTCCCAAAGCTAAGGTTGAACGTTTGATCCCTACAGAGGCCACTTAAATTTAGAGAACAAAAAGCTCTATTCTCTGCTCCCAGACTTTACCCCAAATCCCTGCCAGGTGTCTGCCCTCTGGTCAAAATGAGAAATTGGCAAAGGGGTGCAAACATATCGCAGTATTGGGAAACAACAAAAGGTCACCCCTTTATCATGATGCTCTTTCTCTTTTATGTGCTCATAATATTCTGATATAATTTATAGAGAATAGATACTGCACTTTTTACTCTCTGGATATTTACTGCTGGAAATCTGAGGCAAACTGTAATAATCTCTGCCATGCCAGTTATAAAATTCATTATCTTAGTCTATGTTCAGAGATTTTTCTACTAGCTGGCATTACCCTCTTGGTAATAAACAATGAAAAACACATCTTCTGAGTTATGTTAATCTGCATCTTTAGAATAGGAAATAATAGCACTCAGTCAAAAGTTCAGTATAATTTTCATATTAATAAAAGACATGAAACTATGTAAAAATAATTCCATGCACAATATGTTATAATAACAATGACTTCCAATATTTACTAAGAATTTAGTCAGAAAACAAGTTTCTCAAATTATAGATGAAAATTCTCAACTAGTATCATAATCTTAACTTTTAATTCAGGTCTTCCTAATTTTTATTTTCCTAATTACTTGGCACTAAAAATAATTTAATACAACAAATAAAAATATTTTCTACTTCAAATACTTGCCTAAACAATATAAAATCATTTTAGTTTTTGAGGAAGTAATATTTCATATTTTAAATATGTAGTATAAATTAAAATTGACTTATTTAAATTACAATAAGAGTTGTGTGAGGATTAGTAAGATTTAAGTACAGTTTATATTATTGCCAACATAGACTTTTGTTTTTCAAATGTCACAAATATCTTTTATTATTTGTAGATTTATTTCTTTTATGAAGTAGTCAAATGAATCAGCTCACCCTTGACTGTAACAAAATACTGCTTGGTGACTTGGGACAGACAGGGTTTTAACCTCTGACAGCGAGATTCATTGTGGAGCAAGAGCCAATCATAGATCCTGACGACACTTGTCTCATCTAAGTTGGAATATAAAAAGCCACTTGGAATACAGTATAAAAGATTCACTGGTGTGGCAAGTTGTCTCTCAGACTGTACATGCATTAAAATTTTGCTTGGCATTACTCAAAAGCAAAAGAAAAGTAAAAGGAAGAAACAAGAACAAGAAAAAAGATTATATTGATTTTAAAATCATGCAAAAACTGCAACTCTGTGTTTATATTTACCTGTTTATGCTGATTGTTGCTGGTCCAGTGGATCTAAATGAGAACAGTGAGCAAAAAGAAAATGTGGAAAAAGAGGGGCTGTGTAATGCATGTACTTGGAGACAAAACACTAAATCTTCAAGAATAGAAGCCATTAAGATACAAATCCTCAGTAAACTTCGTCTGGAAACAGCTCCTAACATCAGCAAAGATGTTATAAGACAACTTTTACCCAAAGCTCCTCCACTCCGGGAACTGATTGATCAGTATGATGTCCAGAGGGATGACAGCAGCGATGGCTCTTTGGAAGATGACGATTATCACGCTACAACGGAAACAATCATTACCATGCCTACAGAGTGTAAGTAGTCCTATTAGTGTATATCAACAGTTCTGCTGACTGTTGTTCTAGTGTTTATGAGAAACAGATCTATTTTCAGGCTCTTTTAAACAAGCTGTTGGCCTGTATGTAAGTAGAAAGGAAAAGAGTTTCTCTTTTTCAAGATTGCATGAGAATATATTAATGAGACAAAAATCTGCTGCATTATTTGTTTTCTTATAGAGACAAAAAACTAAAAAATAAAGTACTTGCATAGCATTAATTTAATAAGGCAAATATAGATAGCATGCTTATGCTTTCACAATAATACCACCAAGGCAAGGACTGGGAGATACTACAAGCAGTGTTTAAAACTTACATTAGATTTTAGAATTGTATTTAGTTGTGTAAAATAAGTTTTTTTCACTAATAACAGAAAAAAAAAAAGAAACTTGCTGGATGTTTAAGCTTACTTGAGCACTGCTGAAAACCTCAAGTGATTTCTGTTATTTGAAACTCTCTCAGTAATTTTTTTGTTCTTCACAGTTAAAAATTTAATTTTGAGAGCTATTACACTGAAGAATATGCAAAAATTAAATATCTTAATGTGTTAGTAAGAACAATAATGAAGTAAACATAGCATAATAATCATCATGAACTAAATATTAGAAAATGCCTAAGAAATAAACATTTTAATTGGGTAGGTTATGGCTCACAAAGTCCTCCTTGTACCTTGACCATAGTACTATTATTGAGAGTACCCAGTTTGTGTACTTCCAAGCAGGCACAGTGCTTAATAACCTTCTAAAATATTTTATTCTTCCTGAGAGGGAGGGCTTTTACCTGTAGTATCTACACTGCTTCTGACAGATAACATATTTCATACAATTCCTTTTGCAGTCAGCTCAAAAGAATACTTTCTCCAGGAAAGAGAAACAGGCACCTTGACAGAGAAGGCATGGCAAGAAAAATTTTGTGTTACCTGTTATCTTGCTTTAATACAATGCTTTATATACTTTAAACAAGACTCCAAACAGTTTTAAAATATTATTTCCCTTATTAAGTAATCAGGTTACAATGCAGCAAAGAATTTCCATTTAAGACTCTGCTATCAAATAGGTCTGGAGCAGATTTACCTTTTATAGACAATTTTGGAAAACCAAAATAAAAGAAATTGTTAGTGCTTGTGCTTACATGACAGCCTGGCCCTAAAGACAATACTTTCGAACTTTTCAGATAGCCTGAATATAACATCAAAATTTTTGTGTTAATTATCTGCTTAGTTTTGCTCCTTTAAAAGGTTATTCCAAAGCCAAAATGTAACAGATGTACTGTGTTTTCTACTAATTCCTGAGGCTCAGTAAGTTGCTCAGTGTGTCTTGTCCCCAGGTAATTCAGGCCTGGGGGAAGGGTTCCTTCTTCCAGACTGATTGGTACAGCTGCTCAGTAAGTGTAACTACTCAGATTCCCAAAGAATTCTAAGTGGTTGTTCCTCCACAGTGTCTCTTGTTCTCTCTAATCATCATCATTTTAAAATTTCATTCAGCGTTCATTACTTCATAGAACCTTCCTTTGTCCATAGTTCTCTGGAAGGGGAATAGATTCCTGATGAACAGCTGAAAATACATACGTCTGAAAAATTCTGAAAAGCTAGGGTAATTATTTTCTTTGACATTTTTTTGAGTTATAAAGTTCCACACGGTATTTCATTTTAAAAGACTGCATAGGCATACATTATCTTAATTTAAAAAAATGCTCAACTATTAATATGGAGGGGTTTTGTTAATGGGAAATAATTTCAGCAACTTTTCTTTTCTTATTCATTTATAGCTGATTTTCTAATGCAAGTGGATGGAAAACCCAAATGTTGCTTCTTTAAATTTAGCTCTAAAATACAATACAATAAAGTAGTAAAGGCCCAACTATGGATATATTTGAGACCCGTCGAGACTCCTACAACAGTGTTTGTGCAAATCCTGAGACTCATCAAACCTATGAAAGACGGTACAAGGTATACTGGAATCCGATCTCTGAAACTTGACATGAACCCAGGCACTGGTATTTGGCAGAGCATTGATGTGAAGACAGTGTTGCAAAATTGGCTCAAACAACCTGAATCCAACTTAGGCATTGAAATAAAAGCTTTAGATGAGAATGGTCATGATCTTGCTGTAACCTTCCCAGGACCAGGAGAAGATGGGCTGGTAAGTGATAACTGAAAATAACATTATAATAACCTTATGTTTTTATTCATAATATGAACAAACAATAGTGGAAAATAGCTACAAATTCCCTAAGCTCATAAGCTAGACAAAGGTATCTTACCCCAACGGTAGCCCTGTACCCAATAAAAGTAGGTGTCCAATTTCATATCCTATGAAACACTCCCTTGATACTCTTACTTTGCATCAAGATTTTAGAAAACAATTATACCATACTTCTTAACTTCTTAAGAAGTCCTTTTGAATTGGGAATGAAATATAAAGTGCTTTTCATTAATATGATACATGACTGTATGTATTAAAATATTAACTCTATATAGTGGATTTTACCACATAAACCAACAAATCCAAACATTATTTTTTTCTCCCAGAAGGGTGCCAAATGTGTTAAAGATTTTTGGCTTAGCATAAAACAGATAAACCTTTTAAAATTATAATTAAATGTTTTATTCAGAGAAATTAAGAGTGATATTTATAGGCTTATACTTTATTAAATATATTTAAGGTTTCTCAAGATAAATATGTTCATTATTTGTAGGATGTTGATGCACTGATGTGTGTATATATTTCTTTGTGGAATACTCCTAATAAAATTTCAAGTTACATACTAGTTAACCTTTGCCACCTAGCTTATTTCTGAGCTGCCTTAGCATTCTTGTGCAAAAATTTACTCAGGGAAGGCCGACTAATTTAGTACCAGGCCAAGTAAATGACAATACCTTATATATCACAAAAATTAATAAAAACCATTTTAATTCCTAGTACAAATTTAGGGTTACTCTTCTGGCTTACCTAAATTTCTGTTTTCAAATACTTAATGTGATCACATCTTTTTACGTTCATCTATTGATATAATTTACAAAAGAAGATTATACTTGTAAACAACAAACCTGTTACCTTTGTAATCATTCAATGATCTTAGTTATAAAGATGATATAATTAGCAGATCAGATCTACTCTAAATAAAACATTCTTTAAAATACTATACAATATTTTTTCATTTTTATTACTTTATTATATATATGTGTATATATATATTTATACACACACACACATGTTTTACTTCAATATGTTGGGGGGTACAAGTGGTTTCTGGCTACATAGATGAATTGTACAGTGGTGAAGTCTGAGGTTTTAGTGCACCCATCACTCCAAGTAGTGTATATTGTACCAAATATGTAGTTTTTAATCCCTCATCCCTTTCTGAGTCTCCGAAGTACCTTATACTACTCTGTATGTCTTTGCGTACGCATAGCTTAGCTCGCACTTGTAAGTAAGAACGTATGGTATTTGGTTTTCCATTCCCTTCGAATAATGGCCTCCAGCTCCATCTAATTTGCTGCAAAAGACATTCCTTTACTCTTTTTTATGGTTAAATAGTATTCCATGGTGTATATATACCACATTTTCTTTATCCATTCATCCGCTGATGGGCACTTAGGCTGGTTCCATATCTTTACAACTGTGAATTATGCTGCGATAAACATACGTGTGCAGGTGTCTAAAAGACTATACAATTTTCTAAATGATCTAGTTTCCTTTATATATGCTACTTTAAATGTTAATGACTCCCAAAATGATATTATTATTTTTGACAGTCTTAAATAACACTGCCAGAGCTATTTTCATTTAGATATGGGTTAAAAACTACTGTCAATTATTTAAGAAAGTGTTCCTTTTTATAGGTAGAATTTTAATGATCAAAATTGATAATATGTCCAGTGGTTAATATGTTGTGTTCCTCAGATTTTTTCATGTAAAGGGAAACAAAGTCTCAAATGCATTAAAAGATTGGGGCAGAGACAGAATCAACAAATTTTTAAATACCTGAATAGAAACATTTTCCAGTGAAAGAATAAAGGAAATATCATCGTCTCTTCTTCTGAATTTGTCCTTCCCTATTTTGCCCTGGTTTTATTGTCCAAGTTTTCCTGAGTGAGGAGGATGGATGACTATACCTAACCCTCCAGGAGTTACCAGGCATATTTAGCCAACATATTTAATCAGGAAGCAAGAAGAGAGGGAGCTGTTAGCTCTTTCCTTCATTCCCCACTTCTTCTTCTCCTCTCTCTCTCCTTTCTTCCTTCCCTCCCTTTCTTCCCATAAATATTTTCAGGACATCCATTATGTGCCAGGCAATCTGGTACTCAAACTTGGAAAAATAAAACTTAAAAAGACATGGTACTGACCTTAGGGGAATTTGTATTGCTGTTAAATTCTTTTGAGACATAAGGGGAAAATCAAGCCTAGTGTAAATTAACATTCCTTAATGCTGTGCCTTTTAAAAATAAATGTGGTATGAGCAAAATTATTAGTTTATTACTTCAACAATAACTTCTTAAGGTAGGTAGAAAAGTGTTTCCAGGCCTATTGATATTACTGATTGTTCTTTCCTTTTCAAACAGAATCCGTTTTTAGAGGTCAAGGTAACAGACACACCAAAAAGATCCAGAAGGGATTTTGGTCTTGACTGTGATGAGCACTCAACAGAATCACGATGCTGTCGTTACCCTCTAACTGTGGATTTTGAAGCTTTTGGATGGGATTGGATTATCGCTCCTAAAAGATATAAGGCCAATTACTGCTCTGGAGAGTGTGAATTTGTATTTTTACAAAAATATCCTCATACTCATCTGGTACACCAAGCAAACCCCAGAGGTTCAGCAGGCCCTTGCTGTACTCCCACAAAGATGTCTCCAATTAATATGCTATATTTTAATGGCAAAGAACAAATAATATATGGGAAAATTCCAGCGATGGTAGTAGACCGCTGTGGGTGCTCATGAGATTTATATTAAGCGTTCATAACTTCCTAAAACATGGAAGGTTTTCCCCTCAACAATTTTGAAGCTGTGAAATTAAGTACCACAGGCTATAGGCCTAGAGTATGCTACAGTCACTTAAGCATAAGCTACAGTATGTAAACTAAAAGGGGGAATATATGCAATGGTTGGCATTTAACCATCCAAACAAATCATACAAGAAAGTTTTATGATTTCCAGAGTTTTTGAGCTAGAAGGAGATCAAATTACATTTATGTTCCTATATATTACAACATCGGCGAGGAAATGAAAGCGATTCTCCTTGAGTTCTGATGAATTAAAGGAGTATGCTTTAAAGTCTATTTCTTTAAAGTTTTGTTTAATATTTACAGAAAAATCCACATACAGTATTGGTAAAATGCAGGATTGTTATATACCATCATTCGAATCATCCTTAAACACTTGAATTTATATTGTATGGTAGTATACTTGGTAAGATAAAATTCCACAAAAATAGGGATGGTGCAGCATATGCAATTTCCATTCCTATTATAATTGACACAGTACATTAACAATCCATGCCAACGGTGCTAATACGATAGGCTGAATGTCTGAGGCTACCAGGTTTATCACATAAAAAACATTCAGTAAAATAGTAAGTTTCTCTTTTCTTCAGGTGCATTTTCCTACACCTCCAAATGAGGAATGGATTTTCTTTAATGTAAGAAGAATCATTTTTCTAGAGGTTGGCTTTCAATTCTGTAGCATACTTGGAGAAACTGCATTATCTTAAAAGGCAGTCAAATGGTGTTTGTTTTTATCAAAATGTCAAAATAACATACTTGGAGAAGTATGTAATTTTGTCTTTGGAAAATTACAACACTGCCTTTGCAACACTGCAGTTTTTATGGTAAAATAATAGAAATGATCGACTCTATCAATATTGTATAAAAAGACTGAAACAATGCATTTATATAATATGTATACAATATTGTTTTGTAAATAAGTGTCTCCTTTTTTATTTACTTTGGTATATTTTTACACTAAGGACATTTCAAATTAAGTACTAAGGCACAAAGACATGTCATGCATCACAGAAAAGCAACTACTTATATTTCAGAGCAAATTAGCAGATTAAATAGTGGTCTTAAAACTCCATATGTTAATGATTAGATGGTTATATTACAATCATTTTATATTTTTTTACATGATTAACATTCACTTATGGATTCATGATGGCTGTATAAAGTGAATTTGAAATTTCAATGGTTTACTGTCATTGTGTTTAAATCTCAACGTTCCATTATTTTAATACTTGCAAAAACATTACTAAGTATACCAAAATAATTGACTCTATTATCTGAAATGAAGAATAAACTGATGCTATCTCAACAATAACTGTTACTTTTATTTTATAATTTGATAATGAATATATTTCTGCATTTATTTACTTCTGTTTTGTAAATTGGGATTTTGTTAATCAAATTTATTGTACTATGACTAAATGAAATTATTTCTTACATCTAATTTGTAGAAACAGTATAAGTTATATTAAAGTGTTTTCACATTTTTTTGAAAGACACAACAGTTTTTATTCTAATGATTAATTCTGGATTTCTGATTTTCACTTTATTATAAAAGTCTAATTGTTTAGCACAAAAGTTTGGTTGAGGAATTTTAGGTCTGCTACTCCGGTTCTCAGGAGTTAAATTCCTATTAAATTGGTCCTGGTCAAGTTGCTTTACACATACGAAAGCAAGGAGTAGTTATATCTGTTTCATTTCTCTTTTTTTTATTTTTTTATTATACTTTAAGTTTTAGGGTACATGTGCACAACGTGCAGGTTTGTTACATATGTATACATGTGCCATGTTGGTGTGCTGCACCGAGTAACTTGTCATTTAACATTAGGTATGTCTCCAAATGCTATCCCTCCCCCCTCCCCCCACCCCACAACAGGCCCCGGTGTGTGATGTTCCCCTTCCTGTGTCCATGTGTTCTCATTGTTCAATTCCCACCTATGAGTGAGAATATGTGGTGTTTGGTTTTTTTGTCCTTGTGATAGTTTGCTGAGAATGATGGTTTCCAGCTTCATCCATGTCCCTACAAAGGACATGAACTCATCATTTTGTATGGCTGCATAGTATTCCATGGTGTATATGTGCCACATTTTCTTAATCCAGTCTATCATTGTTGGACATTTGGCTTGGTTCCAAGTCTTTGCTATTGTGAATAGTGCTGCAATAAACATATGTGTGCATGTGTCTTTATAGCAGCATGATTTATAGTCCTTTGGGTACACACCCAGTAATGGGATTGCTGGATCAAATGGTATTTCTAGTTCTAGATCCCTGAGGAATTGCCACACTGACTTCCACAATGGTTGAACTAGTTTACAGTTCCACCAACAGTGTAAAATTGTTCCTATTTCTCCACATCCTCTCCAGCACCTGTTGTTTCCTGACTTTTTAATGATCTCCATTCTAGCTGGTGTGAGATGGTATCTCATTGTGGTTTTGATTTGCATTTCTCTGATGGCCAGTGATGATGAGCATTTTTTCATGTGTCTTTTGGCTGCATAAATGTCTTCTTTTGAGAAGTGTCTGTTCATATCCTTCACCCACTTTTTGATGGGTTTTATTCTTGTAAATTTGTTGGAGTTCATTGTAGATTCTGGATATTAGCCCTTTGTCAGATGAGTAGGTTGCAAAAATTTTCTCCCATTCTGTAGGTTGCCTGGTCACTCTGATGGTAGTTTCTTTTGCTGTGCAGAAGCTCTTTAATTAGATTCCATTTGTCAATTTTGGCTTTTGTTGCCATTGCTTTTGGTGTTTTAGACATGAAGTCCTTGCCTATGCCTATGTCCTGAATGATATTGCCTAGATTTTCTTCTAGGGTTTTTATGGTTTTAGGTCTAACATTTAAGTCTTTAATCCATCTTGAATTAATTTTTGTATAAGGTGTAAGGAAGGGATCCAGTTTCAGCTTTCTACATATGGCTAGCCAGTTTTCCCAGCACCATTTATTAAATAGGGAATCCTTTCCCTATTTCTTGTTTTTGTCTTGACCTGAAAACTATTTATATGTTTTCATAGGTTCAATTTCCAAATGCATTGCAGTTGGCAAGGGTATATGGTCCTAGAGTTACAAGTTCTACTGAAGCCACAGAGACACAAGGAAGCTACATTTTTTTCTTACCACTTAATGAAACTGGTACACTTATCTGAACTTTGTGAGCACCAATTTTCAAACTGAATTGCAAAACAGTTGTAAAGTACCTAGAAATCCTTAAGTGCAATAACATATATAAAAATTTTTTAAGTGATCCCTCCTCTCCACCCTCCATCAGTTTAGTAACTTAGTTATAAAGCAGTGACTAACTTTAATGGGGAAGATAATTAAAATTCTATGTGTTAATATTGCTAAATAGTGTATAATTAATATAAATGTCATTTCAATAGTTTCTATTTGTATATTAATTACATACAAATAGAAATCTAAATTCAAATATTGATTAAACTATAATATGATAAAATCCATTTCAAATATCAAATGATCACTTCTAAAAATAAAACATACGAGTACTACCAATAATATAACTAAGAAATGAAACTATAGGCAATGATAGGCAAGTCATGACTTGTCTGGCATGTGACATAAAGTGTTGAAATTTCATTTGCATGGTCATTCAGTTCCAGTTTACACACTGCAAAACGTATCAAAGCAAACTATACTATTTTGGTCATTCCTGAGTAAGATGTCGAGCAATGAAAAATGGTACTAAATTTAGTACCATTCATGCCTCGATGGCATTTTGCAGAGGAAGTATTTGGAAAATGAGTATATTTACGCTAGATAACACGCATGGTTTATAGCAAGTTTATCTTGGTTGCCATTCAAAACACTAGACAGAAGGAATATTTAAATATTTTTTCCTAGATTACACATCAAAATACTTCAATAGTATCATATCCTGTCAAGAACGCAAGATGTTCTTGAATGTAAGATTTTACATATGAGGCTGCCCAGACATAAAATGTATATAAAATAATGACAGACAACTCCTTAATAAGATAACTTATAAAGGTTGACTAGCTTATGTCAGGTTTAACATTACACTAAGTACTCCTGATATGGAACTGTATAGTTTGGCAATGATGCAAGACACACACGCTTTGTTTTCATTGATTCCACTTTTGGATTACTATAAGAAAGAAAAGTTTTTAACAGTATTATGCTATTGTTTCTGCTTCATAATAAAGCTGATGTTTTAAATAAGCACACACATATACTTTCTTAAAGATCAACTTTAATAAAATGTCATTTTATTAGTTCTATATATGCACTATAGGCAAAATATTATTCACTAGTATAAATTCATAGAAATGTAAAACATAATACCAGATTCTGATCCTAATGAGATCTGTTGAAAACGTCTCCTGAGAAGGGCTAACAGCTATATTTGACTCAATTTATCTTAATGGTAACTTTAAACCAAAAATGTAAAAAAGATTAAATCACTAATTCAATCCTTTAATTTGTTATCCTAACCATTCAAAATTACTCTATTGAGAAACCTTTTCCTACAAGTGTTAAGGGTTTTTTCTCTTTAACGTCTTATGAAGGACACTATTCAGAACAAAATTTGATTATGCGGTTTGGGCCATAGATCCTCCACAAGATTTTCTCAGGTCCGCTCCCACAGACACTAAGTCTAAGAAGACAAATGTCTCTTGGCTGTATTCCCGTGGAACTCAGAACCTTGGCATTACCTCTCAACCAGCCCAAAACAAAACATGTCCATACAAGAAAGTATGCCTACATGATTTCATGAGATCCTGATAATGCTGAGATAGAATTCTGAAGGTGACAATCAAGCATAAAACACTGGTTTACTGAGCACACTAAAGTGACTATGGCAGAAAATCAAAATTGTTACATGGAAACAATTGAGTGGTCATTGAGGCAATCGCTAGGCTTCAGGATTCAAGAATATCTTCCTGAAAAGCTGCATACTTTTCAGGCAACTCAAGTAATGGAGTGAATTATATGGCTGCCTGCACCCTAGGTGAAGAATTCTACTGGGGAACACCAGGTCATCTTGGGCTCTGAATGAGGCCAGGTGCCATGGGATAAAAATTATAGTAAAGAAAAGTAGATCACGCCTGTAATCCCAGCACATTGGGAGGCTGAGGCGGGCGGATCACGAGGTCAGGAGATCAAGACCATCCTGACTAACACAGTGAAACACCGTCTCTACTAAAAAATACAAAAAAATTAGCCAGGCGTGGTGGCGGGCGCCTGTAGTCCCAGCTACTGAGGAGGCTGAGGCAGGAGAATGGCGTGAACCCGGGAGGTGGAGCTTGCAGTGAGCCGAGATTGCGCCACTGCACTCCAGCCTGGGCCACAGAGCAAGACTCTGTCTCAAAAATAAATAAATAAATAAATAAATAAATAAAAAATAAAAAAAATAAGAAAAGCAGATGAGTGTACTCCTCCCTACTTGTAGATATGCCTTGCCTGTAGATACGCCAGTAAAATTGTCCCAAAGTCTAGAATCTACCAAGACCTGTGTCTTACAGTGAACTTAAGTTCCTTACAGCACCAGACAGAATTCCACCAAAGTTGCAAAGGACTGATGCAAACCTAAAGAGATTCCTATCTTCTCATTGGCCAGAGTGCATACCTGTGACTGAAACAAATTGCACCAAGTAAGTTTCTTATGGGAGAATTAGCTCTGCAACTGCAGGGCCAGCAGAAGTCCTTCCTTCACTGAGACAGGTGTGTGGACTATGAATAGTGAGCCCTATCCAGCTTGACCAGACAGATGTTCCACCAAAGATTCCTCATCCTGGCCAAAGACAGCAGTGTCATCTCAGGGCAGTGATTGTGACAGTGGCTGGAATCTGGCCATATATATATTGACACAGCCTTACCTAGTACATTACCTGGTTAGTGTATTTGGCCCTCATATATTCTCTTCAGCTTAATAAGGAATAAATTACTTATAGGAAATTGGACAAGACCCATGAGTATGACTTACAGAAGAAAATCACATTATATAGGAATTATTATCTCCATTTTGGAAATGAGGAAGTTGAGGCTCAGAGAGATGCACGAGTAATAAATGACTAAGATGGGTATATACATAATGTAAGAAATACAAATGTAGAGATACAATTTTTCACAGTCATTAACTCAGGTGTGAAAAACTGTAACTTTTGATTTCTTACAAAATTGACCAGCTTTTACTTGAAGCCTCCTCATGCTACATCACCATTTCTACTTTGTAGATGCAACATCATCGGGAACCACTCTAATGAAGCTCCTCTCCACGGACCTCACACAGAAAATGATGTACAATATCCATATCCCCCCGTTCTCAAATGTCTGAACTTCTAGGAGAGGTGTAATATCTCTAATTCCTTACATCCAGTTCAGCTCATGAGGGAGGGCATCACAAAAATACCAGTGTCTGAAGCCTCTCTCTTCCCAACAAATTGTCTCCTGTCATTGGCTCATGAGATCTTTAAGTGAAAAGATATAGAAATAGATTCTGACTGACTGGCTCTATTTACTATTTCTTTGTATTTGATACCTGAGCCTAGACTCTTGCACTTGCTACCATTTTTTTCTGATTCTGATCTGACAAGTAGAATCCTGGAAAAATGTAACTTCTTAATAAACCACATTATTAATTCTCACTAATGATAAAAATGTAACTTAAAATGAGATGACATCCTTTCACCTACAACTGCACTAAATTTTATGTTAATATCTAGTGTTATTAGTAAGCGTGATCAGAAATAAACACTCTACACTGTACATTAGCTGTAAAAAGGCCCTGCCCAGTACCTTCCAATTTTTAACATTAAACTAAATTTGGCCTGAGGCAACCTCCATACCTCCCTATGTAACTGAAGGGCAATCTAACTTATTAAGTAAACAAACTGAAAGCCTGACTTGGGGGTATATTTTATAACAAATAGCTGCATGTCAGCCAATCACAGCAGCTGAGCTTCAGCCAGTCTCAGGCAGGCAACATGTCCAAATAAGGCAAACACAGATCTATAACCAACCAAGCTGTTTCTGTACTTCACTTCAATTTTCTGTCTGTAAATGCTGCCTGTCTACATTGCACAGCAGAGCTCTCTCAACCTCTTCTGGTTCTGAGGGCTGCCTGACTAGCAAATTGTTCTTTGTTCAAATAAACCTTGCTTTATTTTTCAAAAGTTGTTCTTTTAACAGTAACAAGATCCTTAGGGGTTCTAATGGTGATTCCACTTCTAAAATTTTATCCTCCCCCCAAAATGCAAACATTTATGTAAAACTAGAGTTATTATTTTTAAGGTTGGAAATAACATACATTCTAAATACAGGAAAATGGTTACAATTGATTTAGTAGATATATATGTGTATCCCTAAATATACATGATACATGTGTGTACACACATGCTATACACATATTTATCTACTTAGAATACATTCAGCTGTAAATAACAGAAATCCCAATTCAAATAGGACTTAATAGAAAAGCTGATTATCTCATAGAAGTTCAGATGTAAGGGAACTCTAGGTAGAGAATGATAGGTAGCTTAGTAATATCAGTGAAGGCTTAAATGCTTTCCACTGCTTCACTCTGCCATGCTCATTGCATTTGTTTGGCCGTGATATTGTCTCTACAATTACAAGATGGCTACTGCAGTTTACATGACAACGTCCAGGTATATTGAAGAAAGGAAGCCACACTGCATGTGGGTTCGTGAAAAATTTCCTTTGCAGAATCAAAGAATATGATTATATTTAATTTTAATCAATACAATTTGCACTCTGTAGAAGTTGTGCCAATTTACATTTTTATTATAATGTATGAGATTACCTATTTTCCCATACCCTCATCATTTATATTTCTAGTCTGATAGGTGAAAAATGGCATCAGATCATGAGTTTCATTGCATTTCTCTTATTTTAAGTAAGGTTATTAATCTTATTTAAGTAAGGATTGCTTGTACTTCCTTTTCTAGTAATTGCTTTTATCCTTCACTCATTTTTTTTTCTATTAGGTTGTTGGTATTTCTTTAAAGAAATCTATGTATTTAAGAAGATAGCCCTTTATGCATGACAAAAACTGCAACTCTTTATTCCAAGATTTCTATTTCTCTTTTGACTTTATGATTTCTTGCGTTTTTAATGCAGAATTTAAAAATATTTGTATGATGTCACATACTTTAGTCTTTATTTATGGCTTCCAGTTTTTTTGGTAATACTTAGAAAGGCCTACTCCTCTATGTGAGGAGTATATTCCAAAATGCATCTTATATTTTATTTTAATACTTTTATGATTTAGTTATTTACTTTTAAAATCTTTAATTCATCTCAACTCCATTTTGTCATAAGTGTGAAGGAAGAATCCAATTTATTTTTCTTCAGCATGATTATTTAGTTGTTACCATTTATAATGCTATTTTTTCCCTGCTGATATAAAATGTAGAATGATGCCCAATGGACATCTCCTAATAACCACATGGATTCTGTTGACCTAAAGAAAGAAACTGAGGCAAAATTATTATAGGCAATTTATTTGAGCCTGGGTTGAGAACTGCAGCCTTAAACACACTTCCAAGTTGCCTTGGGGAGTACTCCACTCAGCCTTTGTTACAGGAAGGTTTTTTAAAAAATGTTTTCTTTTTAATTATTATGGATATATACTAGTTGTACGTGGGGGGATGGTTAATGGGTACTAGCAGGTTTTTAAAGGCAAAAGGGAAGGAGTGGGCTGATACAAAGTTGTCTGACAGGAATTCTCACTGGTTTATAGAAGTAACATTGAGTAGTGATTGGATATACATCATTGAACTAAACTATAGGGTATGAGTTATGGTGTCTAGCACATGGCATTCTATGGTTACTTGGTGTCAGTTAGTCTAGAGCCTACATAGCAAATGGCTTCAAGAGATAATTATTTAGCTCAAAGAGGAAGAGAGATGTGACTACTGTTACATGCCGTCATAGTTTATGCCTCTCTGGGCCTAAATTAAAAGGAGCTTGCATTCCTCAGATAAAAAGTTTTTCTTTCTTAATTCTTAGATCTAAAACATAATTTTCATAGAATTTAGTAATAGCACAGGATGCCTAGAGTAAAATCAAGAACCTCCTTGAAATCTAACCATAATCAAATCAGATAAATGCGAAAACAGTATGATGATTGATGTTTCTGTCTGGTCAGAAATAACTAGTTGCAACCCTACCCATATTCATCCATTTATTTCATCAAAGTTTTGAAGAGTCTACTATCATTATATTTTAACCCCCTTAAATGCAGGTGTCGGACATTTAGCTCACAACAACATAGTCCTTCTAGGACAGCATCCCTCACCTCTACTGAAGCCAAGATACCTTTCTTCCATGACTGCAGAGGAAAAAATTTACACATCCTTTCCCCCAAAAGACACAAAACTTCTCCTATCATTACATTAGTTGACTAGTCTCACCCGGTATGTCATTCAGCCTCTCAAAGGAATAACATTTTCTTCCACTGTTCCCAGAAAAGGAGGGCACAAGAACAATTCAGAATATCTCTGGTACTTTCCCTCTGAAGTAACATATCAATTCTATTCATACTTGTGTTCTATCAGACTTCACCCATTCATTGAGTTCAAGACTTGTACTACTGCGGGAACTATGGAGAGAGAAGGGGAGAGGAATAAATCATAATCTTCTCTCAAGGAAACACAGTCTAATGAGAGCAGAAAAGTAAACAGTAAAAGTAAAGCCTCATAAAATGTGACAAATAGTACCCAGTTGACACTTGTCCTGACAACTATGTGGATCCTTACACAAGGTGCTGCGGGAGAAGTGAGGAAAGTCACCTCCGCTGGACTGGGAGTTCACAACGACTTAAAGAGGAGGAGACGTCTGTTAGCAATGTCTTTAATGATGAAGAAAAGTTTGATGGATAAGTAAGAAGGAATAAATGGGAAAGAAGAAGGAAGAAGGGCATTCCAAAACCAAAGCAACAAACACACACACACATGAATGCAGGCATGGAAGAGCAGGGTGTCTTCCAGGTCCTGTGAGAAGTTCAGAATGGCTGGAAAGATAGGGTCTTGGGCAGTGAGTGAGAAGGAATGAGCCTTTAGGGGTGGATGGACACCGCTTGTATGTCCTTGTATGTCTCCCTGAGGAGTTTGTACTTGATACTGTCAGTGAAGGGAGCCAGTGAAACATGTTAAGGAGGGAGTAATATGGTTATGTGTAATTTTTCTTAAAAAACTCACTTTAAATAAGGTGTGTTGCCCTTTTTTTCTGTGTGTGTAAAAGTCCCTTTTAAAATCTGGTGAAGCCTATATATCACTTCTCAGAATAATGGTTTAAATTCATTGTTTTAGAAAAGAAACCAATCATATTAACTATAACTTATAAAAATATTTTTAATGTGGGATATAATAGAAGCTGACAGCACAAAAAGTTATTAATAAAATAAATAACACCGCCTAGTAGAAAGTACTATCATAACTTAAAAGTAGTGATAAGCATAAATGAGATACCTGCAACAACTGCAATTTGATATTAGATACTTGTGATTTTTGTTAGTGACATGGTCACAGATATTATGAATAATCCTCTCATTTCAAGTCTATATTTAGAATGGAAAGATGCTGGTGCCTCTGACGCACTGAGCATCAGACTTCTAGAATGGAAAGATGTCAAATTTCAGTTAAATGTAAGTCAAAATAAAGATGTATTTTTTCCCATCCAATTCTCAGATCCTCTGAATTCTATATACTAGTATAAATGAAAGAGACTAGGGGTGGGAATGGGGACAAATGAATTCAATTAGAAATGACTAGTCAAGGGGAGAAGTGATAAAGGTCTGAATGTTAATAGCCACCATTAGTTGAGCACTTGTTATATTCCATGCATTGTTCAAAGTGTTTTCTAGATCATCTTATCTGCAGAGGTAAGACTATTATTATACGTATTTTATAGGTAAAAAAAAAACAAATCACAGAGAACTAAGAAACTTCAGAATGGGAGTGGCCAAGATGGCTGACTAGAAGCAGCTAAGGTGCATGACTCTCCTGGAGGGGAACAGAAGGAGCAAGTAAATACAGCACCTCAACTGAAACATCCAGGTACTCACGCTGGGACTAATCAAGGAAACAACTTGACCCATGGAGAATGAAGAAAAGCAAGACAGGACAATCGGCCACCCGGGAACAACACAGAGCCAGGGAACTTCCCCCACCAAGGGAAGCAGTGAGTGAATGTGCGACCCTGGGAAATCATGCTTCTCCCACGGATCTTTGCAACCCCCAGCTCAGGAGATCTTGTGAACCCACTCCACCAGGGCCTTCAGTCTGACAGACACGGCTATGTGGAGTCTTGGCAGAGCAGCTGTTCAGGCAAGCATGGAGACCCTGGAGCCTTAGATACTCAGGCTTTCTGACAAAAGTAGCTGCAGCTCTGGCAAAGTGGGAGTTTAGACCCCCGTACATACTACTAGGAAAGAGGCTCAATTGAGGCTGCTGAGCAGCGACAGCCTGCAGGCCCCACTTCCATGGCACCTCACAAGATAAGACCCACTGGCTTGGAAATTCCACCCAGCCACTGGTAGGAGCATTGCGCCTCCCTTAGAAGGCGCTCTTGGAGTTAGGGGTGGGCTTCCCATCTTTGCTGTTTGGGTGCCTTAGCCATTCCAGCCTTCAGGATTTGGAGAGTATGGGCCAGGGGGAAAGGGATCCCCCAACACAACACAGCTGCTCTACCAAAACATGGCCAAACTGCTGCTTTCAGTGGGTGCCCAATCCCATTCCTCCTCGCTGGGCAGGACCTCTCAGCCAGGGCCTTCAGCCGTGCCTCAACCATGTTCTCCAGCTGACAGAAATTTGAAATCCCCCTGGGACGGTGCTTCCAGAGGGAGGGGTAGGACTCCATCTTTGCTGTTTGGGTGACTTAGCTGATCCAGCCTTTGGGCTTTGGAGAGTCCAAGCTGACCAGGGATAGAAGGGATCCTCCAGCACAGCACAGCTGCTCCACCAAAATGTGGCCAGACTGTTTCTTTAAGCGGGTCCAGATCCCATTCCTCCTCACTGGGTGGGACCTCCCAAAAGGGGCCTCCAGCCACCCCTGCCAGTGTCCTCTGGCTGATAGAGATTTGTAATCTTTTTGGGACAGCACTCTTAGAGGGAGGGGAGGGCCACCATGTTTGCTGTTTGAGTGACTTAGACATTCCAGCCTTCAGGCTTCGGAGTGCCTGAAGCAACTGGGGGCTGAAGTGGAACCCCAGTGCAGCACAGCTGCTCTACCAAATGTGACCTGACTGCTTTTGTAAGAGGGTCCTGGATCCCATTCCTCCTCATTGGGTGAGACCTACCAACCAGGGTCTCCAGTGACCTCCTACAGGTGCCTTTGGGCCGGCAACAGACCTGTACCTCCCTGGGACAAAGCTCCCAGAAAAAGGGACAAAGCTGCCATCTTTGCTGTTTCACAGCCTTCCCTGGTAATATCTCCAGGTACTGGAAAATATGAGGCAACTAGGGACTGGCCTAGGCAACTAGGCCCCAAGCATACTGCAGCAGCCTAACAGAAAAGTGACCAGCCTGTTACATGGGTGCCCATTCTAGTATCTCCTCACCAGGTAGGTCCTCCAGGTCTGGGCCTCCAGTCACCCCCCACCAGAGCTATCGAGCCAGTAGCAGCTTGGCAACTCCCTGGACAGAGCCTCTCAGGGCAACTAAAAGCCTCTTTGCTACTGCCTCTGCAGTAGAACTGCCCTTGACACCCTTGGACTAACGAAGGAGCAAAGACCCAAAGTGTCTTATCCACACCTCAAACAAGCTGCAGTTAACCCAAGGAGACTCCAGTCTATTTCCCATG
Organism: Homo sapiens; assembly: GCF_000001405.40. NCBI lineage: Eukaryota > Metazoa > Chordata > Mammalia > Primates > Hominidae > Homo > Homo sapiens. The sequence goes on along the minus strand of NC_000002.12, from coordinate 190,044,402 downwards.
GGCCCCACACTGCTCATCACCAGGCAGTAAACTCCTGGCTGGGGTCCACAGCACAAAGACACTCCATTCTGGGCTGATTGCACTGAGCAATTGCTGACCTGTATCTCTCTGGGTTGGAGACCACAGGAGACAAGCAAATGACCCTCAGCCACAACACTACTAAGATTCCTTCCTCTCTGCCTCCAAGCTGGGGAAGGAACATAAACACTGAGATCACCCCAGAACTACAGTGGGCAGCTCAGGAGTGCCAAGTCATAATCTACAGTCAGCACTCAAGGGGGAAAGGAACCCACACTTTCAAAGCATTGAGAGGGAACACAGCTGCAACTGTGAGGAAACACAGGGGAGCCACACAAGTAAGCAGGAGTCTACCAACTGACTGAGAAACCTAAGTGCCACCTGCTAAATCACACCCTAAAGTTTTAACACCAAAAATACCTCACTAACATATTCCCTTCTGAAACCAGAGACAAGAAGTCAGCTTCACATAAAGATCCTGCACAAAGCCTTGGTTTGGTGAAAACACCCAGAAAAGAAGTCTATTGACTGTACTCAATGTACACTGCACTTAAAGGAACACCCACACACAGTGAGGAGAAAGAACCAACATAAGATCTCCGGTAACTCAAATGGACAGAGTGTTGTACATCCTCCAAACGACTGCACCAGTTCTCCAACAAGAGTTCTTAACCAGACTGAACTGGCTGGCATGACAGAAATAGAATTCAGAACATGGATAGGAAAAAAGATCACTGAGATTTAAGAGGATGGCAAAACCCAATCCCAGGAAAATATGAATCACAATGAAGCAATACAGGAGCTGAAGGATGAAATAGCCAAGATAAAAAAGAACCTAACGGTTCTGACAGAGCTGAATAACACAATATAAGATTTTCACAATGTAGTCACAAGTATTAACAGCAGAATAAATCAAGCTGAAGGAAGACTCTCACAACCTGAAGACTGGTTCTCTGAAATCAGACAGCCAAAAATAAAGAAAAAAGAATAAAAAGGAATGAACAAAATCTCTAGAAGTATGGCATTATGTAAAGGGGCCAAATCTATGAATCACTGGTATCCCAGAAAGGGAGGGGGAGAAAGCAAACAACTTGGAAAACATATTTCAGGATATTGTCCATGAAAACTTCCACAACCTTGCTAAAGAGGCCAACGATCAAATTCAGAAAATACAGAGAACTCCTGCAGGATACTACACAAGAAGATCACCCCCAAGACACATAATCATCAGATTTTCCAAGGTCAAAATGAAAGAAAGAATGTTAAAGGCAGCTAGAGAGAAAGGGCAGGTCACCTACAAAGGGAACCTGATCAAGCTAACAGCTGACCTCTCAGCTGAAACCCTAAAAGCCAGATGAGATTGGGGGTCTATATTCAACATTCTTAAAGAAAAAATCTTCAACCACAAATTTCATATCCAGCCAAACTAAACTTCTTAAGTGAAGGAGAAATAACATCATTTTCACAGAAGCAAATGTTGAGGGACTTCATTACCACCAGACCTGCCTTGCAAGAAATTTTGAAAGAAGCATAAATATAGAAAAGAAAGATCACTGCCAGCTAATACCTTAACACACTTATACATGCAGACCAGTGTCATACACAGACCAGTGTGTAAAGCAACCACACAAACAAATGACTCGTCTAGGACAGAAGTGATAAAGGTCTTAATGTTAATAGCCACTATTAATTGAGCACTTGTTATATTCTATGCATTGTTCAAATTCATAGCACTAAAAGCCCACATCAAAAAGTAAGAAAGGTCTCAAATTAACAACCTAACTTCACAACTGAAAGAATTAGAGAAGCAGGAACAAATCAATCCCAAAGCTAGCAGAAGACGAGAAATAACAAAAATCAGAGCTGAACTGAAGTAAATCAAGACACAGAAAACCACTCAAAAGATCAACAAATCCAGGAGTTGTTTTTTTGAAAAAAAAAATTAATAAAATACACCATTAGCTAGACTAATAAAGAAGAGAGAAGATCCAAATAAACACAACTGGAAATGATGAAGGGAATGTTACCACCGGCCCCACAGAAACAAAAACAACCATCAGAAACTACTACAAATACTTCTATGCACACAAACTAGAAAACCTAGAAGAGATAGATAAATTCCTGGACACACATATCCTCCCAACACTGAGCCATGAAGTAACTGATTCCCTGAACAGACCAATAGCAAGCTCAAAAATTGAATCAGTAATAAATAGCCTACCAAATAAAAAAAGCCTGGGACCTAATGGATTCACAGCCAAATTCTACCAGATGTACAAAGAAGAGCTGGTACCATTTCTAAAGAAGCTCTTCCAAAAAACTGAGGAGGAGGGACTCCTTCTCAACTCATTCTATGAGGCCAGCATCACCCTGATACCAAAACCTGGCAGAGACACAATAAAAAAAGAAAGCTTCAGGCCAATATCTTTGATGAACACTGATACAAAAATCCTTAAAAAAAATACTTGCAAACCAAATCCAGCAGCACATCAAATAGCTAATCCACCATGATCAAGTAGGCTTTATCCTCAGGATACAAGGTTTGTTTAATGTATGCAAATCAACAAATGTGATTCATCACATAAACAGAACTAAAGACAAAAACCACATGATTAATCTCAATAGATGCAAAACAGGCTTTCAATAAAATTCAGCATCCTTTCAACATAAAAACTCTCAATAAATTAGGTATTGAAGGAACATACCTCAAAATAATAAGAGCCATCTATGACAAAACCACAGCCAACATACTGAATAGGCAAAAGCTGGAAGCATTCCCCTTGAAAACTGGCACAAAACAAGGATGCCCTCTCTCACCACTCCTATTCAACATAGTATTGAAAGTCCTAGCCAGAGCAATCACGCAAGAGAAAGAAACAAAGAGTATTCAAATAGGAAGAAAAGACATCAAACTATCACTGTTTGCAGATGACATAATTCTATATCTAGAAAATCTCATAGTCTTGGCCCAAAAGCTCCTCCAGCTGATAAACAACTTCAACAAATTTTCAGGATGCAAAATTGATGTACAAAAATCACTAGCATTCCTATACACCAACAACAGCCAAACTGAGAGCCAAATCAGAAAGGCAATCCCAGTCCCAATTGCCACAAAAGAATAAAATACCTAGGAATACAGCTAACCAGAAAGAAGAAAGGGCTCTACAATGAGAATTACAAAACACAGATGAAATCAGAGAAGACACAAACAAATTTAAAAAAATCCCATGCTCATGGGTAGGAAGGATCAATATCATTAAAATAGCTATACTGCCAAAAGCTATTTACAAATTCAATGCTACTTCCATCGAACTACGAATGACATTCTTCACAGAACTAGAAAAAATAATTTTTAATTCATATGGAACCCAAAAAGAGACCGAATAGCCAAGGCGATCCTAAGCAAAAAGAACAAAATGGGAGGCATCACTTTACCTGACTTTAAACTATATATTATAGTGCTACAGTAACCAAAACAGCATGGTACTGGTTCAAAGACAGACGCATAGACAAATGGAACAGAATAGAGAGCCCAGAAATAAGGCCAACATCTACAGCCATCTGATCTTCAACAAAGCTGACAAAAACAAGCAATGGGGAAAAGACTCTCTATTTAACAAATGGTGCTGGAATAACTGGCTAGCCATATGCAGAAGATTGAAGCTGAACCCCTTCCTTAAACCACATACAAAAATCAATACAAAATGGATTAAAGACTTAAATGTAAAACCCAAAACTATAAAAACCCTGGAAGACAAACTAGACAATACCATCCTGGACATAAGAATAGGCAAAGATTTCATGGCAAAGATTTTCACCAAAAGCAATTGCAATCAAAGCAAAAATTGACAAGTGGGATCTAATTAAACTTAAAAGCTTCTGCACAGCAAAAGAAACTACCAACAAAGTAAACAGACAATCTACAGAATGGGAGAAAATATTTGCAAACTCTGCTTCTGACAAAAGTCTAATATCCAGCATGTATTAGGAACTTAAACAAATTTACAACAGAAAAACAACCCCATTAAAAAGTGGGCAAAGAGCATGAACAGATACTTCTCCAAAGAAGACATATATGCAGCCCACAAGCATATGAAAAAAAGCTCAATATCACTGATCATTAGAGAAACGCAAACCAAAGCCACAGTGAGATACCATTTCACACCAGTAAGAATAGCCATTACTAAAAATTCAAATAACAGATGCTGGCAAGGTTGTGGAGAAAAAGGAACACTTATACGCCGTTGGTGGGAGTGTAAATTAGTTCAACCATTGTGGAAAGCAGTATGGCAATTCCTCAAAGAGCTAAAAGCACAACTACCATTTGAGCCAGCAATCCCATTACTGGGTATATACCCAGATGTATGTAAACCATTCTACCATAAAGATACATGCATGCAAATGTTCATTGCAGCAGTATTCACAATAGCAAAAACACAGAATTAACCTAAATGCCCATCAATAACAGATTGAATAAAGAAAATGTGGTTACATATATACCATGGAATACTATGTGACCATAAAAAAGAACGAGATCATGTCTTTTGCAGGAACATGGATGGAGCTGGAGGCTGTTATCCTTAGTAGACTAACACAGGAACAGAAAAGCAAATACCACATGTTCTCACTTTAAAGTGGGAGCTAAATGATAAGAACTTATGAAGACAAAGAAGGAAACAACAGACACCGGGGTCTACTTGAGGGGAGAGGGTGGGAGGAGGGAGACAAGCAGAAAAGGTAACTGTTGGGTACTGGGCCTAATATCTGGGTGGTAAATAATATGTACAACAACCCCCTGTGGCACACGTTTACCTATGTAACAAACCTTTACATGCACCTCCAAACTTAAAAGTTAAAAAAAAGAAACTTCATTCAATTCACATAGCTAATGTGAACCAAGTTTCAAATGTAAGTAGTTTGACTTCAGAAATTTACAGTTTTCCACTACTGGGGCAGTAGCAATGGTGGTAAAAGAATGTATTTGAAGCATGTGGAAGATAGAATGAGGCTGGGCGCAGTGGCTCACGCCTGTAATCCCAGCATTTTGGGAGGCCGAGGCCAGTGGATCACCTGAGGTCAGGAGTTTGAGACCGACCTGGCCAACATGGCAAAACTCCATCTCTACTAAAAATACAAAAATGAGCTGTGCATGATGGCACGCACCTGTAATCCCAGCTACTCAGGAGGCTGAGGCAGGAGAATCGCTTGAACCTGGGAGGTAGAGGTTGCAGTGAGCTGAGATGGAGATCACACCACTGCACTCCAGCCTGGGGGACAGAGCAAGACTCTGTCTCAAAAAACAAACAAAAAAAGAAGAGGAAGAAGAGGAAGAAGAGGAAGAAGAGGAAGAAGAGGAAGAAGAGGAAGAGGAAGAGGAAGAAGAAGAGAAGAAAGAAAGGAAGAAGAAGAAGAAAGAAGAAGAAGAAGAAGAAGAAGAAGAAGAAGAAGAAGAAGAAGAAGAAGAAGAAGAAGAAGAAGAAGAAAGAAAGAAAGAAAGAAAGAAAGAGGGAGGACTCTACAAATAAGCCCAGGCAAAGTAGAAGATTCCTGTAAAATATTTGCCACACAATGTTTTTCTTTTTGGCAATTCTTCCCCCTCCTCTCCTGGTAGACTTTTGGTCATTAAGGGTAAGCCACGGGGCTAAGGCTTGTTTCCCCTGGAAAAGGAGAAAAAGCACCACCTAGTATATTGGGATATAATATCAATTTTTTTTCCTGGGTTGGAGAAAGTGAGAGGGAGCGAGAAAGTGAAAAATGTTATAAGGTGTCCTTGCTCCCTTTTGGGGGATCAAACTTGGCTGAGGGAGAGAGTTAGAGAAGAAAACCCAAACAACTCTGAGCAAATCAAAGATTATTGAGGATGGTGCCCTGATTCTAGTGTAATGTGGAGAGTCAGAAAGCTCTACGAGAATTCCTCTGCTAGACATAGTCTTATATCTAATATGGTGCCAGAGTGATTGAGTAGCAATGATGAGAATGCCTAGACTAAGGGCATCTACACTAGATCCTGACCTCTCCAGATGGTTTCTAAGAAAGTATCTAAGAACCACCAGGTATCCAAGAGGGTGCAGCTTGTTGAACAGGCTGCTGGACTGGCTGCTAAGTTTAGATGTGGATGACAAGGTACAGGGATCTCATAACTAGGGGCAATAGCATGGTCATCAACAGCAGGTGCCAGCACAATGCTTCCAAAAATTAGGTGAAGCCAGCAATATTTCAGTGGCTACCCCTGTAGGACACTCAGTCAACAGGGAGCCCAGCTAAATTAAAGCAGATGCATCAAGACAAGAATATACTGCCCTTAAAATTAAGCAAAACAAACCATCTCAATATGAAACCTGTGAGGGCCACATCATTCTTCTGCAATGCCAAAGCTTCTCTGCTCCAAATTTATCTTAAAAGCAACATGGGGGTGGAGGGACACTTTACATACTTCATATGGGTGGAATCATACAGTTTTCATTTAAAAAAACCCTAAATTTTTCATTGTAAAAACACGTAACTTTGATCAGCAAGCTCAAGCATTTTTCATCATTAGAGGGAGTAGTTTTATTAAGATGAGATCAGTTAAAGAACGTAAAGAAAGACATATCTCTTCAATCCTAATCTGCAACTATTATAATTGAACCCCGGTAGACATGGGATCACACCATGGATCCTAAGGAAGAAAGAGAATTATTAGTCTCTGCAGCTTGACTCTGGCTTAAGAGCAACTTGGGTATTAGCTGAGCCTTATCTCTTGCAAAGCCAACATGGCTCCAAGTGGTTTTCTTAGTCCTTTTAAACTGTTCTTACCTCGCTTATTACTGGTTGCAGGTACTCCTACCCTGGCTATGGAGTCTATACTCTAAAAATGTCCCAGACCATTGTATTTAGGAAGTGAGTTGTCTTGGCTTTTGTCTTTGAAAGTCTCAATACTTTGAAAATTTAGAGTCCAAATAAAAGGACATCTCCTTCTAAGCTCTGCATAGCATTTCTTTCACAAATTCTTGGCCCTGGCCTCAGGTTGACTTAGATCTTTAATATAAGATTTATAATAACCCTATAATGAAGATATAGGCTATGTCTAAATTCTTGGACATCCTAAACAGATTCTGAATGACTATGGCATTTGGTGCAAATAAATATTACTGTGGGACTGTGTTCATTACCTATTCTGGGTAGTTATGGCAAAAAATCAGATCAAGTCTTAGAAAGTCCCAAGAAACCAAGTCTGATTACCCAGGGGATATACTTCAAGGATGTCTGAGCCCTAGCAGTTGAGCCATTTCCGCTCTCATTGGAACTTTCTTTCAGTTCTAGGAATCGTGAATGGCATCATTATCACGTAGCTATTTGGCCTTCTCTGAAAATAAAGTGAGACCTCTGAATTCCTTGGTTTATTGTGTTATGCTATAGATTTCAAAGACATTATAATGTAGAAATGTTGTCTTTTATAAATTGCCAAAATTTGGTTAGTAGCATAGAGTAATTCCTGTGTATTTACATCACAGATTAGATAATGTTGCACCTGGTTAAAGCAGGATGTGAACTTAATCTTTTGGGAAGCTATTTCAGCAGTTTTAACTTAATCTGTTATGCTTAAGGGATACACTAAGTAGAGACCTAGTCTAGGGCTTCACTGTGGCACTCAATAAATGCCAGCTGAAAGTGAAATGTTGATGATATATGAGTCTATTCTACACGATACCAAAGCAAGAACTAAGTAAAGCACCTTTTATTTTCTAATAAAATTGAAAATATGCCATAGACTTAAATCCTTTCAAAATTCTAATGAAAAAAAAAATACTACCAAAAACCTGTCTTAGCTTAATCAAAGTATTTCACCAGGGTAAAGGATAATGTAATAATGCCATTGTTTACGGTTTCCTCCCAAAATCCTTAATGACAATGATATTTTAAAAATTTAAAAAGAATCTATTTTAACTCTACATAGAAGGTGCATTTCTTTAGAGGCAGCTTCATTTAACCAGAAAAATAAATCTGGGATCTGCAGTCTTGTAAGATACAGCCTGATTTAAGCCCTGACTTTCCTAAATCTAAACATGCTGCAAAGATCAAGTCAGCTGTACTGTGCCATAGCTCACAGCCACATTGTGATTTGGGGGAGCGTATAGTTGGCAAGGCTATACTGTAGTCTATCCAAGAGAACTCTGGCCAGGATCTTGCCAGCAGTAAGCAGTCATATGTCTTGATAGTTGCCTCAGTGAATCTTTTTGCCTTGAGTAATAAAAATCACCAAGTACTTTAAATCAAAGATTTATTAGTAACTTAAAACTAATTTTTACAGAAATTTAACGCTAAAAAATTTGAATAGTTTTCTCAGCATAAAATTTTGCACTGACTGAAGTGCACTGAATTTTTCACTGAAATAGTGCACTACTTTGAAAAACAGTTTGGCTGTTTCTTATAATAATAAACACACCCATCACATAATCTAGCAATTCCATGCCTAGATATTTACCCAAGAAAAATAAATACATACATCCACAATAAAATCTGTTTGTGAATGTTCAGAGTTGCTTCACTCGTAACAGACCATCATAGGAAATAACCTAACTATCTATCGCCTGGTAAATGAATTGTGGTACATCCATAAAATGGAATACAACTGAACAACAACAAGAAATAAATTACTGATACATGCAATATCATGAATGAGTATCAAAAGCTTTACGTGGAAGAATCCAGACACAAAAGGCTTTTGAGCCAACTTATATGACATCTAGAAAAAGGCAAAATTCCAGGAATGAAAATAAATCAGTGGTTTTCAGGAGGTGGGGGTGGGTGAAGAGACTGACTACAAAGTGGCATGAGGGGGCTACTCTCAGCACACAGCCCATGGGGTAGCCCTGCTGTGCAGGAGTAGTGATGAACAAAACAAAGTGGCATGAGGGACAGTTTTGTAGTAATGAAAGTAGTCTGTATCTCGAAGATAATCTTTTTTTTTTTTTGAGATGGAGTCTGGCTCTGTTGCCCAGGCTGGAGTGCAGTGGCACGATCTTGGCTCACTGCAACCTTCACCTCCCGGGTTCAAGCAATTCTCCTGCCTCAGCCTCCTGAGTAGCTGGGATTACAGGTGCCCGCCACCATGCCCAGCTAATTTTTGTATTTTTAGTAGAGATGGGGTTTCACTGTGTTGGCCAGGCTGGTCTCGAACTCCTGATCTGTCTGCCTCGGCCTCCCAAAGTGCTGGGATTACAAGTGTGAGCCACTGTGCCTGGCCTTGAACACAATCTTGAACACATATACAACTGTTTGTCCCAACTTTTCAATCTTTATTTTTAAAATGAATACATTACATTTTATATAAATGAGACCTCAATAAACCTGCCTTTAAAAAATAATCTGGGGGCAGGGACAATGAGTTAGGGAATAGATAAAACAAGACTGGCCATTGGTTAATAAACATTAAATCTGGGTAATAGGTCAATGGGTATTCACTAAACTATTCTCTCTACTTTTGAATACTTTAAAACTTTTCCATAATTAGCATTTTTTTCCTTTTTTTTTTTTTTTTTTTTTTTTGGTGAGACAGGATCTTGCTTTGTTGCCCAGGCTGGAGTTCAGTGGTGCAATCTCTGCTCATTGCAACCTCTGCCTCCCCGGTTCAAGCGATTCTCTCACCTCAGCCTCCCGAGTAGCCGAGCAGCTGGCACTACAGGCATGCGCCACCATGCCCGGCTAATTTTTTGTATTTTTAGTAGAGATGGGGTTTCGTCATGTTGGCCAGGCTGGTCTCCAACTCCTGGCCTCAAGTGATCCGCCCTCCTTGGCCTCCCAAAGTTCTGGGGTTACAGGCGTGAGTCACTGTGCCTGGCCAATTTTTTTTTTTTTTTTTTTTTTTTTTGCACTGTAGCCTGCTAGGCTTGTGCCGCTTACAGCCCTTAAATGATCCTGCCCTACTTTTCCCTGGAACACAGGATAAAATTGAGGAACTTCTAAACAGTTGATTTTTTTAAGTCTATTAGCTATTTTTCAACATATATACACAAATTAACAATCATTAAAACTATCTTAAAGGCCATCATTGATTAAAAAAATTATGGTCAGGATTTTAAAAGTACGTTCATTAGAAGCAAAAATATTTAAACGTATCTTTTAAGATATTTCTCTAGGTCTTTTAGAGCTCATCTAAGCATGTGAAAAAACATTTATTTAAACCCAACAAAATGAAAAGAATTAAGCTGTATTTATTTAGTAATTGACTTGATAAACATCTTTGTTTACTACATGTTAAACACACCATAATGTCTCTTTTTTTTTGACTTTATAATTTTTTATTTATATAATTTTTTTTATTATACTTTAAGTTCTAGGGTACATGGGCACAACGTGCAGGTTTGTTACATATGTATACATGTGCCATAAATACACCATAATGTCTCTTTTGAGTAGCTCACAAATAAAGTACAACCAGCACAACATGACTGCTAAGTGTGTAGAAAGAAAAGTTAATACTGTCTATAATGGAAACTGGATATGAGCGGGGAGAGATGGTGAGAGGTCTAGAAAAGAATGGCAGATACTCTAAACCTTGAAAGATGTGTTAGGAATTTACTTGATCAGACGAGAGGTATGGATGAAAGGATAGGGAACAAAGAAGAAAAAAATAGAGCAGATTCCAGGTAGACAAGACAGCACTACCAAAGCTATTAAGGTAGAGTACAAAGTAATGTTTGGGGAATGTCCAGTATAATTATACAAAAGCAGCAAAGCAAAACTGAATAATTCAGTTATAATCAGCCCAATTTGTTACTGTCGAGTCTAGGAACTGCTCAGTTTATAAATGCATATTGCTAATGAATTCATGAATTCATTCTACAAATAAATTGGTTTTGTCCCATCCTCACAAGTTATGCCCATAACCCTGGTTAGCAATTTTGCAAAGATATATTGCTAACCATGAGGCAAAATTGTGACATATAGTTACATTTATTGCACCTATTGGAAAACCAATTTAAATTTCATACCATCATTATTTTTGCCTATACGCAGACACGTTTAAGATTTGTTTTTTTCAGACTTTCCTTAGCATTCTGGAAGGATTTGTAAAAAGGGAGAATAGTTTGCTAGTTAAAGAAGACTAAACAAAAAGCATTCCTGTCATCTGTAAGCAGCACAATTATGTTCTTGCTGGAGAGACACTAGAGTATATATAATTTAAAAAATTATTAGATTCTTATTAAAGGTCTGTTTCTTTTATGGTCCCACCTGGCTAAAGTCTTGCTGCTGGCATGGCTGGGGATAAATGTAAGTATGTAGACTTGCATACTATCATGATCTGTTAGCAAGGAAAAAGAAGTTGTTCTCCTCACTGTATGATACCAGTGAGAATCAATCCTTTTCTTTCTCTTTTCCTCCACTTGCTACCGCTAGGAAAGGTTGAGTGGATTTATTTTATTTCTGACTCGCTTGTACATAAGGCAACAATTTTTTGAATAACAAATATTAACTGCATTGAAAAAAATCAGTAATATTTAATTAAGATTGATGTGAATTCTTGTATATTTAAGAGCATATTCATGCTTCTAAATTAAATTCCAAGGAAAGAATGTAGGGAAATGGAACTGCTTATACCTGTGGGTACCTGCAACTTAATGTTTTATCTAATTTGATTATTCAAAAGACAGACAAAACATTTTGCCAGGGGGTAAAAAAAAAAACAAAACTCTAAGATGTTATAATAAGGGGAGCCACTGTGGGAAATATAGATGGTCAATTTTAGGAGTAAAGTAATCTAGTGAGAGGAACAGGACCGAACACACTTTTCTGCTACACAAGCACACTTGAACCTATTTTAAAAGGCACATTAGTAGGGGTGAAAAGAGTTCAGGCCAGTTAGTCCTTGGCACCTCAATCAAGATTGCCAGCATAGTTATCAATTAATGTTGCAGTGGTTTCAGTAATGCATACATGTGTCAAATAGGAACTATACTGAGTTCACCACTTCAGTTTACACACGATCCTGAACACCTGTCAGGTCATAATGATTTTCAGTCACTACTGACCCAGGATAAATTTTAACAGGTGACAGGCTTTGTATCAAATTACCAATTCCCTGAGGCATCCAGTACTCCCAATCCTAAGTATTTTTGGCATGATTTATATGTTCTTTAGCTTCCTTTAATATAATTTAGAGTTATGTCAATTCTAGTACAATTCCTGAAATTCCTGTAAATTTACAATTCTTATAAATTAGAAAATGCTGAGTGTGCACTTTTTAAGACCTCCTTAACAGAAAACTATAGACAGTGGAAGAAAAGGAAAAATAACAGTTAATATTGCAAAAAAGAGAATATTTGAATCATTCAGAATATTGTATTCAGTCTCATATATAATCATCCATAAGAGTAGGACTGATGGATATTTTAAAACATGTATAAAGAAAAATATAAGAAAACTTTCTCAATAATGATAAACACTGAAGATCAATATTTTGAAATGGGCATTTAAAATTACAAATTTTATAATTCTAAAACTATCACATGAACTTCATTCCTCTCTTAGACATATTCAGAAATTTTTTTTAAAAAACTGACCCAGCATTTGTCCAATTTACTAAGCATAAATAGTTATTCTTTCCAGGACAGTGGAAGTTCAGCATTTGCCAAGCCCTTTTAAGCATGTTATCATATGGTAAGGCTCAGCAATGCTGTTACTACTATCTTCATTGCTCAAGCTCTCCACTTGACTGGTGATTTGTGGCTGTTTTTCTAAGGTGTTGAAGTTAAGTAACTAGCTTCTGAGTTCCTCTTTTCAAATAGACATCTAGTGTTTATTAATTTCCAGCAATTCTTCATTAATTAAAAAATAAAGTCATGATAATTATAATAATTTCTATATTGACTCTAGGATTTATTTTGCCACCATTGTCAAGTGAAAAATAAAGTCTTTTAAGAGCTCTCTGATATTTTAAGTAAGATAATGGTTTTCATTATTGCTTTACAAAATAAAAGAAGGCAACTCTATTAGTCCATCAATTGGATATAAAATGTTAGCTGTATATGAATCTCACTGTCTGAGAACAGCTGAATTATAAAGATAAGGTAAACTAATTAGCATGGGATTCAAGACACAATCAGGCTTTAGCTTATTTTTCCAAACTCACTGCTCTATACTGCCCTTCCCTACTCCACATCCTGTACTATTGTGTTCTAATTCCACTACAGTATTCAAAATTTCCAGAAAACACTGATCATTTTCACACTTTCAAGCCTTTGTTAATGCTGCTCCTTCTGCCTAAAGTACCCATCCTCCTGTCACCTGGCTGGCAAAGTCCTCGACTTCTGACCCCTCACTTCTGTTTCTCAGCAGATGATGACAGCCTTCTATTTCGTGGGGGAAAGGGTAGCCATTATACCCCATTTGCACAAGCCAGCAAACCGTGAATTATCTTTGATGGAGCCTCACCTTATCTCTCTAAATCTAGTCCATCACCAAATCCTGCTAATTTGTCTTCTTAAAATCCCAGAGTGCATCTACGTCTTTTTATTTCCACAGCAATCTAGCTAGTCAGGGCTACTAACATACCTTGCCTATATGATGGGTAAGATCAGCTGGCTTCTCTGCTTTTACTTTTCTGTGTCTCCAAATACATATCCAGAAGTCACAAACATGACACTTTCAAGGCTGACATTGAAAAGCTAGGTTTATAAAGTTATATATTGTGATGATCCAGATGTTAAAGCTGAGTTAATAAATCCAAATTTGTCACATCTACAAGAGAAATTTGACAGAAAGCTAAAGCCTACATGAGGAGCTGAAAATAGTTATGGGTAACTGGTTGTTGTGAGTGTTGGTTTTAGTAAATTTCCAAGACATGGTTTGCTACCTATCACCTACTTCCATGAATTTCCAGATGAGTCCTCCCATGAGGTGGCAAAACACGGGCACACCAAGGGCAACAATGTAGTGGAAGAAGAGAACAAGGACAGAACCTTGGTGGCACCTATACTAATGGGATAGGAGGAGAAATCAGAAAGCTGGCAGTAACAGAAACAGAAGAGCCTGGAAAGTAGTGTATGTGTGCATATGTGTATTTATTTTCTATTACAAAACTGGGTTACTTCTGATAGGTTCTAGAAGACCGAGATAATACAATTGTAGATTTCAAAAAATATTCTTAGGTAAATCTGGTAATTGTGAATGTAACACAATGGGGAAGAGCTATAAAAACCAGGAGCAAGGAGATTATTAAAGAAACAAGTACAATAACATGGACATGAGGTGATTTTGCCACAGACAAAATGGTGAACTATATTTAAATATTACCTTATCTGATATGTACATATATAACATGCAAGATCTCAGAACCCTTTGGGATGTTACACTATGAATCTGTTTTTCTGAAGGGTAAATAGGCTCTGTCTTTTCATGAAATAATAATTTTTATGACATTTCCTAGTGCCTATAAAAATCATATAATACAGAAAAATATAAAGTAATGAAAATCACCTAGAATTCCCCATGCAGAGCCATCTACTGTTAACATTTGGGTAAACATTCTTCTAGAAATGTATATTCTCTCGCTCAGTCTGTGTGTGTATGCATGGGTGTGTACGTGTGTGTTTATAAACACACACATATTTTTACATATATCCTAGGGGCCAGCAAACTTAAGCAGCTGCCTGTTTCTGTAAATAAAGTTTTATTGGAACATAGCCATGCTCACTTTTTTACACATGTCCCTGGCTACTTTTGCACTACAATAGGAGAGTTGAGTAATATGACAGAGACTATACAACCCACAAAACTTAAAATGTTTACTACCTGACCTTTTACAACTAAAAGCTTGCCAACCTCTGATACACAGCAATCATTCCACACATGCTGTATTGTAACCTGTTTTTTCACTCAACAATGTATCATTAACATTTTTATAGATCAATAAATATAGATCTACATCATTTAATGGCTGTGTGGTATTTCTTTATATAAAGGAATCACAGCTTGTTTAATAGATTTCTTGAATATTTAGAGCTCGAATTCTTCTATGATATAATGAATGCTGCCATAAACATCCCTACATGTGGCTGGGCGCGGTGCCTCATGCCTGTAATCCCTGCACTCTCGGAGGCCGAGGCGGGCAGATTACCTGAGGTCGGGAGTTTAAGACCAGCCTGACCAACATGGTGAAACCCCATCTCTACTAAAAATACAAAATTAGCCAGGCAAGGTGGTGCATGCCTGTAATCCCAGCTACTCAGGAGGCTGAGGCAGGAGAATCGCTTGAACCTGGGAGGTGGAAGTTGCGGTGAGCCAAGATCACACCATTGCACTCCAGCCTGGACAACAAGAGTGAGACTCCGTCTCAAAAAAAAAAAAAATCCTTACAGGTACATCTTACCACACCTCACCACACTCGAATATCTCCTTAAAATAAATTCCTACCTATGGTACTATGGGAACAAAAGCTCCATATCTTCTATCTTTGGTACATATTTCCAAACTGCTTTCCAGAATGAACTGAAGTAATTTTCATTTTATCAATAGAGAATGAAAGTGCTCATTTTTCCCTATTCCTTTGCCAATCCTGAAGATAATCAAGTATTTTGAATCTTTGGAAAAAAGATATATAGGTTTTTTCCATCTATATTATTTGATTCTTAATGAGGTATAACACCTTTCATGATTATTGGCCATTTGTGTTTGTGCATTGCACTACTTTATATTTACATAATAATGTACTTTGTATACTTTACCATTTTTATGCTGGAATGTTTCTTAATTACTAAGTATACTTATATGTTAAATAACAAATATCTACTGAAGCTAAAAGCATAGAGAATATGACCGAGGAAAAAACAGGTATGGTTTCTGCCTTCACAATGACAATTCAGTTAAAAAAAAAGGTAGTTATCATTTTGTCTGAGATATAAAATGCAAAGATCTTACCAAAATTCAGTGAATTTTTTCATGAACACTTAAGAAGAACAACATTCTGAACAAGTCAAACCAATTCATTTGAAAACTAATCTATTCATGGGAAAACTAGGCTAGTCTTTAGAGCCTGTACCTTAAGAATTCTACTAACCAAGTTCTTAAAGATCCTAAAACATTAATGCTAGTTTTCTTTGTGATTCAAATAATCATTTCTTCATTTTTCTAATGCTTATCCCCCTCAAACAATACAGAAAAAATGAAGGAAAAAGTAAAACCATCTGAAACCCTCCATACAAACATCCTTTTATGTTTACTTCTCCTCATGAATTTTTGTATATATCTCATAACTGAAGCATATAGCAGGGAATAAGGATAATAAAAAAGCTAAGCAAAGAATGAAAAATTAAGAGAGCCAGGAAGTCAGGGAGATATGTGCAGAGAGCAGGAGAATATAATAAAATAACTATTTGAGATTTCTTTTGGGGTTACTAAAAAAAGGCAGTTAAGAATTGAATTTCATACACAAAATTACATTTCAAAATTCTATAATGCCTTGTTGGACTTTGCAAAATAAAACAAATAAAAAAGCACCCTTGCATCTAAATTCATAGATGCCAAACAAATATAATTGTATATGAAAGAATGTAAAGAAATTCTAAACACTCTTTCATTACCTGTTATAAAATCTGAGAAAAGCAAGCTACCATATACTTATAGTCCTTGTAAAATGCACAAGGGAAATTGATAATCAAACACCACTGATGACAGACATTTATATCAGTTTCACATAACTGTTCCTAATTATAAATCTAGATATACATTCCAGGATTATCTACAAGTATGTACTCCTATTAATACTTATTGCACTTACATATGCACATTGAAAGGAGATACACCCTTTCACCTTTTATGTACTACTCAGAAATATTAGAGTATCACCAGCTGCCATAAAGGTCACACTGAATTTTGGGTGCTAACTGTGGCAGACTTATATGTACATGATTTAATTTTAAAATAAGAATGCCACTTTAAATCTTCATTCTAATAATTCCTCCCACTTAAATGGAAACCAAAAGTCTACTAATAGGCCATATTTACACATACTCCTCCATCTATGCAAAATGTGATTGGTATATACAGCATGTGAAACTTGATAGAGAAATTAGCTAGTTGAGACCTCCAGTCAAGTTTGATCTCTAGTACATAGCCACCACATGGTTCCACTGACTCTATTAAGAGTAGAGCATTGTGCATGCATGTCCCAGGCTTGGATTTGGAACATAATGTGGCATGTGAGGTGAGGGCAAGGGTTGGGGGCAAGAAATATTACTCTTTTAACAAATGGTGTTGGGTATAAAGTTAATGCTAAGGTACATAATCTTTCCAAGGGCCAATTTAAGAACTTGTATTTTAGTACTTGCAATAAAGCTGCTATGAAATTCTAATCATGGAATTTTGGACATGGATTAGACTGGAGTTTATAATTGAAGTATGGATTTGTTAGGTAAATTACTCTGTTTATGGAATAATATAATTTATCCTACTTTTTAAAACTTAAGTACTTTAATACAACAGTATGCCAGTGTGCAAGAACTGGTTTTATTAATCTAGGTATTCTGTGAAATTCTTATTTAGTATACCAAATGCTCCAAATATTCATTTAATTCAATAATCTTTACTAAGCACCTACTATGTACAACAGTATGCCAGTGTGCCCAATACAGTCCATTGACACTCAGCTCCTACATACTCACATCTCTATATTCTCCCTAGAACTACTGGGAGTAGTAACTTGAAAATGATGTTTCTCAGACTTCATTGCCAACTGATTTCTGGTAGATTCTGTCATTTGGAGGTACTCACATCAGATTAGAAAGAAGAAAGAAGATAGGAGCCATTCTTTTTTGTTTACTTTTGGTAGCTGCAAAGCAGAAGTGCTGATTTCCAGCTCTTATAAGGACAATAGGAGTTTTGGTTCCAGGGCTCTGGTTAATACATTTCCTATATGCTTCTCCCACCCTTCTAACATTTTTATAACCATATCATTATATTAAAACTTTCTGTGTTAAAATATGTAACATCGTTTCTGTTTTCCTAACCAAGCCCCTAACTGATAAAGTTACATTGTGGGGATGCAAAGATTTCATAGTCAAGTGGAGTAGGAGATGCCAAATTTTCTCTGTAAAGAGCTATTTGACAAATCTTTTAGGTTTTGTAGGCCACATACTATCTCTGTCACATAAAGCTGGGGGGCAGATTGGTGGAGTGAGCTGATTTGGCCTGTGGACATAGCCCACATGCTGTAGTTTACCCATCCCTGGAGTAGAAGAAACAAGCAACTACACAAATCACTGCAATGCAATGTAGTATTATAGAAAAAATAATATCTAAGTTGGCCTGAAGTAGTCATGTTTAATGACAAATGAGCTGAAGATGTTTGTATTTTTTTAAAATGAGCAGATGTTCAGCAGTTTAACGAGGAATTTCAGAAACAAAAGAATGCTCAAAGTCATGAAGACATGAGAAGTTAGTGGGAGTGACTGTCTTGCTTGGGGTAAATATAAATGATTGAGAACTACGATATGAATAAATCTTAAATCCTTTATGCTAAGTGAAAGAGATTTAAAAGGCTATATACTGTACAGCTCCATTTATTTGACATTCTGTTAAAGGTAAAGCTATAGGGACTAAACACAGACCAGAATTCACCAGTGCTTGGGGATAAAGATTGGGCAAAGAGAGCCTCAGATTATCATGAAGATCTGACAGAGTTTCAGTTATATCGATGGCATCTCCACAGCAAATACTGCCCATTAGCAAAGTCTGGTATTGCGCAGAAATGGCCAGGACTTTGTGTCTGCACCATGCTCAGTCATTGGCTGTGGCTTCCCAAGAAAAGCATGGGCTCAGCTCTAAAGCTTAGACTACAAAGAGCTTTATTACAAAGGGATGGCATGAGGTGCTTTTTTAGGATGATGAAACTTTTCTGTATCTCAATTACTGTTGTGGTTACATTACTATATGTAATTGTCAAAATTTATAGAAATCTACCCCAAGATGAGTAAATTTAATTTATCATATGTGAATGTTCTCAAACTGCATGAAAATATTCAGTTCATTGTGCACACATGATGTGGGGGGATGGAGAATGGGCAGAGGAGATGAGGATCTGAAGGCAACCAGAGACAGATCCTGAAACACCTTGTATGCTCTGCTAAAAATTTTTGAAACTTATCCTGTAACAAATTGTGTATAATTCAAAGAACTGAAACTTAAAAATAGTCCAACTACTTTTAGAAAGAACACCCTGTATTAGCAAACAGCATTAATGAAAATGAGGCAAGACTAGAAGCAGGGACATTAAGTATGAGGTTGCTGGCCTGAATGGACATGTGGGAGATAAAACTGGTAAATCTTAGTGATCAATGTGATATGAAAGCTAAAATGCAAAGAGGTGTCTAAAAACAATATACCTCCTCCTTGAACAGCTAGATAGACAGTGATGTCAAGAATTGAGATTGAAAATGCTTTAAAAGGAGCAGGTTTCATTCTAAGAAAATCAATTCTATTTTGAGATGTTGAATAAGCAGTGAATACAGATCAACTAGCATTAGACAGCTATTTAAAGTGATTATAAATATATTTAGAGATTTTCCTTCACAAGGAGGCAAAAGACACATAGATATGGCACATCAATAGAATAGGTTAGAAACAATGAAGGACTGAAATATTAGGTGTATATTGGATTAGAACCAAATATTTTAGAATATATAGGACTCCTCAGGCTGCCTTGGAGGCTTACAGTTTACCCTAGAATCAGCCAGAGTGAATTCAAGTACCCAATCAGGGTTTCTCCAGCCTAGACTGTGTCCTAGGTCCTGAACAAATGATATATGTGTGCTGGTCTTCAATGACATAATTTTGAACATACACTTTCTCTTAGGACATGCAGCCTAGATATCCTCAGCACAGTTTAGCATTGTATAGGATTTGTGCCCATTCTACAGTTGCAATGAGTATATATAAATATGACTTTACTTGTCTATTCCCTTGTATAGAGTGAAATGAACCGGGAATTCTTGAAAAATGAAAAAATATATATGTATATATATATATATACACACACATATATATGTGTGTATAGATATACACACACACATATATATATATACACACACACACATATATATATATATACTGGTTCTGCAAATCTTACCTTGATGATTTCTCACTCAAAAGAGCTTTTAAGATTCCAAGTGCATTCCAGCCAAACTGCTTGATCTAGACTCACATCCCTAGGAAGACACATTTACCAGGACGCTGTCCAGCGACAATGACTCCAGCATGACCACCATGGTGTCAGAATGCTGCCTTCCCATCTCATTACTTCTCCACATGTCATTTGCATTTGCATAACATAAATACATTTACTATTGCATCTACTGCCCCCTGGAGGATATGTTGAACTTTATAAGGCAGCAATAGGTATACGTTTATAGGTACAAAAAAATTACTATAAGGAAAAATTGATATTTTTCCCCTTACTTCGATGAAATTTTAACAGTCTTTCACTAAACATCTAAAAGACGTCATTGCAATTCAATTGGAAAATGTTACAATGTAACTAATATAGCTTTACTTCAAACTACTTGAACATAAATCAGAAAAAGTATATATATGTATATATATATATATATATATATACACACACACATTACCTACAGAATAGCAAATATGATATTTTGAGTCTCTGTTAATGCTCCAGAAGATGTCAAAGCACTTTTTATTTTCCTTAAATTTCTGGCAAGATAATCTTAAAACTAAAGAGATTATTCGATTACAAGAAAGAATGTAAATTTTAAAAATTCGACTTTGTAAAATAAAAAAAGAACACTGGAATAAAAACAGAAAATATTTTTCCCCAAATTATTAATCTCCCAACTATTTCTCAAGATATTCCACCAAAATATCTCTTAGAGTGAACATTAGCACAAGGATCATTCTATAGTCATAAAATTTGTCAAAGCTTCAGATTTTATTTTAAAATATGTAAATTTTGTTTTACACCATAATATGCTTTTATTTATTTTAGTGTAAAAGTTATGCTATGTTACTACACTATTTTTAAGTAAAATTAACACCCTGGAAAAGATGTACTATGCTTCTCCTATGGATCCACTACTACTTTCTGACCTCAGATGTTCTTCAACTTGAGATAAACTGGATAAGAAAACATGGGATTAACTTATAAAAACACATTATTGTTTATTGTGTTTAATGTGTTTATAAAAACACATAATTTTGCAGTTTACAATATAGCATAAAAAAGTAGTAATCACATTTGAACAAATGTATAATTATCATATAATATAAATGTAAATCATATATAGACATAAACATAAAATGAAATATCAGTTTGGAAGCATTTCTGCTCAAATATAAATATAAATTAAATACCAGCTTGGGGGCATTTCTCCTTTCTGAGCCTTTAGCCAAAAGGAACCAGAGACATTGGCCTAACATTCTCAGTTAAGATATCACCTCTTCCTTCTTAAAGGTCTCTTCTCTGAGGTCCCCTCAACCAACCACTCTAACATCTCACCTATCCTTCTACTTACCTAGAACCAGCATAATGAAACAAAAAGCTCCAGATTAGGAGTAATGAAACAAGTACATGAGTGGCTCTGCACTTAGTATGTGACCTTGAGACCCCATTTATAACAAAAAAAAAAATTATAGAATACATTTGGGACTTACTATTTGCTAGACACTCTCCTGGCACTTTATTTACATAATATTTAACTTTTAAAATGAACCTGCAGATAAATATTTCCTGTATGCATAAGCCTCAGAATGGTGTAACAGCTTGCCCAAGTTCACCTATCTAGTCAGCAGCAGGATCTGAATTTTTAAGAATTCTATTTATTCATCCATAATACCTGTTCTGCATCCTAGGTATTAAAACAAATCAATGAATGTGAAAGTGAATTATTCAATGCAAGAAGAAATTACTTCCATATATTTAGAGAATGGGCAAGAGTAATTTGAACTGGTTAATAAGATACAAATTAATTCACTGGTTCATTTACTCCTGGGATATTTGGGTAGGGTGCATGATTTTCATAATAATTATTAGGAATTTACCTTTGTACACACCCCATGTCCATTTTAAAATGTGTTTTACTGCCAATCCGTATATGATCTTTTGCATATCAGTCATAATCTTGAACTGTAGATAGTTCTCTCAATTCGGAGTGTAAGAGGTCTGCTATGGTTTGAATATTTGTTCCCTCCAAAATTCATGTTGAAATTTAATCCCCAATGTGGCAGTACTGAAAAGGGGGGCCTTTAAGAGGTGGCTGGGTCATGATGACCCTGCCTTCATGAATGGATTAATTAATGCATAGATTAATGGATCAATGGCTTGTCATGAGAATGGGACTGATGGCTTTGTAAGAAGGAGAAGAGAGACCTGAGTTAGCACACTCAGCCCCTAACCACGTGATGCCATTTGTTGCTTTGGGACTCCACAGAGAGTCCTGACCAGTAAGCAGGTTCATACTAGACACAGCCCCTCAGCCTCGGACTTCTTGGCCTCCGTAATGTAAGAAACAAATTATTTTGTTCTTTTATAAACTATCCACCTTCAGGTATTCTGTTATAGACAGGAAACAGACTAAGGCAACACCTAAAAAGGATAATATGAGGAGGAAACAGGATTGGGCAAAGAGAGCCTCAGATTATCATGCAGATCTGACAGAGTTTCAGTTATACAAATGGCACCTCCACAGCAAATGCTGCCCATTAGCAAAGTCTGGTATTGGACAGAAATGGCCAGGACCTTGTGTCTGCACCATGCCCAGTCATTGGCTCTGGCTTCCCAAGAAAAGCATGGGCTCAGCTCAAAAGCTTAGATTCTGAAGGCACTTACAGCTGGAGGCTATCAGCTAACTGCACTCCTTGCAATCAAATGGTAAGTTCTTTTTTAAGAGGTGACCAGAACAGTGACCCTCCATGACTGCCACAGTGGAAAATCCCGTTAATTATTTAATAAGCTAAGCATAACTCTAACACCAAGTGTGTGCACATATAAAGTTTAAACAAACTACTAGGGAATACAACAAAACAATCCCAAGAAACTATAATAAAATTCTATTGTAAATAATACAGGAATCATTATAATAAGGTGATTATGTTCAACAAAATATACAAAATCAATAGCTTTTTGTAATAGCAATAAGCATCTAGAAGTATAAATAATAAAATGATTGCTTTTAATTGGAAACAAAAATCACAAAATGCTAAGAAATAAGTATGATATTGGCATAGCAATAGGCAAAACATTTCAGTTATTGGGTATATATCCAAAAGAATTGAAAGCAGGGACTCAAATAGGTATTTGGATATCCATGTTCAGAGTAGCATTATCCACAATAGCCAAAAGATGAAAGTAACTCAAGTGTTCATTGATGGATGAATGGATAAAATGGAATATTATTCATCCTATAAAGGAAGGAAATTCTGATATATGCTAATACAAGGTTATGCTAATATAACATTATGCTAATGTAAGGTTCATGGATAAACCTTATGAATATCATGCTAAGTGAAATAAGTCAGTCACAAAAGGATACCCATGCATATGAATAACATGCAAATTCATAAAGATAGAATTAGTAAAGATAGAAAGTAAAACTCATAAAGATAGAAAGTAGAACAGTGGCTGCCAGGGGCTGGAAGGAGGGGGAATAGGGAGTTAGTGTTTAATGAGAATAGAGTTTCAGTTTGGGAAGATGAAAAAGTTCTGGAGATAAATGGTGGTGATGGTTCCACAACAATATAAATGTACTTAATGCTACTAAATTGTACACTTAAAAATAGTTAAAAACAGGTTAAAGAGAATAGATAACCTCAAACTCAACCAGAGTATTTAAGTGACAAATGTGATATCTCAATTCAGTAGGAAAAGGATGGTTTGTCTGATACATAGTACTGACTCAATTGGCCAATCATCTGCAAAAAATAAACCTGGACCCTGATCTTGATATCTGAAATTGTTCATGAGAAGTTGAAATAGTTGCAAAAAATATAATTTAGGTATATTATAAATACTGACATTCAGAAATAAAGCTATAACTTCACTCATTTAAACATATTCAAAGAATCTTAATAGTATAAAGATTTGATACACATTATCACTTATTTTAAAAAATAAATGAATAAGCTCTTTTCTAAATATTTCCTTTTAATCTTTGGTCCCAAGTTTTCATTACATTTTCATCTCAGAATTTTATCTAATTGTAATATTTATTTGTCCTAGCCAAGGCACCAGACATTTAAGAGAGCCTATTAAGATCAGTTAAGTTTGTAGCTGACTTGGTGCTAACAGTCGACATAGAGTGAGATCTCCAAAACCCAAATTAATTCAGCAAAACTACTAAGCAAAACCAAAGAATCAGGAACTAAAATAAATATGTGTTCGGGGAGTGGCGTAAGCAAGATAGCAGAATAGGAGGTCCCAGTCCTCACTACACACTACAGAAAGTTCAACTAGCAACTATCCACAGACAAGAACACCTTTATGAAAACCTCAAAACTTGGGAATAAACCTGAGACACCTTCATAGATAACAGAATCCAGTGAAAAATGGCATCAGAAGGGTAGGAGAAATAGTTTCACTTTGGCTGTGTCACCCACCTCCCCAACTTGGCACAGCACCAAACAGAGAGGATAATCCTGGGCCCACAGTTTCTACAGTAGAAAAAGAGAACTAGAGGCAAATATCCAGTTGTCAAAGTATTCTGAGATGCTTCCCAGGAAGCCCACTGGAGTCTTACTTCATGGGGGAAAATGAGGGTAATGGCATGACTAGATCACCTAGGGTCAGGTAGAAACAAAGCAAGGAAAAGAGCTCACAGAGATCAGCACAGAAATCTTGGTTGTAGCTCTGTGTACCTGCCAGCAGTGGCACCACATCAGAGGTACCAGCCAATACATAATACACTGGCAAAGCTAAGCTGGTTGTTCCCACAAGTGGTGGGAAGTTCTACTTGGCTTGTATCCCTAGATGGCCAGCCTCATGCCCAGTCTTTGACCCTACCCAAAGGCCCCACCCAGAGAGAAAGACACCCTCCACAGCCCATTTTGGCAAAGGGCAGAAGATAGATCTGCCCCCATGGAAGTGTAAAGAGCACTTGACTCAGCCTCAGAGACCACCCCAAGCTCTTCCCAGAGGAAGAGACTGCCATGGTGCATTTTGGCAAAGTTCAGGGGCTAGACCTTCCCTACCTGGGAGTTCAAACAGTGGCTCAGCCCAACCTCAAAGCCCACTTCAATTCCCTACACAGGCCGGGAGGCAAACCTCAACTGTGTATTTCTACTGAGCATAGTGGCTGCTGCCATCTATCCTAAGCAGTGACTCCACCTAGCCTTAGGGCCTAGCCTGCAACCCTATTTTACTGCAGAATGCAAACAGCGGTACCACCTGGCCAGAAAATACACCCTATGACCCATCCCAATCAGAGACAATTGTGGTGTCCAGCCATCAGCTCTGCCCGATTGCAGAATCCAGCCGGCAGCCCCACCTAAACTCAGAGCAAAGACAGTGGCCCAGCCATCTAGAGAACCCAAAAGCAAGCTCTGCCTGCCCAGGGTTCTTATCAGCTGGCCCATCCAGAATCACAGGCTACATGAAACAGTGAAGGTCTATTTCTGCTTAATAACATCTGTAAAAGTGAAAGAGGTGAGTGTCTCCTCAAATGTACAGACACCAACACAATGACACAAAGATCACAAAAATAAGGGAATCATGACTCCTCCAAAAGGAAATAATAAAGCCCCCAAAATAGACCCTGCAGAAATGAAGATCTATGGAATGACTGATAAAGAGTTCAGAATAATCTTCTTAAAGAAGTTAGGTGAACAAAAAACATACACATAGAAAGTTAAACAAATAGAAAACATGTGAAATCAATGAGAAGTTTAACAATGAAATAGAAGCAATTTAAAAAAAACAAATAGAAATTTTTGAGCTGAATACAATGACTGAACTAAAAAATGCAACAAAATAACTCCAACAGTAGGCTCAATAAAGCATAAGAATCAATGAACTCAAAGATAGAACACTGTAAATCATCTATGCAGAAGACCAAAACGAAAAAAAAATTAAGAAGGAAGAAAGTTTACAGAAATTATAAGACATCATCAAGAGGTAAAAAGTTGATAGAATAGGATTTCCAGAAACAGGAGAGAAAAGAAGCCAGAAAACTATTTAAATAAATAATGGCTGAAGACTTCCTATATCTGGGGAAAGGCACAAATATTGAGGTATGGGAAGCCCAGAGATCTCCAATCAAATTCAACCTAAAGAGGAGTTCACCATGACACATAAGAATCAAACTATCAAAAATCAAAGAAAAAGAAAAAATTGTGAAAACAGGAAGAGATAAGAAACATATCATATACAAGGTAGTTCAAATAAAGCTATCAGCAGATTTCTCAGCAGAAACCTTACAGACCATGAGAGAGCAGGATGATACAAAGCTGAAGGGAAAAATTTACCAACCAAGAATATTTACCCAGAAAAGCTGTCCTTTATAAATGAGGAAGAGACAAAAACTTTCCCAGACAAACAAAAGGTAATGGAGTACATCACCGCTAAGCCTGCCTCTTACAGGAATTTCTAAAAAAAATTCTTTAAGCTGAATCAAAATGCTGCTAAGTAATAACATAAAACAAAAGAAAGCATAAAACTCATGGTATAAGTAATACAGAGTCATATTCTGAATACTCTAGGACTGTAATAGTGGTGTGTAAAGCAATTTCATCTCTAGTATGATGGTTAAACGACAAATCTATGAAAACAGCTATAGCTAAAATAAATTGTCAAAGAAGACAGTTTACAAAATAATATAAATTTTGACATCAAAAATGTAAAATGGCGGAGGGGAGTAAAAATGTAGAATTGTGGTGTAAGATCAAAATTAATTTGTTATCAGCTTGAAATAGCCTGTTATATGTATACAATGTCTATGTGAGCCTCATGATAACCACAAAGCAATACTCTATAGCAGATACAGAAAAAATAAATAGAAAAGATTAAAAGCATTCCACTACAGAAAACCATCAAACCACAAAGGAAGCAACACAGAAAAAAGCAAAATAAAACAACCAGAAGACAAATTACAAAATAGCAGTAGTATGCCATTACTTATGATTGATGATTTTGAATATAAATGGATTATATTCTCCAACAAAAAGATGGTAGCTGAATGGATAAATAAATAAGACCCAATTATATGATGCCTATAAGAAACTCTCCTCACCTTTCAGGACACAGACTGAAAGTGAAGGCATAGGAAAAAAATATTATAAGCAAATGGAAATGAAAAGAAAGCAATGGTAGCCATACTTATACCAGATAAAACAGACTTCAAGTCAAACTGTAAGAAGAGACAAAGCAGGTCATTATATAATGATAAAAGGGTCAATTTATCAAGAGAATATAGCAATCATAAATACATATGTACTCAACATCAGAGTACCTAAATATATAAAGCAAATATTAATATATGTGAAAGGAGAGATAATAATACAATAGTAGTGAAGGACCTCAATACTCCAACTTTTAATAATGAACAGATCATCTGGACAGAAATTAATTAGAAAATATTGAACTTGAACTACATTTTAGACCAAATAAACCTAACAGACATATACAGAACATTTTATTCAACTGCATTGAAATATACATTATTCTTAAGCACCCATGGGACATTCTCCAGGATAGATCATATGTTAGGCCACAAAACAAGTGTGAACAAATTTAAGAAAATTGAAATCCTATCATCTTTTCTGATCACAATTGTATGAAACTAGAAATTGATAACAGGACACAAACTAGAAAATTCACAGATATGTAGGAATTAAGCTGCATAATTCTGAACAACTGATATGATTAGGCTTTGTGTCCCCATCCAAATCTCCTCTTGAATTGTAATCCCCGTAATCCCCACATGTTGAGGGAGGTACCTGGTGGGAAGTGATTGGATCATGGGGTTGGTGTCCCCCATGCTGTTCTTTTGATAGTGAGTTCTCACAAGATGGTTTCATAAGTGTCTGAGAGTTCCTCCTTCACACCTTGGCTCTCTGTCACCTGCTGCCATGTAAGACATACCTCTTCCCCTTCTGCCATGATTGTAAGTTTCCTGAGGCCTCCCCAGCCATGTGGAACTGTGAGTCAATTAAACCTCTTCCCTTTACAAATTACCCAGTCTCAGGTATTTCTTTATAACAGTGTGAAAATGAACTAATACAGTTAATTGGTACTAGGAGTGGGGTGCTGCTATAGAGATAGTTAGAAATGTGGAAGAGACTTTGGAACTGGGTAACACGCAGAGGTTGGAACAGTTTGGAGGGCTCCAAAGAAAACAGAAAGATGTGAGAAAGTTTGGAACTTCCTAGAGACTTGTTGAATGGTTTTGACCAAAATGCTGATGATGATGTAGACAATGAAGTCCAGGCTAAGGTGGTCTCAGATGGAGATGAGGGACTTCTTGGGAACTGGAGCAAAGGTCACTCTTGCTATGCTTTTGCAAAGAGACTGGCAGCATTTTGCCCTTGCCCTAGAGATCTGTGGAACTTTCAAATTGAGAGAGATGATTTAGGGTATCTGGCGGAATAAACTTCTAAGCAGCAAAGCATTACAAAGGTGATCTAGTTGATTTTGAAAGTGTTAAGTCTTATGCATTCACAAAGAGATGGTTTGAAACTGGAACTTATACATAAAAGGGAAGCAGAGTGTAAAAGTTTGAAAAATTTGCAGCCTGACCATGCAGTAGAAAAGAAAAACCCATTTTCCGGAAAAGAATTCAAGCTGGCTGCAGAAATTTGCATGAGTAATGAGGAGCCAAGTGTTAATAGCCAAGATGATGGAGAAAATGTCTCCAGGGAATCTCAGAGGCTTTCACAGCAGCCTCTCCTATCACAGGCCCAGAGGCCTACAGGGAAACAATGTTTTCATGGGCTGAGCCCAGGGCTTTGCTGCTGCTCTGTGCAGCCTCGGGACTTGGCACCCTGCATCCCAACCATGGCTAAAAGGGGCCAATGTACAGCTGAGGCTGTTGTTTCAGAGGGTATAAGCCCCAAACCTTGGTGGCTTACATGTGGTGTTGGGCCCATGAGTGCACAGAAGCCAAGAATTGAGGTTTGGGAACCTCCATATAGATTTCAAAGGATGTATGGAAATGCCTGGATGTCCAGGCAGAAGTTTGCTGCAGGGGTGGAAACTTCACGGAGAACCTCTGCTAAGGCAGTGCAGAAGGGAAATGTGGGTTTGGAGCCCCCACAGAGAGTCCTCACTGGGGCCCTGCCTAGTGGAGCTGTAAGAAGAGGGCCACCATCCTCCAGACCCCAGGATGACAGATCAACCGACAGCTTGCATGTGCATGTGGAAAAGCTACAGACACTCAATGCCAGCCTGTGAAAGCAGCTGGGAGGTGGGCTGTACCCTGCAAAGCCACAAGAATGGAGGTGCCTGAGCCCATGGGAGCCCACCCATTGCATCAGCACATCCTGGATGTGAGACATGGAGTCAAAGGAGATCATTTTGGAGCCCTAAGATGTAATGACTGCCCTGCTGGATTTCAGACTTGCATGGGGGCCTGTAGCCCCTTTGTTTTGGCCAATTTCTCGCATTTGGAATGGGAGCAATTATCCAATGCCTGTACCCCAGCTACTAGGGAGGCTGAGACTAGAGAATCACTTGAGCTCGAAAAGTGGAAGTTGCAGTGAGCTGAGGTCATGCCACTACACTCCAGTCTGGGTTTCAGAGTGAGACTCTGTGTCAAAAAAAAAAAAGGACATTTGAGGACTGTTGGAAAGGCAGGATTTGTTTTGAAATGTGAAGAAGTGAGATTTGGAGTGGCCAGGAGTGGAATGATGTGGTTAGGCTTTGCATCTGCACCCAAATGTCATCTTGAATTAAAATCCTGATGATCCCCACATGTTGAGGGAGGGACATGGTGGGAGGTGACTGAATCATGGTGGCAATGTCCCCCATGCTATTCTTGTAATAGTGAGTGAATTTTCATGAGATCTGGTGGTTTTATAAGTGTCTGAGAGTTCCTCCTTCACACACTCACTTGCTCTCACCTGCTGCCATATATGACATGCCTCTTCCCCTTCTGCCATTATTGTAAGTTTCCTGAGGTCTCCCCTGCCATGTGGAACTGTGAGTCAATTAAACCCTTTTCCTTTGTAAATTATCCAATCTCAGGCATTTTTTACAGCAATGTGACAATGAACTAATACAACAACCAATGGATCAAAAAAGTAACTAAAAGGGAAATAAAAAGAATTTTTGAAACAAATGATAATGGAAGCAGGACATACCAAAACTTATGGGATGTAGGAAAAGCAGTTCTAAGAGAGACATTTATAGCAATAAGTGCCTATATAAAAAAAGACGATCTCAAATAAACAACCTAACGTTATGCCTTAAGGAACTAGAAAAAGAACAACTAAACCCAAAGTTAGCAGAAGGAAGGAAATAAAATCAGAGCAGAAATAAAAGAAATAGAAATTAGAAAAACAATAGAAAAAATCAATAAAACCAAGAGTTGGTTTTTTTTACAAGATAAACAAAATAGATAAATCTTTAGCTAGACTAAAAAATAAAGAGAAGTCCAGGTGTGGTGGCTCACACCAGTAATCTCAGCACTTTGGGAGGCCGAGGTGGGTGGATCATGAGGTCAGGAGATTGAGACCAT
This sequence comes from Homo sapiens, assembly GCF_000001405.40. Taxonomy (NCBI): domain Eukaryota; kingdom Metazoa; phylum Chordata; class Mammalia; order Primates; family Hominidae; genus Homo; species Homo sapiens. The sequence continues at coordinate 190,013,731 of NC_000002.12, read as the reverse complement.
CCTAGCTAACACAGTGAAACCCTGTCTCTACTAAAAAAAATACAAAAAATTAGCCAGGCATGGTGGCAGGCACCTGTAATCCCAGCTACTTGGGAGGCTGAGGCAGGAGAATGGCGTGAACCCAGGAGGTGGAGCTTGCAGTGAGCCAAGATCACGCCGCTGCACTCCAGCCTGGGTGACAGAGCGAGACTCCATCTCAAAAAATAAATAAATAAATAAATAAATACAAATAAACAAAGAGAGACGACTCAAATAAATATAATCAGAAATTAAAGAGAAAAAAATTATAACTAAAATCACAGAAATACACAGGATTATAAGAGATTACCATGAACAATTATAAGCAATAAATTGGATAATCAAGAAGAAATACATTCCTAGACACATACAACCTACCAAGGCTGAATCATGAAGAAAGAAAATCTGAACAGACCAATACTAAGTAAAGAGATTGAATCAGTAATAAAAAGTCCCCGATCAAAGAAACATCCAATACCCAATGGCTTCATGGATGAATTCTACCAAACAGTGTAAAAATAACTAATACATATCCTTCTTAAAGTCTTCCAAAAAATTGAAGAAGATGGATTATTTTCAAACTCTTTTTGAGCCCAGCATTACAATGATGCCAAAGTCAGACAAGGATACTAGAAGCAAAGAAAATTATGGGCCAGTATATAACCCTGATAAATATAAATACAAAAATCCTCAACAAAATAACAGCAAACCAAATTTAATAGCACATTAAGAGGATCACTCAATATATTCAAGTAGGATTTACCTGTAGGAGGCAAGATGGTTCAAGATACATAAATCTACAAATGTAACACATCACATTGACAGAATAAAGGACAAAAATGATATATTTATCTCACTAGATGCAGAAAAAGCATTTAAGAAAATTAAACATGATTTTATGATAAACACTCTCAACACATTAGGTTTAGAAATTTAGAAATCAACACAATAAAGGCCATATATGACAAGCCCAGAGATAACATCATATTCAATGGTAAAAAGTTGAAAGCTTTTCCTTTAAGATCAGGAACAAGACAATGATGCCCATTCCCATCATTTCTATTCAATATTGTACTGAAAGTTCTTACCAGAGTAATTAGGCAAGATAAATATAAAAGGCTTTGAAACAGCAAAGGCAGAGGTGAAACTGTCACTGCTGATAACATGCTCTTATATTCAGAAAACCCTAATAGCTCCATCAAAAAACTGTTTGAACTAATAAACAAATAAAGTTGTAGGATATAAAATCAACACATAAAAATCAGTAGCATTTCTATACACTAACAACAAACTATTTGAAAAATAAATCAAGAAAACAATTTCATTAAAAAAGCATCAAAAAGAAAAAAATACTTAGAAATACATTTAACCAAGGAGGTAAAATATCTGTATGCAAAACTGTCTGTACAAAAAATACAGAAATTAGTCAGGTGTGGTGGTGTGTGACTGTGGTCCCAGCTACTTGGGAGGCTGATGTGGGAGGATGGCTTCAGCCTGGGAAGCAGAGGCTGCAGTGAGCTGAGATTGTGCCACTGCACTCCAGCAATAAAGCCAGATCCTGTCTCAAAAGAAAAATCTGTATACTGAAAACTATGAAACTTTGATGAGAAAAATTGAAGACATAAAAAAATGAAAATATATTCCATGTTCATGGATTGGAAGAATTAACATTATTACAATGTTCATACTACCCAAAGTGATCTACAGATTAAACGTAATCCCTATTGAAATTCCAATGTGAGTTTTAAAAAAAAAAATAGGAAAAACAATGCTAAAATTCATATAGAACCAAAAAAGACTATGAATAGTCAAGGCAATCTTGAGCAAAAAGAACAAATCTAGAGACTTTGTACTACCTGTCTCCAAATACTATTGCAAAGCCATAGTAATCAAAACAGCATGGTACTGGCATAAAAATGGATACACAGACCAATGGAAAAGAATAGCAAGCCCAGAAACAAAACCACATATTTACAGTCAATTGATTTTCAACAAAGGTGCCAAGAATACATAATGGGAAAAGGAGAGTGTCTTCAATAAATGATGTCAGAGAAACTGGATATCCATATACAGAAAAATGAAATTAGACCCTTATCTCACACTGTATTTTAAAAACTTCAAAATGGATTAAAGATGTAATCATACAACCTGAAACTGCAAAACCACTAGAAGAAAACATATGGGAAAAATGACATGACATTCATCTGGGCAATAATTTTTTTGCATTTGACCCCAAAAGCTCAGGCAACAAAAACAAAAACAGACAGAAAAAATTACATCATGTAAAAAGCTTCTGCACAGCAAAGAAAACAATTAGCAGAGTGAAGAGGCAACCTAAAGAATGACAGAATGGTGCTGGGTGTGGTGGCTCAGGCCAGTAATCCCAGCCCTTTGGGAGGCAGAGGAGGCCTGATCACTTAAGGCCAGGAGTTCAAGACCAGCCTGACCAACACAGCAAAACCCCATCTCTACTAAAGAAATACAAAAAATTAGCTGGATGTGTTGGTAGGTGCCTGTAATCCCAGCTACTTGGGAGGCTGAGACAGGAGAATCACTGGAACCTGGGAGGTGGAGGCTGTAGTGAGTTGACATCACACCACTGCACTCCAGCCTGGGCAACAGAGCAAGAAAGACTGTCTCAAAAAAAAAAAAAAAAAAAAAAAGAGAGAGAGAGAATGAGAGAATGGGAGAAAATATTTGCAAATATTTACAAACCATAACCTGGGAAGGGGTTAATATCAAAAATATATATATAGCCACATATCCCAAATATATAAGATACTCAAATGACTCAATAGCAAGAAAACAAATAAACTGAGATGTTGGTCAAAGGGTACATAACATTGTATGTTAAGTATTTGAGGTGATATATTAACTAGCTTGATTTAATAATTCCACATTATATACATCTATCATAGCATTACTTTGCACTCCAGAAATATATACGATTATAGTTTCTCAATATTCAATAAGATAAAATGAAAATATGTATTGTTTTATGCAGAGATTTTGTGATATTTTTGTTATGCAGCCCCTCTGTGACAATAGAGGACTGATATATCACCCACCATATTTTCTATACAACCACAGTGACTTTGAATTTATGACTAATCTTCAAATATTTGTTAGATGAATCTAGAACAAAAACATGCATTTTAAGTGGAATTTTACATTTTATTTTTTCTTTATGACTATAAAGCTCTGAGTGTTAAGTATTTTCAAATTCATGATTAATTTTACCCTGAATGTTGCTCAGCAATCATACAGTACATCCTTAATCCACTCTCTCTTCTGCTCCCATTGATGACTATTATCCCACTGTATCTCTCAAGTCATAGCACCTCCTCTGCATCCTCATTCAAAGTAGACAAACTTACTTCCTACTCCTGTAAGAAAATTGACACAATTAAAGGATAAATTCCACAAATTGTTTTCTGCACCCATTCTCCTTTCCTGCCTGTTACCATGGATAAACTATTCGTGCTCTGATCTAAAGTAAAATTATCCACTTGTGTAGTAGATCCTATCCCATCTCACCCACTCAAGAATATAGATCCAGAAATACTCCCTTGTCTTTCCTATCTTGTCATTTTTGTTTTGTTTTATTTCTTACAAAGAGTGAAGATCACTTCTGTCAACACATGAGCATGGTGTTTATTTCTACCATCTTCAGAATAAATGTATTTTTGGCCTTTACTTCCTGCACCAGCTATCCTTGCTCTTTTTTTGCAACAGCAAAATCCTTTGCTCTTTTTTGCAACAGCAACTTTTTAAGTTACTCCCTCATCCATGAAACATTTTATTCACTTATTTTGCTTTTTTTTTTTCTCTTGGTTATCCTAGGACCCTACTGGTCATTATGTCTCAGGCCTTTTTGCCTTCTCCCCATCCTCTTAATGTTGGTGTATCCTAAGAGTTGGTCTTTGATCCATTTCTCTTCTCTATCTACTCAGTTTGTCCATAATCTCTTCCAGTCTCATGGCTTTAAATGCTGTTTCTATGACGAAGGCTCCCAAATTTAAATTGCCAGCTTATACATTTCTCCTAAACCCCAGACTTGATTATCCAAATGTCTATTTAACAGCTCCCTTTGGATTTTAATAGACATCTCAAACTCAACATATCCATAATCAAATTCCTAATCTTTCCTTCCAAAGCTGCTCCACTGCAGCCTTTGCCATCTCAGTTGATAGCAACTCCATTTTTTCTAGTTGCTTAGAACCAAAACCTTACAGATATTCCTGAGTCCTCTCCTACTCTCACAATAGCACATCCAATATATCACAATATCTTTCTGGATCTACCTTAAATATATATCCTGAATCCAACATTTCTTAACATTTCCTCTTATGTGGCTTCAGTATGAGCCACCACGATATCCTAAATGCCCCTAACAACACTTTCTGTTATACTTCTAGCCCCCTGGAATCTATTCCCTATACAGAAGTTGAGTAATAATATCATGCCTCTGTATTCCTCTAATGGCCATCCACTTTAGTCATAATAAAAGACAAAGTCCTCTACAAGGCCTTACATGTTCTGGTCCCCTCCCGACACCACACTTCCCTGACTATTCCTGCTGTGCTTCCTGAATTTATTCCACCCACAGTGGTCTTCTAGCTATTCCTCACAATGCCAGATATCTTCCTTTTACTGCTCTTCTCTCTCCCATTTTAGAGTCTTTGTGTTACAGTTCCTGCTGTCTGGAACCCCAGACAGCCACATGGAACATCCCTGCATTCTTCAAATTTTCCTCAAATATCACCCTCTCAGCACAATCTCTCCCTACCACCCTATTTAAAATTGCAATCCCCTATATCACTTCTTTTACAAGCCCCTACTTCCTAACCTCTAACTCTGCTTTACTTACTCATTTTTCCAAAGCACATATCACACTTTGCTTACTTACACCCCATAATGTAAATTTCAGGAGACCAGGTGGGTGTGTGTGTGTGTGTGTGTGTGTGTGTGTGTGTGTGTGTGCACGTGCACATCTTTTATTCACTGACATAGCCAAGAAACTCATAAAGTATCTAGCACAAAGGAGGTGCTCAGTGAATACATGTAGAATGAGCTTACAATAAAAAACTGTGCATAAGCTGGGATTTTAAACTTTTTATTTTCATCTTTAACTCATGATCATAAAGCTCTAATTAAAAATCTTCTGGATTGGGCTATCATTATAATAATTACTAGTATACAATTGATCAAATGACAGAAAGATATTTTAAATTTTGATAATAATTAAACCAACAAAATGTACTGGTAAAACACCATAATGAGATGAACCATGATCACATTTTTCTTCTTCATTTAATGAAGAAAGGTATATACTGGGATAAATTAAATGGTATAAGAGTTGTCCTTTTATTTTTTAAAAGGAGGTGGGAATTTTTGAAACATTTTATGATTAGGATTGATTATAATTGGAATAAATAATTCATTATATTTACTTAATAAAACAGGATTTACATACTTTGCTTAATACCACCTAATCTGAAAGAAATTAGGTGAAAATCTTATTAGTGAGTTTCATCTATTGTGTTTTGAAAAATCTGGTAGCACCAACAGATATTTCAGTTACATTTTAAAAAGTCGGTACCAGTAAACTTTACTGCTTTGGTTTTTCCAAGAAGCTTTGCTTTCTAGCTAATGACATGCCCAGGGAATAGGTAATGAGTATGGCTAAGACTTTCTTATTCTTAAATGTAGGAAAGGATTGCTGTAAGCCTTCAATATTTCTCTTTTTTATGAGACAGAGTCTCTTGCTGTTGCCCAGGCTGGAGTTCAGTGGCATGATCTCGGCTCACTGCAACCTCTGCCTCCTGGGTTCAAGCGATTCTTGTGCCTCAGCCTCCCAAGTAGCTGGGATTACAGGCACGCACCACCACACCCAGCTAATTTTTTGTATTTTTAGTAGAGAAAGGGTTTCACCATGTTGCCCCGGCTGGTCTCGAACTCCTGAGCTCAGGCAATCCACCCACCTCAGCCTCCCAAAGTGCTAGGATTACAGGCGTAAGCCACCGCGCCTGGCCAGCATTCAATATTTCTTATTAATGCTTTCCTTCCTTTGCTCTTAGTGTACTTTCCTTAAGTGCACATATTCATTAACAATATCTGAGGGCATGGAGGAGGCACAGTCCTTAAATGAAAATCATTATTAGTCCCACCACCCCATTCTACCATATATCTAAATTAAAAACATCCTAACATGGGCCAAAGTTTGGCATCCTTACCAATTTTTCATCCATAACATACAGAAAACAGAGAAATTCCCCATAGGTTGTGGTAACTTGATTAATCAATCAAAAAAAGGCTTCCCCTTGATTTATGGAGCCCAGAGTGCATACCATTTGAGATGTATGTGCTTTCATTTCATAAAGTGAGAGAACGGATGTTATGAAGTCATGTGAGTTCCCACTCAATTTTTGGACAGAGTAGAAAATGGAGAATATAGGCATTGATTCCTTTGAAATGATTCCTATTTCTGTACCCCATAGAAAGTTTTCATATCCCTTGAAGGTATCCTACCCCAGTTTGAAGATTATTGATAAAGTGCATTTCATTCCACTTCTCTACTGTGATTAAATGTACACTGTTGTGCTTATCTAATCTTATACAAAATTACTAAAACTTTTCATAGTAAGACCTAGCTCAGAGGACCTACTTGTTTAAATTCTTTTTTTCTTCTTTTGAGATGGAGTCTCACTCTGTCGCCCAGGCTGGAGTGCAGTGGTGCGATCTCGGCTCACTGCAACCTCTGCCCCACCAGTTCAAGCGATTCTCCTGCCTCAGCCTCCAGAGTATCTGGGACTATAGGCACCTGCCACCACGCCTGGCTAATTTTTTTTGTATTTTTAGTAGAGTCGTGGTTTCACTGTGTTAGCCAGGATAGTCTCGATCTCCTGACCTCGTGATCTGCCTACCTCGGCCTCCCAAAGTGCTGGGATTACAGGCGTGAGCCACCGCGCCTGGCCTACTTGTTTAAATTCTCATATAAGATCTCTTCATACTACATTGCACCAATGCTGTTCACTAGAATTTTGCTTATAGCTAGCTTTTTTTTTTTTTTTTTGAGACAGAGTCTCGTTCTGTCGCCCAGGCGGTAGTGCAGTGGCATGATCTCGGCTCACTGCAAGCTCTGCCTCCTGGGTTAACGCCTCAGCCTCCCCAGTAGCTGGGACTACAGGCACCCGCCATCACGCCCAGCTAATTTTCTTTTGTATTTTTAGTAGAGACGGGATTTCACCGTGTTAGCCAGGATGGTCTTGATCTCCTGACCTCATGATCTGCCCGTCTCTGCCTCCCAAAGTGCTGGGATTACAGGCGTGAGCCACCGCGCCCAACCATAACTAGCTTTTATGGATAGCTGCTCACTGAATTATCCACTTTGAGAAGGAAGTTTTGACTCTTTGGGACAGGTATTTGATGGTAAGGTTGGGGAAGCACCATCTTAGAAAAAGTCTCTTATGCTCCAGGAATGATGTCATGAAGTGCTAATTTCATAGCTGCAATTCTTGAGGATTCTCAAGTTTTCTAATATAAACTTTTCACAGATCAATTACTCATTCATCTCATGAAAAATGATAAGAATACTGTGTTATTCGTCTGCCTTCTCACTGGATGTAATGAAATGTTTAAATGGCCACCTTTAAGTATCATACTTTGAGTGCTCACTTGCACCTCCACTGGATAATAATAGAAATTAATATGTATTGAGCATTAGCATATATTGTAAAGAAAAATAGTCTGAAGGGACAAAAAAATATATAAATGGTGTCTGCCTCTCTTCTTCCCAATCCAGACTAAATTGACCAAGGAAAATGTGAAAATAAGGAAAAGTTGCATTGGTATTTAAAGCTAAAAGAAGAATGCCAGATGACACAAACACTGAAAAATATTTTAATAGAGCTCTAAATTAAAGACATATACTCAATGAAGCTTGCCATTTGCATTTACAAAGAAAACAGCACTGCCTTTTGAGAATAAAGGACACTCCCAACCCCATGGTCATTTCTCCTAACTTAGAGGAAAAGAAAAACCATGAGACCAATAGGAAACATGCCACTGGGAATCCATCTGTCTGCCCTAAAATGACAAAATGTAAAGACTGCAATGCAACAGAGCTCTGTAGAGACCAGCATCTGGGGTAAACAGAAGTCTTATGGCAGTAATGAGATAGAAGTGGAATGAGGCTGAGGAGAAGGTGGCAATGAGAGGTGAAGCCAGCTGGACTTCCTGGGTCCAGTGGGGACTTGGAGAACTTTTCTGTCTAGCTAGAGGATTGTAAATGCACCAATCAGCACTCTGTGTCTAGCTAAAGGATTGTAAATGCATCAATCAGCACTCTGTAAAAACACACCAATCAGCACACTGTAAAATGGACCAATCAGCACTCTGTAAAATGGACCAATCAGCAGGATGTGGGCAGGGTCAAATAAGGGAATAAAAGCTGGCCACCTGAGCCAGCTGCGGCAACCTGGTCAGGTCTCCCTGCATGCTGCGGAAGCTTTGTTGATTCATTCTTCACAATAAATCTTGCTGCTGCTGACTCTTTGGGTCTGCACAACCTTTAAGAGCTGTAACACTCACTGGGAAGGTCCACAGCTTCACTCCTGAAGTCAGCAAGACAGTGAACTCACTGGAAGGAAAGAACTCAGGACACATCTGGACATATGAAGGAACACACTTCTGGACACACCATCTTTAAGAGCTGTAATGCTCACTGTGAGGGTCCGTGGCTTAATTGTTGAACTAAGTGAGACCAAGAACCCATGGGAAGGAATGAATTGCGGACACAGTAATATCGCCCAGAGTGGTATGCCTAATACTTTTAAGAGTGAGCAACTGAACCTACAACAGTGTTCATAACCTTGAACCTACTGAACATCCAATTAAAATGGTGCCTTTCCCTTGTGAGTGTGAAAGGCAGACACACTCAAAAGATTGCACTAGAATGCTCTGCTCTTTCTCCTATGATGTGTCTGCTAGTTATGATTCCTTTGCAAGGGAGGTCGGGAGGGCAAGGTTCCGTGAAACTCAAAATGATTATAATGATAGATGAGAACATAAACCAGGTGAGATTTGAGGTCAGAGGTGTGAAAAACATGTTGCTCTCAAAAAAAAAAAATAAAAAGGTTTATAAGAAAAATATTTGTTGACACAAAAGAAGAAAATAGTGTTCAAGAGGAAGGACAACATAATTTTGAAAGACATCTGCTGGAGAATAATAATAGGTGATAAGGTAGAGATATCAAAGGGAGCAGATTGTAAAAGGCCCTACGGGTCACTGTAAGAATTTTCACTTATATTGTGTATCAGGTTAACACTAGGGGAGGACTTTGAGCAAAATACAGATAATATCTGACATATTTTCATATGCTCACACTGGCTAGTAGGTTAAATGTATTAATAAACTGAGAATGTTTTTTTTTATTATTATTATACTTTAAGTTTTAGGGTACATGTGCACAATGTGCAGGTTAGTTACATATGTATACATGTGCCATGCTGGTGTGCTGCACCCATTAACTCGTCATTTAGCATTAGGTATATCTCCTAAAGCTATCCCTCCCCCCTCCCCATTCTAAGAATAGAATTTTCCACTAGAGTAGAGAGAGAGAGATTAACTATATTGTCATTGCAATAATCCAGGCTCCCCCAAAATGATAGTGTCTTGCCAGATCAAATTAGTGACAATTGTGAGAAGTGATTGGATTCTGGAAACATTACAAATTAAGAGTAAAGAGATTTGGGGAAAGAATAGATGTATGGTGTGAAATAAATTTGATTAGAATTTATTTGAATTAAAAATAATAAGTAGGAATACAACTTTTTTTTTTCTCTTTATACAGAGTCTCACTCTGTCGCCCAGGCTGGAGTGCGGTGGCATGATCTTGGCTCACTGCAACCTCTGCCTCCCAGGTTCAAGCAATTATTGTACCTTAGCCTCCCGAGCAGTAGCTGGGATTACAGACGCGTACCACCACACCCAGCTAATTTTTGTATTTTTAGTAAAGACGGGGTTTCTCCGTGTTGGACAGGCTGGTCTTGAACCCCTGGTCTCAAGAGATCCGCCGCTTGTGGCCTCCCAAAGTGCTGGAATTACAGGCGTGAGCCACCGCGCCTGGCCTAAGAGTACAATTTTATATTAATTTTAAAAAAGCAAGTTTATTAAGAAAGTAAATAAACACTTTTGAAAGTAAAGAAATAGAAGGACAATGTTAAATAGGTATATTATTTACCTCAGTAATTCTATTTTATGAATTCAATCTATGAAAAGACTCATATAAATGCAAAAGTTTGTTGGTTATAGCAAAAATTTGGAAACATCTAGATGTCAAAAAAGAAGAGTTTATATAAATTAGAATGATATAAGTAATAGATAAATATTAAGAAAGAATTATCTTTATTGGTACTGATGTGGAAAAATATGAGGTAAAAATTATAAGAGATGAAAAATTGTCATTATCTACATATATTTCATAACTCTATTTCTAGAATATACAAAATGAACTTACAATTTTTAAACTAAAAAGAGGTCAGTATGAATTCCAGATTCAAGAGCAACATACACAAGTCAATAGTGTTCTATCAGAAAACGTAATGAGAAAAATATTTGTTATCTTTTAATTCTAATAAACACTATCATTTAGGAATAAAACTAGTCAGAAACATTGAAAACCTTTAAGAGAAAAACTAGAAAACTTTATTAACAACATTAAAAAAACCCTCAGGATTACAAGAAAATGATGGCAATGGAGTTGTATTGGCATGCTTTTTGAATATTTTTGAATTTCTACATAAAAATAGCGCAACTAAAAAGAAAAATCAAAATTCCGTGGACGACATTTACAAGAAATCTAAGTGACATATTCCCAGAAAACCCAAACATCAAACAGGCCATAAGTGACCACAAAACCTGCAAGAGTTTGGCATCTCTGTAGGTAGGAGACAGAAGGAAAAAATAGACCAACTGACGGTCCTAAGAATCACAGTAAACATTAGGTATTCATGGAAAGCAGTTAGGCGTTTTAAGAAAAGCAGATGTTCAATCCCATAGTGAGTGAGAACAAGGAGTTCAATAAGAAGGAATGAAGAGGCTGAAGCTATCTAGACCCCATGAATTCTGTTTTTTTTCTTTATTTCTTTCTTTTTTTAAATTTATTATTATTATACTTTAAGTTTTAGGGTACATGTGCACTATGTGCAGGTTTGTTACATATGTATACATGTGCCATGTTGGTGTGCTGCAACCATGAATTCTTAAAACTGGGCCACCAGGGCTGCCTTCCAGGACAGTTCCCCACAATGAATAGAAACTAATGGGAGTGAAATCAAAATTGAGCAGGACAAGAAAAACAGAGATAAACAGAAGTTCCAGATAAAAGGTCAAGGTTTCTGGCAATGACCAGAACAAGATAACAAGCAAAGCAAATCCTCTTCCCAAAGATTATAAATCTGGACTAATTTATCAAAATAACCATTTCAGTACTCTGGAAATTGAACAATGACACATGACAGTCTAAGAAGCATTTATATATGAAATATTGCTAAACTTCAGATGAGAACGTTAGGAATGTGTGGTGTCTGGCCTAAGGCTACTCCCACCATATCCCCTGCCCTTGTTCTATAGGGAGGCTCTGCTGGATGGGCAGGATGTGAGAAATGGCAGCGATTCTCTGCTGTCTCCAAAAAGGGCTCACTTGATTTGGGGTGATGGATGATGCCCATACCAAATGGCATTGTTGGTGGAAGTGATTTCCCAAAGGCTGGCCAGAGGAAGGGGGCCAATGGCTTGACTCTACGTGTCTAAGGTTGTAGTCCTGGTAGGGGCAATCACATTCTTGATAAAGCCTGTTGATATGCATAGAGAAGAAGTAGTAGTTCCAAGTTATTCACACTCCTGAAAATGTACTCATATGTGCACATAGGAGACTAAAAGGGTCCTGTGGAAAGTAAAACCTGGGCCAGATGTGGAATTGGCCTGAAAGTGTTCCTCTGCTTACACATAGATCAACTGGCAGATGACAGAAGCCTTACTGAATCAAGGTGTTTAAAAATAATCTCTGCCAATTGATGGTAGATTATTAAGTTCTGCAGATGATGGGGAGTTCCTAGAAAGTCAGGTTTAAAACTAAAACAAACAAACAAAAAACAAAAGGAGAGACATCAGTGCTAATACTCCACAAGGGAAAAAGATTTCACAGAATAAACCCAGACAAGCTACTAAACAAAGGAACAAACACACACCCAGAAAAAACAACCATTTCCTGGGGGGAAATATCAGGGTCCTGTACAGTTTTCCACAGAAAATTATGAGGCATGCAAAGAAACAGGGAAGTAAAATCCATATTGGGGGGAGAAAGCCGTTAATAGAAACTGAGTATGGTACTCCCGATACTGTATTTAACAACGATTTCAAAGCAGCCACTATAAATATTTTCAAAGAACCAAACCAAGGGAAACCATGTAGAAAAAATTAAAGTATGACAACAAAGAACCAACAGATAGAGATTCTCAATAAGGTTATAGAAATTATTTTTTTAAAAAACAAATAAAAATGTTAGAGTTGAGAAGTAAAATAACTAAACTAAAATTCACTATAGGAGCTCACCAACATATTCAAGATGGTAGAAGAACCACAGAATTTAATGATAGGTCAATATACATTATACAATCTGAAGAACAGAAAGAATAAGGATTGAAGAAAAATGAATAGCATCTCAGAGACCTGTGTAACAACATCAGCTATACTAATATACATGTAATGGGAGTCCCCGCAAAAAAGAGAACAGGAGGGCAGAAAAAGAACTACATAAATCTATAGATCCTAGAAACCCAATAAACCCCAAGTAAGATAAATACAAAAATATCCATTAATCTACATATTATAATGTTGAAAGACAAAGTCTTGAAAGCAACAAGAAGAAAATAATTAATCATATGCAAAGGAGCAATACAATTAAAAGCTAACTTCTCATCAGAAACAATGGAGGTTCAGAAGGCCGTGGAATGACAAATTCAAAGTGCTGAAAGAAAAAAAAGTCAACCAAAAATTCTATATCAAACAGAACTAACCTTCATTAATGAAGGTAAACCTTCAGAAGAAAAATAATATGTTTCCCCTAATAGTTCCAAGAAACATTATAGAAGTGAAACCCCTCAGTTTGAATTGGCCTTGCTAGGGTCACATATACATGCCTGGACTTTTACCTACACCAAATGGATATAGAGAGGGTTCCCCAACAAATAGCAAGGAAATGAATTCTGGGCAGGCAAAAATAACAAAGCAAACTTTTAGTCAGGTTACTTGTGGTTTGAGGATGAGCTGATACAATGAGCTTAGAAGATAGCTGACCTGGTTGTCTGTCCAGCATCTTTTCTGTCTGTTCTAGTAACAGCAACATTTTTAACTGTAGAACTTATTTACCCCTACGTGGTTTACTGAAATGGTTGGTCACAGGATCCTCACTACAGAGTTGGACATGTTACCCAAGTTAGCCAATCTTTTCCCAGGAAATATAATTAGTAGGTCTGAGGTTCAAGGTAAAAAGGTAGTTATAATTTAGTCATCCAATGGCACAGTCATTGATATCCTGGAGATATCAAAAGGGATGGCCCAAGATACCTTGTTTCTAATATTTCCAAAGGTGTCTTAGTTCCTGTACTGCTAGAAGTCTAACTGTTTAACTCTTATTTAGATTCCGTGAGCAAATCAGTATATACCCATAAGTCCATTTTATTGCCTACGTTAGTTAGCAACTTCCGTTGCATGCAGCCCCAAACTCGGAATATAACGAGACTAGTTCAGAGGCTTTCATAAGAGTCACATTACGTCATATGTCCAAAAACAAAGTTAAACTTTAGACAAAATCCATGCCTGGCTCTGAATAGTAATAAACCAAGAATTCTTCTGTCATGGTAAGAGGACTATGAGAACATGTGGTACCAAAATGGACAGTTAAACTGACTTCAAATCTAGACTTGTGCCCCCTACACCTTCTCATACGTATGCCTTAGTGTGCCAAAAAAAAAGAAATTAACTAGTCAGAAGCAGAATAAAATAAAATAAAAACATTTCAAGATAAACAGATACTAAGATAATTCATTGCTACTTACAAAAAAAGTCTAAAGAAAGCCCTTCAGGCTGAAAAGGAAGTCACATCAGACTATAATACAAATCTACAAAAAGAAATAAAGAACACTATAAGTGACAAATGTGTGTACTAATATAAAAAGATTCCAAATATATCTTTTTTTTCACAGAAAGTTATATTCTATGACACAAAAGAATTCTATTTAAAATCAGCAAGGAAAGAAATCTTTGAAGTCCTGAAATATTTGGAAAGTAAACAACCCACTTCAAAATAACCCAGAAGTTAAAGTTAAAAATCACAAGGTAAATTAGCAAATATCTTGAAATAAATGAAAACGAAACACACCAAAATGTATATGATGCAGCTAAAGCAGTGCTTACAGGTAAATTTCTAGCTTTAAACACATACATTGATAAAGAAACATCTCAAATCCATAACCTAAATTTCTACAAAAAAAAAACTGGAAAAATAAGAGCAAACTATACAAAAGTAAGCAGAAAAACATAATAATGCTTAGAAGAGAAGTCAATAAAAGAAAAAATAGGCTGGGTGTGGTGGCTTACGTCTGTAATCTCAGCACTTTGGGAGGCTGTGGTGGGCAGATCACTTGAGGCCAGGAGTTTGAGATCAGCCTAGCCAACATGGTAAAACCCTGTCTCTACTGAAAATACAAAAATTAGCCAGGCATGGTGGTAGGCACCTGTAATCGCAGCTACTTGGCAGCTGGGGCAGGAAAATTGCTTGAACTTGGGAGGTGGAGGTTGCAGTGAGCCAAGATTGCATCATTGTGCTCCAGCCTGGGTGAAAGAGTAAGACTCCATATCAAAAAAAAAAAAAAAAAAAGAAAGAAAGAAAGAAAGAAAGAAGAGAAAAGTAAAAAGAAAAAATAGAAAAGCAATAAATAAAATTATTGAAGTAAAAAATTGGTTTTTGGAAAACATTAATATTTACAAACTTCATCTAGACTGATCAAAAAATAAAGAGAAGAAACAAATCACCAAAAGAGTACATTAACTCTTACCCTAGAGAAATTAAAAGGATTATAAAGGAATCTCATAAACAGCTTTATACCAATGAGTTAGACAACTTTTATGAAATGGGCAAATTCCTGCACACATACAAATTACCAAAAATTAATTTTAAATGAAGTAGAAAAATCTGAATAGATCTGTAATAAGGAAAGAGATTGAGTTAATTATTAAATTTTTTTTTCATTAAGAAAATCCCAGGCCCAGATGGCTGCACTAGTTAAATCTATCAGACGGTGAAGAAATAGCAGCAGTCAGGGAAGATGGTGGACAAGTGACAGGGCTAACATGCAGCTCCCATTTGGATGGACAGAACAGCATGTGGAGACTGACACCATGGACTTTTGCTCCAAGAACTACCACAGGAACATACCAGGAAAACTGAGAGAATTCACAGATTCTTTGAAAGAAGTGCACACCACTGGAAATTCTGTAAGACAGACAAAAAACTGTGACTTTCCAAAGTATGAAAGGGGGAAATCTTACCTCCAAAAACACATACTCACTGGGGAACTGGAAAAATCCAGATTATGGGAGGACTTAAGCTTTCCTAGAGCTGAAACAGATTTAGCACAAAATATAAAAGTAAAAGCAGCAGTGGGAAGAGGCTTGTAGGCACTCCCATTCTCCAGCTCAAACCTAGGGAAGCCATCCCTCACTATATTTCACAGGGGCCTTTGGGGAAGGCAGCTGGCAGAATTTGGGAGGTATGCAGGGTGAAAGAAACTTTCAACCGAACTTTGTAATAATTTTGACTAGGAACAAACTCTCTTGAGCAGAATTTAGCGGGGCAAACAGGAACTGCTGCAGAAAGGAGTGCAAGACCACCACCCATTGTGTGGGCAGACAGGGAGAGGTAAGGCCTGAAACCTGTGCTTGTCTTCTCAGTAGGAAAGTTTATATCCTGGGGCAAGGTCTGAGGCTCTTGCACAGCCTGCCTGGAGATAAACTTGGTGCTGTTAGTGGGGCATGGTGGGAGCGAGACCAGCTTCGCCAGCTGCATGGGAGCTGGGTGAGGCCTATCACTACTGGCTTTCCTCCACTTCCCTAGTGACAGAGGCAGCCATAATCCCCTCTGGAACATAACTCTATTGGCTCAAGAACCACACCCCATCCCTCACAATGGCTGTGGCAAGCCCTGCCCAGGAGAGTCTGAACTCAGACCTGCCTAACCCTGTACCCCACCAGATGGTATTTCTCTACCTGCCCCAGTACCTGATCACAAAAGGCATAAACTCTTGGGAGCTTTACGGCCCCATCCATCACCTGAGAAACCCAAATATTTATCCTGGCCAACTTAGGGCAAGCTTATATTCCCCTTCTAATATTGCAGCTGGTGCTGTCTTGAAAGTGCCTCCTGGCTGGAGGCCAACCAACTCAGGACATTACAGCTACTCATGACAGAATAATCCTGCTCCAAAGAAGGAGAAACCAACAGCTAACTCCACTGCCTGCAACACCCTGGCTAACCAGAGGTCCTGAGTCTCTCCATATGACAACTTCACTGCTAGCATAACCAACATTTGAGAAAGCCAGCACATTAAACATATCTACAACCAAGGACTCTTGCCGTCTACTTCACTCCTCTTCCACCTCCACCAGAGCAGGTGCAGGTATCCATGGCTGGGAGACCTGAACACAGATCACATCTTGGGAGTCTCTGCAGACATTCCCCAACACCAGCCCAGAGCCTGGTAGCCCTGCTGGGTGGCTAGACCCAGAAAAGCAAGAACAAACAGTGCAGTCCAGCTCTCAGGAAACCCTATTCCTAGGGGAAGGCAGAGTGCATAACAACAAGGGATCACCCTGTGGGACAAAAGAATCTGAACAGCAGCCCTTGGGTTTCACATTTTTCCACTAAAATAGTCTATCCAAATGAGAAGGAATCAGAAAAGTAATTCTAATAATATGACAAAACAGAGTTCTATAACACCCCAAAAGACTTCACTAGCTCCCTATCAATAAATCCAAACCAAGAAGAAATCTCTGAATTACCAGATGAAGAATTCAGAGGGTTAATTATTAACTTATTCAAGGAGATACCAGAGAAAGGTGAAAAACAACTTAAGTAAATTTTAAAAAAACAATACAGGATATGAATGAAAAATGCTCCAGAGAAATAGATACCATGAAGAAAAAACAATCACAACTTCTGGAAATGAAAGACACAGAGAAATACAAACTGCACTGTAGAGTGTCAACAATAGACTAGAACAAGTAGAAGAAAGAACTTCAGAGCTTAAAGGGAAGGTTTTTGAATTAACCCGATCAGACAAAGACAAAGAAAGAATTATAAAAAATGAACAAAGCTCCCCCAAAAATTGGGATTATGTTAGACAGCCACATCTAAGAATAATTAGTGCTCCTGAGGAAGAAGAGGAATCTAAATGTTTGGAAAACTTATTTGAGAGAATAATTGAGGAAAACTTCCCTGGCCTTGCTAGAGATCTAGACATCCAAATACAAGAAGCTCAAAGAACATCTCGGAAATTCAGTGCAAAAGATCATTACATAGGCACATAGTCATCAGGTTATCTAAAGTCAAGACGAAGGAAAGAATCTTAAGAGATGTGAGGCAAAAGCATCAGGTAACCTATAAAGGAAAATTTATCAGATTAACAGCAGATTTCTGAGCAGAAACCCTAAAAGCCAGAAATGATTGGGGTCCTATCCTTAGCCTTCTCAAACAAAATAATTGTCAGCCAAGAATTCTATATCCAGCAAAACTAAGCTTCATAAATGAAGGTAGTGGAGAGAATTCACCACTACCAAGCCAGCACTAAAAGAAATGCTAAAAGGAGTTCTATATCTTGAAACAAAACCTTGAAATACACCAAAATAGAACCTCCTTAAAGCACAAGTCTCACAGAACCTATAAAACAACAACACGGTGAAAAAAAAAACACACAAGGTATTCAGGCAACAACTAGCATGATGAATAGAACAGTACCTCACATCTTATTACTAATGTTAAGTGTAAATGGCCTAAAAGTTCCACTTAAAATATACAGAATGGCAGAATAGATAAGAACTCACCAATCAAGTATCTTCTATCTTCAGGAGACTCATCTAACACATAAGGACTCATGTAAACTTAAGGTAAAAGGGTGGAAAAAGATATTCTATGCAAATGGAAACCAAAAGTGAGCAGGAGTAGCTATTCTTAAATCAGACAAAACAGACTTTAAAGCCACAACAGTTAAAAAAGACAAAGAGGAACATTATATAATGATGAAAGGATCAGTCTAACGGGAAAATATCATAATCATAAATACATATGCACCTAATACTGGAGCTCCCACATTTATAAAACAGACTTAAGAAATGTGATAGATAGCAACACATTAATAGTGGGGGATTTCAATACTCCACTGACAGCACTAGACAGGTCATCAAGACAGAAGTCAACAAAGACACAATGGACTTAAACTATACCCTAGAACAAATGGACTTAACAGATATTTATAGAACATTCTAACCAACAACCACAGAATATACATTATTTTCAGCAGAAACTGGAACATTCTCCAAGACAGACCATATGATAGGCCACAAAACAAGTCTCAATTTAAGAAAATCAAAATTATATCAACTACCCTTTCAGACCACAGTGGAAGAAAACTGGAAATTAACTCCAAAAGGAACCCTCAAAACTATACAAATAATGGAAATTAAATAATCTGCTCCAGGCCAGGCATGGTGGCTCACGCCTGTAATCCCAACACTTTGGGAAGCCAAGGCAGTTGGATAACCTGATGTCAGGAGTTTGAGACCAGCCTGGCCAACATAGCAAAACCCTGTCTTTACTAAAAATACAAAAATTAGCTGGGTGTGGTGGCACACACCTGCAATCCCAGCTACTCGGAAGGCTGAGGGAGGAGAATTGCTTGAACCCAGGAGGCGGAGGTTGCAGTGAGCCAAGATGGCACCACTGTACTCCAGCTTGGGTGACAGAATGAGACTCCATCTCAAAAATAATAATAATAATAATAACAATAATAATAATAATCTGCTCCAGAATGATCTTTGGGTCAACAACAAAGTCAAGATGGAAGTTAAAAAATTCTTTTGAACTGAATGATAATGGTGACACAACCTAGGAAAACCTCTGGGATACGGCAAAAGCAGCGCTAAGAGGGAAGTTCACAACATTAAATGCCTACATCAAAAATTCTGAAAGAGCATAAACAGACAATCTTAAGGTCACACCTCAAGGAACTAGAGAAACAAGAACAAACCCAAACCAAGCAGAACAAAAGAAATAACAAAAGATCAGGCTGGGCGCGGCAGCTCACACCTGTAATCCCAGCACTTTGGGAGGCCGAGGGAGGTGGATCACCTGAGTTCAGGAATTCAAGACCAGCCTGGCCAACATAGTGAAACCCTGTCTCTACTAAAAATACAAAAAATTAGCCAGGCGTGGTGGCAGGTGCCTGTAATCACAGCTACTTGGGAGGCTGAGGCAGGAGAATCGCTTGAACCCAGGAGGTGGAGGTTGCAGTGAGCTGAGATCGCGCCAGTGCACTCCAGCCTGGCAACAGAGCAAGACTCCAACTCAAAAAAAAAAAAAGATCAGAGCAGAACTAAATGAAATTGTATTAAAAAAATACAAAAGATAAATGAAACAAAAAGCCGACTTTTTGACAAGACAAACAAAATTGATAGACCATTAACAAGATTAATCAAGAAGAGAGAAGATCCAAAATAAGCTCAATTAGAAATGTAATGGGAGGTATTACGACCAACCCCACAGAAATACGAAAGATCATTCAAGACCACTATGAACACCTTTATGTGCACAAACTGGAAAATCTGGAGGAGATGTATAAATTCCTGGAAATATGCAACCCTCCTAGATTAAATCAGGAAGAAATAGAAACTGAACAGACAAATAACAAGTAATGAGATTGAAACAATAATAAAAAATAAAAAAACCTGCCAACCAAAAATAGTCCAGGACCAGACAGACTCACAGCTGAATTCTATCAGGCATTCAAAGAAGAATTGGTACCAATCTTACTGAAACTATTCCAAAAGATAAAGAAAGAGGAAATCCTCCCTAAAACATTCTATAAAGCCAGTATCACCCTAATACCAAAACTAGAAAAGGACATAACGAAAAAAGAAAACTACAGACCAATATCCCTGATGAACATAGATGCAAAAATACTAGCTAACTGAATCTAATAGCATATCAAAAACATAATACATTATGATCAAGTGGGTTTCATACCAGGGATGGAGGGATAGTTTAACATATGGAAGTCAATAAATGTGATATATCACATAAACAGAATTAAAAACAGAAATCATATGATCTCAATAGATGCAGAAAAAGCATCTGACAAAATCCAGCATCCATTTATGATTAAAACCCTCAGCAAAATCCGCATAGAAGGGATATACCTCAAGTAATAAAAGCTATCTATGAAAAACCCACAGGCAACATTATACTGAACAGGGAAAAGTTGAAAGCATTCCCCCAGGGAACTGGAACAAGACAAGGATGCCCACTTTCACCATTGCTATTCAATATTATACTGGAAGTCCTAGCCAGAGCAATCAGGCAAGAGAAAGAAATAAAAGGCATTCAAATTGGTAAAGAAGAAGTCAAACTGTCACTGTTCACCAATGATATGATTGTATAACTAGAAAACCCTAAAGATTCATCCAAAAAGCTCCTATATCTGATAAATGAATTCAGTAAAGTTTCAGGATACAAAATCAATGTACAAAAATCAGTAGCACTGGTATACACCACCAACAACAAGGCTGAGAATCAAATCAAGAACTCAACTCCTTTTATGACAGCTGTAAAAAAAAATACTTAGGAATATACCTGACCAAGGAGGTGAAAGACCTCTACATAGAAAACTAAAAACACTGCTGAAAGAAATCATCAGTGACACAAACAAATGGAAACACATCCCATGCTCATGGATGAGTAGAATCAGTATTGTGAAAATGACCATATTGCCAAAAGCAATCTAAAGATTTAATGCAATTATCATCAAAATACTATCATCATTTTTCACAGAACTACAAAAAAAATCCTAAAATTTATATGGAACCAAAAAGAGCCCACATAGCTAAAGCAAGACTAAGCAAAAAGAATACACTGGAGGCATCACATTACCTGACTTCAAATTATATTACAAGGCTACAGTTACCAAAACAGCATGGTATTTTTATACTACATACACGTTATTTTTATACTAGTATAAAAATTGTGGCCAGGAGTGGTGGCTTACGCCTGTAATCCCAGCACTTTGGGAGGCTGAGGCAGGTGGATCACCTGAGGTTAGGAGTTCTAGACCAGCCTGGCCAACATGGTGAAAACCTGTCTCTACTAAAAATACAAAAATTAGCTGGGCATGGTGGGGGGTGCCTGTAATCCCATCTACTCGGGAGGCTGAGACAGGAGAATTGCTTGAGTCCAGGAGGTGGAAGTGGAGGTTGTGGTGAGCAGAGATCGCACCACTGCACTCCAGCCTGTGCAACAAAGTGGGACTCCATCTCAAAAAAAAAAAAAAAAATCTATTTAATAGGTGAGTATAAAAATTCATCTATTTTTATAGACTCAGCCAATTGATCTTCAACAAAGCAAATAAAAATATAAACTGGGCAAAGGACACCCTATTCAACAAATGGTGCTGGGATAATTGGCAAGCTACATGTAGAAGAATGAAGCTGGATCCTCATCTCTTACCTTATACAAAAATCAACTCAACATGGATCAAACACTTAAATCTAAGACCTGAAACCATAAAAATTCTAGAAGATAACTTCAAAAAATCTTTTCTAGACATTGGCTTAGGCAAAGAATTCATGACCAAGAACCCGAAAGCAAATGTGACAAAAACAAAGATAAATAGATGGGACCTAGTTAAACTAAAAAGCTTCTGCACATCAAAAGAAATAATCAGCAGAGTAAACAGACAACCACAGAGTGGGAGAAAATACTCACAAACTATACTTCCAACAAAGGACTAATAACCAGAATCTATAAAGAATTCAAACAAATCAGCAAGAAAGAAAACAAATAATCCCATCAAAAAGTGGGCAAAGGACATGAATAGACAGTTCTCAAAAGAGATATACAAATGGCCAACAAACATATGAAAAAATTCTCAACATCACTAATTACAAAGGAAATGCAAATCAAAACTACAATGAGATACTACCTTACTCTTGCAAGAATGACTATAATTTAAAAATCAAAAAATAATAGATGTTGCAGTGGATATGGTAAAAAGGGAACACTTTTACATTGCTGGTAGGAATGTAAACTAGCACAACTACTATCAAAAACAGTATGGAGTTTCCTTAAAGAACTAAAAGTAGAACTACCATTTGATCCAGCAATTCCACTACTAGGTATCTACTCAGAGTAAAAGAAGTCATTATTTGAAAAAGAAAATTGCATACACATGTTTATAACAGTACAATTTGCAATTGCAAAAATATAAAACCAGTCTAAATGCTCATCAGCCAATGAGTGGATAAAGAAAATGTGGTATATATAATACCATGGAATACTACTCAGCCATAAAAATGAGCAAAATAATGGTATTTGCTGCAGCCTGGATGGAGTTGGAGACCATTATTCTAAGTGAAGTAAACCAAACATTGTATGTTCTCACTTATAAATGGGAGCTAAGCTGTGAGGATGCAAAGGCATAAGAGTGATATAATGGGCTTTGGGGACTCAGGAGAAAGGGTGGAAGGATGGTGAGGGATCAAAAACTACACATTGAGTATAGTGTACACTGCTCAGGTGATGGGTGCACCAAAATCTCAGAAATCACCACTAAAGAACTTTTCCATGCAACCAAACACCATCTGTTCCCCAAAAAACTTTTGAAATAAAATAAATAATTTTTAAAAAGAATAAATAATACTCAGTTTTCATAAGCTCTTTAAGAAAAAAGAAGAGAAATAACCCTTCTCCACTTATTCTATGAGGCCAGTATTATCCTAATTCCAAAGCCTCGTAAAGACATCACAAGGAAAATAGAGATAAATATTCCTTAAAAATATTAAAACAAACATCCTTATCAGGTAGAATCCAACAACACATAAAGAGGACTATACACTCTGACCAAGGGGGATCTATCTCAGGAATATAAGGTTGGTTAACATTTGAGGATGAGTTAATGCAATATACTATACTAATAGAATAAACGACAAAAACCACACAACCATCTCAGTAGATGTATCATAAACATCCTACAAAATCCAATATGATTTGGAATAAAGAATAGGAGCAAAGGATTGATCAGAAATAAAGAAAGTGTCCTCAATCTGATAAAGGGCATTTATAAAACACTCAAGGGTAAAATCATATGTGATAGTAAATGCTTTCATCCTAAAATCAAAAAAAGCAAGGCAAAAATGTCTGCTTTTAGTATTTCTATCAACATTTTACTGGAGGTTCTAAAAGCTAGTGCAACAAGCAACAAAGATGTTAAAGCAATCAGATTGCAAAGGAAAAAGTAAACTGTGTTTTCTTCTCTTTCAAAATTATTTTGGCTATTCCAAGTCCTTGGATTTCTATGTAAATTTTAGGATCAGTCAGTCGATTTCTGGGAAAAAAGGGAAAAGCCTGCTAGGATTTTAATAGGGGTTGCATTGAATTTGTAGATCAGTTCAGAGAGAATGCCATTTTGACAATATTTTGTCTTCCAATCCGTGAACTCAGAATGTCTCTCTAATTTAGATCTTTAATTTCTCTCAGTAATATTTTAAAATTTTTACTATTCAACTCTTGCACTTCTTTTGTTAAACTTATTGAACAACCTTGCTCAATTTATTTAGGATTCCAGAACTTTTTTGAGGATTCTTTGAGATTTTCTACATCCTGAATCAAAGAGACTTTTCCAGATGGGGTTCTACTTCTTTTAAAATAATCTCCATATTTGTCATAGTTGTATTATTAGGAGAATATACATTTAGAAATGTTATATCTTCCTTTAAAATTTAACATTTTATGTTGTGACCCTTTCTACCCCCAATTTTTTTTGTATGTTCTGACAGAACATTTTGTCTGACAGAAATATAACTACCTTATTTTGTCTGACAAAAATATAACTACCTTAACTTCATTTTGGTTATTTGCCTAGTATATTTTTTCATTTCTTTTTTTTTAATTTTTAATCTTTCTGTGCTCTTAGGAGTTTTAATTGATGAATTTAGTTCATTACATTTATTGAAAATACTTATATTTCTGGATTTGTTTCTGTCATCTTACTTTGTGTGATTTGTTCTGCTTTTCCTTTGCTCTACTCCTTTTTTTCCTTTTTTTTTGCGGGGAAGGTAGGGATTAAGCTGTTTCTACTAGAAGCTAGATACACTATTTCTATTATTTCAGTAGTTATCCTTGAGATGTTCTCATGCATGCTTAATAAAGTCTAAGCTTAGACACTATCTTAGCCCTCTAAATTAATTAGGGAAAAGACTAAACTACTCTAACAAAGATATAGTGGCTAACAAAATGTTTATTTCTTTTTCACATAACAATCTAAAAGAACAGTCTAGGCAAATATGACAGTTCTGCTCCATTAGATTACTCAGGGCCCTAGCCCATCTCATTGCATTGACATATGCCAGGATGTTGTCCTCATCTCCATGGTCAAAACTAGACTGCTGCCTTGTCTATATTCCAAAGGAAGAAGAAAGAGAGAAAATCAGTACAAATAATTTTCTTAAAAGCCAATGAGGCAGAAGTTGCACAAAGAACTTCTGTCCAATAGAGAGAAATTAGTACATGACAATACCTTGCTGCAAGTCAGACTGGGAAATGTAGTCTCTTGCCAGTACCAAGGAAGGAGGGGGAAATAGATTATATACTTCGGAAGAAGGAGAGTCAGTCTTTTGTGGAAAACTAGAAGTCTGGCCATCCAAATATCCATGCAGACCTTTGTCCCACACATAGAAAAGATTCGCTCCCTCTCTATGGAACACAATGTAATATTCCATGTAGTCCAAAGTCCAAGATATCTAGAAGATGCAAGATTCTCTCTGTTGAGTCCATATGAGGCTTCTCATATGAGGAAACAATATACTGTCCTTGTTCATTCCTGGGCATAGGCTGAACTAGCTTTGGGAAAGAATTTAATGTATAGTTTATATAATAGCCCTTTCCAAAAGGCTAAACTGTTCTTGTAAAACAAATGAAAGGCCACCAGCCACCAAGTTAAATGAGAGGGGATGGAATTCTAAATATTAACAATCATCATTCTGGAGGTCATAAGATTTGCAACTTCCCCTTCCTTTGTATGCCAGTAACTACATCAAAGTTTTACGGGGTTCTTTGGACATGTTTTCTAAGCCTGCCTTTTTCCTGACTTCTTGGCTTTTCTTGAAGGTAACATCAGTATTGTGAACCTAAGATCAGCCTTTTGAGATATCTTTTCAAATTTTTGCATTTCTAACAACCAGATGGCCCCACCTGGACCTGCCAACCAGTTCTGTGGCCCCCACCCAGGAACTGACTCAGCAGAAGAGAACAGCTTTGACTCCCTAAGATTTCATCCCTGAGCCAACCAATCAGCACTCTCAATTCACTGCCCCCCGCCACCACCCCCATCCACCTAATTGTTTTTAAAAACTCTGATCCCTGAGTTTTTGGGGAGACTGAATTGAGTAATAATAAAAATCTGGTCTCCCGCACAGCCAGCTCTGCATGTATTACTCTTTCTGTATTGCAATTGCCCTGACCTGATAAATTTGCTCTGTCTAGGCAGCGGGCAAGGTGAACCCCTTGGGTGGTTACAAAAGGAAGAATGGGAAATACAGAAGAGTCACTGATTCATAGACATAATGAAAGTTATGCTGGGCAGAAATTATAAAGATCCCCTTGATCTAATAGTAGAGAGGATTTCTTGGTTACATCTGGTCTGATATTTTAGAAAAATCCCCTTACTTATGGCATCTCCTTTTGCCTTCTAGAGCTTCATCCTTGTTCATAATCTTCTGTGGCCATAACTGATTTTGGAGGGAGTTTAGGTAGGACAGAGTGGGAATAGGAGAATGCACTATTTTAATAGCCCACTTCTTTGCTAAGGCAGATTTGGGAGGCTGAGGGTTGCTTTAAGGACTGAAAGATCATGGCCTCTCACAAGATCTTACTTATAGACCCATTGGCAGTGTAATTCCCCAAAAACCTTAGTAGGTATATTAGTCCATTTTCATGCAGTTGATAAAGACATGCCCAAGACTGGAAAGAAAAAGAGGTTTAATTGGACTTACAGTTCTACATGGCTGAGAAGGCCTCAGAATCATGGTGGGAGGCAAAAGGCATTTCTTTACATGGCGGCAGCAAGAGAAAATGAGGAAGTAAAAGCAGAAACCCCCTCATAAACCCATCAGATCTTGTGAGACTTACTCACTATCACAAGAATAGCATGGAAAGACCGGCCCCCATGATTCAATTACCTTCCCCTGGGTCCCTCTCACAACATGTGGGAATTCTGGGAGATACAATTCAAGCTTAGATTTGGGTGGGGACACAGCCAAACCATATCAGTAGGCTTCTGTTCATTTCCTGTTCCTTTATATGCCAGTAACTACATCAAAGTTTTACGGGGTTTTTTGGACATGTTTTCTAAGCCTGCCTTTTTCCTGACTTCTTGGCTTCCTGTCTCCTTCTTTCTCATTCTAATAACGGCTACTTTGAGGCCATCTGAAACAACAGGTTTAGGTTGGAAGGCAACATCCTTAATTTGACCTTTGCAAAGAATTTTCTTCCTTTCTTGAAGGAGGCTTTAGGAAAGGTTTTGAGCCATAGTCTTATCTCATGCTATTTCTTATAATACATTACTAAAAGTGACAAGGATATGAATGGCTGCTCTTGCTGCTTTTAGCAAGGTATTATAAGAAAAAGATGAGCTAAGGCAAAAATATGCCAATTTGCAAGCAGAGAAGTAAGGGGATAGAGAATCCAGAAATTTGAGCCTTACAGGCTGGAAAAGCCAACTGCTTCTGTATCCTAAACAACACAAGAGCTACTGCCTCACTACTAAGCCCTAAATTTTGCTAAGCCAAATGCCCCTATATTTTAGATTTCTGTGATTGTAGCACTCCAGTTCCAGGATATCCAGTCAGGTTAGCAGTATGCCTCTGCTCTACTTAGTCATTCAGGGACCCAGATGATTCCTTTTTTTTTTTGTTTTTCTTTTTTGTGTTTTGTTTTTGTTGTTTGTTTTTGTTTTTTTTTTGCTCCCCCATCCCTTACAGGCTGCATTTGTATAGTCAAAATTGTTCATGTTTCAAACATCAGGAAAGAGGAAGAGAAAAGTCCATGGCAAGCAATTTCCCTTTAAGCAAAAAAAGCGAAGGTCACAAACATGACTCCAACTCACATTGATTAGAACTTTAGATATGGCCACACCTAGTCAAAATGGGAGGCAGGGAACTGTGGTCTCTGGCTGGTGGCCATTTGCCCAAGAAGGAGGGTAGTTTAGATTTTAGGAGATACCACACCCGCAAATTCCTGCCCCCCAAATATAAAGATCTTAGAATATTTTAACTATGGCTAGCCTCTCTCAAATTTTTTTGCTTTTGTAAATTGCTTTTTAATTTTTATGGGTTCATAAAAGTTGTACATATATTTTTTTGCTCCAAATTTTACTTCATCTTTTTTTGAGGACACCCAAGTAGATAATTTTTTTATTTTTATACAATGTTTGTTTAGATTTACCTACATGTTTGCCAATTTATGTGTACCTTTTTTGTATTATATTCATTTTCTATTGTTGTATAACAAATTACCACAAGCTTAGCAGCTTAAAAAACACCCATTCATTAGCTTACAGTCGGTAGATCAGAAATTTGGTACAGCACAGAGGGGTATGCTCAGAATATTACAAATCTGAACTCAAGCTGTCAGCTGGACTGAGTTCTTATCAGGGAAGTTCTGGGGAAGAATCTGCTTCCAAGCTCATTCTTTTTGTTGGCAGAATTGTGTTCCTTGGGATATATGACTAAGGTTCCCCTTTCCCTGTTAGCTATCATCCAGAGGCCATTCTCAGCTCTTAGAGGCCACTCTCAGGTTCTTTCCACATGGCCTTCACAGGCAGTTCAAAGCAACGGACATATGCATTCCCGACTATCCAGAGAGTGTCTCTCTGACTCTTCTTCTGCAACCAGCTGAAGAAAGATATGTAGATGCTTGCCAACTTATGAGGAGGTTATGTGCCAATAAACCCATCATAAGTTGAAAATATCGTAAGTTGAAAATGCAAGAAGATGGAAAATGATGGCTACTAAGGAAATCAAATGCCAGTTCTCCTCAGAAAAAAAAGCTCAAACATACAAGTGAATGGACAAGCTCTGTATGGAAAACTGAGGGAACAGAACCAGGATCTGTTGGAGTGCCCACAGTAAGAAGTTGGGATGCAGAAAAGAAAAGCAGTGAGTCTGGAAGAGATTGACCCCAAAGAACTTGGAGCCCTACAGAAAGGGTGGATTGGACTGCTGCTCTGCTCCTTTTACTTTGTTGACAATCTGCCAAACTGCCAAACTGTTGGGGAGGTCCTCTGCCTTCATGACCCAGGACAACATTATCAGTGGCAATTTGAGATTTTCCCAAGGACAGAGAGTGGCCAGCTTGCATAGGTGTGTCTGCACTCCTCTCAGAGCTGAACTGAGATGGTGGGTGCCACTCTGCTTGTGTACTCTTGGTGGGCCTCTGCCCTTCCTGGAGATTCTCTGCCTTTGCGTCATCGCACCACTAGATCCCCCAAAATGTTGCAGGAAGTCAGGGACCCCAAACAGAGGGACCGGCTGAAGCCATGACAGAAGAACGTGGATTGTGAAGATTTTATGTACATTTATTAGTTCCCCAAATTAATACTTTTGTAATTTCTTATGCCTGTCTTTACTGCAATCTCTAAACATAAGTTGTGAAGATTTCATGGACACTTATCACTTCCCCAATCAATACCCTTGTGATTTCCTATGCCTGTCTTTACTTTAATCTCTTAATCCTGTCAGCCGAGGAGGATGTATGTCGCCTCAGGACTGTGTGATAATTGCATTAACTGCACAAATTGTACAGCATGTGTGTTTGTGCATTATGAAATCTGAGCACCTTGAAAAAAGAACAGGATAACAGCAATTGTTCAGGGAATAAGAGAGATAACCTTAAAATCTGACCACCGGTGAGCTGGGCAGAACAGAGCCATATTTCTCTTCTTTCAAAAGCAAATGGGAGAAATATTGCTGAATTCTTTTTCTCGGCATGGAACGTCCCTGAGAAAGAGAATGCGCACCTAGGGGTAGGTCTCTGAACTGGCCCCCCCAGGGTGTACCTGTGTCTTATGGTCGAGATTGCAGAGGTGAGATAGACTCCAGTCTCCCATAGTGCTCCCAGGCTTATTAGGAAGAGGAAATTCTTGCCTAATAAATTTTGGTCAGACAGGTTGATCTCAAAACCCTGTCTCCTGATAAGATGTTATCAATGACAATGGTACCTGAAACTTCATTAGCAATTTTAATTTTGCCTCCGTCCTGTGGTCCTGTGATCTCGTCCTGCCTCCACTTGCCTTGTGATATTCTATTACCCTATTAAGTACTTGATGTCTGTCACCCACACCTATTCACACACTCCCTCCCCTTTTGAAAATTCCTAAAAAAAACTTGCTGGTTTTTGTGGCTTGTGGGGCATCACGGATCCTACCAATGTGTGAAGTCTTCCCTGGATGCCCAGCTTTAAAATTTCTCTCTTTTGTACTCTGTCCCTTTATTTCACAAGCCTGCCAACGCTTAGGAAAATAGAAAAGAACCTACATGATTTTCGGGGCAGTTCCCCCAAAACCAAAAACATACTCAAGTCACTCTGACTTCTGCAAGCACAAGGGACCAATGGGTTCCCAGGAAGTTGCAGAACCCTGTGAGATCTAACCCTCAGGATGGGCCACCCATAAAAGACGGTGGAGCACAGCTCCCTTGGGACAAAGGAAATGCAAGTGCAGCACCAATCATTGAAGTGGGCAGCACCTATGCCTGGGAACAGATGTGGGGAAGGGGTTATTTACTGCGTTTCCTTGCATATTGTTGCAGATACAGCAGTTGTTCTTCTCACTAAAGACCAGCATGCATGCACGTGGAGAAAGTGTTTTCATGCTTTTCATGCCAGCTCTACCCCTGCTGAAAGTGAGCCCTGGTAGCTTAGGCTTCCACAAATGGTAGGGCCCAACTCACCCTCCCTACATAGAATGGCAGCATCCTGGTAATAGAGGCAAGACAAGTCAAAGAGTTGCCTGCTCTGGAGTGGGAAAAGAGGCGCTGCCACAAGCCCATTTTGATGGTAGCCCTCAGAGGGTGCATCTGTAGCATGCAGCAACACTGTGGCCAGGATCCAAAGAACAAAATCTTTATGTACCGAAGGTTGTGAGCCCTGCAACAGGAGCATAATAAGGAAGCAGATTAGGTTCCTGCTGGCTCAGGATGAGGAACTGTGCACCCTCACCCCTTATCCTAAGACCTCAATGCACCCCAACATGATATCTTTCCACCCGTCAGCCCCAATCAGGGTGGGTGCTTCCACTCAACATTAGCCTAACCCAGGGTAAGCTATCTCTTACTCTTCAGTGCCATCTACTGGATTACAGGCTGAACTGCACCACTAAACAAAAAACCTGCTATCAGAGGCGCTTAATGCTAGTCCATAATCTTCCTGAGACCTCCACACTGTCAGCCTTTTAGGCAACAGTACGTTGGCTCATATGTCCAGTACACCACTACAACAAGCAGCATCTGAGAAAGCCATCACACAGATACTACCCAGAACCAAAGAGCCCCTACAGAGCCTTGGCCCCCTAAAAGCAATAAGGAATGAATCTGAATGATCATATACAACATAAACTACAGTCATATGCTCAAGGGAAAAAAGGATTAAAAAATGTAAAAAAAAAAAAAAGTTAAGGTTCCATCCAAACAACAGCAAATTCAAAAATAAGAAGTAACAGTAACCTTGAATGAGGAGGAATCAACACAAGAACTCTGGCAGTACAAAAAGTCAAAGTGTCTTGACACCTCCAAAGGATCACACTAGCTCTAGCGATGGATGCTAACCAGATTGAAAAGTTTGAAATGACAGATAAAGAATTCAAAATATGGATTGCAAAGAAACTCAACAGGATCCAAGAGAGTTTAAATCCAATACAAACCAACCAGAAAAATGATTCAGGATATGAAAGACAAGAGAATAATATTAAGAAAAAAACAAAGAAAACTTCTGGAATTGAAAAATTCACTAATAGAATTTCAAAATACAGTTGAAAACTTTAACAATAGACTAAATCAGAGAAAGAATTTCAGAGCTTGAAGATTAATCTTTTGAATTAACCCACACTAAAATAAAGGAAAAATAATTTTTAAAAAATGAACAAAACCTCCAAGAAACATGAGATTATGTAAAGTGACCAAACCTATAATGTAATAGCATTCCTGAGAGAAAAGAAAAAGCTAGAAAACAACTTCAAAAATATATTTTAGGGAATAATTCAGGAAAATTTCCCTAATCTTGGGTAGACAGTTCAACACCCAGATTTAAGAAATTTAAAGCACACCTGCAAGATGCCATGCAAGATGACCATCCCCAAGAGATGTAGTTATCAGAGTATCCAAGGTCAATGTGAAAGAAGAAAATCTTAGAGGCAGCTAAGGAAAAGAGCCAAATTACCTATAAAGGAAATCTTGTCAGACTAACAGTAGACTTCTCAGCAGAAACCTTACAAACCAGATGAGATTGGGGGCTATCTTTAGCCTTCTTAAAGAATAAAAAAAGCCAGCCCAAAATTTCATATCCTGCCAAACTAAGCTTCATAAACATATTCTAGAGGAAATAAAGTCTTTCTCAGACAAGCAAACACTAATGGAATTCATCAGGCTGAAACTACAAGAAATGCTAAAAATAGTTCTAACCATGGAAATGAAAGAATGATATGTGCTACCATAAAAGCACACATAAGTGCAAAATGCACAGATCCCATATAGCAATTACACAATTGTGACCACAAAGCAACTAGCAAACAACACTATGACAGGAACAAAACCTCACATGTAAATATTAACCTTGAACATTAACAGCCTAAATGTTCCATTCAGAAGACACAAGTACTTAATTGGATTAAAATACAAGACCCAAACTTCTGCTATCTTCAAGAGATCCATCTCACATGTAATGACACCCACAGGCTCAAAGTAAAGGATGGAGAAAGATCTGTCATATAAATAAGTGGGGGTGGCTAGTCTTATACCAAATAAAACAGACTTCAAACCAACAACAGCAAAAAAAAAAAAAAAAAAGACAAAGAAGGGTATTATGTAACATTAAAGGGTTCAATTGAACAAGAAGATTTAACTCTGCTGAATAAATATACACCCAACATTGGAGCATCCAGGTTTAAAAAACAAATACTGCTAGACCTAAGAGAGAGCCATACATTAATAAGTGGGGGACTTCAACAACCCCATTGACAGCATTAGACAGTTCACTGAAGCAGAAAACTAACTCTGGACTTAAATTGGACTCTTGATCAAATGGACCTAACAAACATCTACAGAATACTCTATTCCAAAACCACAGCGTATACATTTTTCTCATCTGCTCATGAAACATTGTCTAAACTTGACCACATGCTCTGTCATAAAGGAAGTCTCAATAAATTCAAAAATATCCAAATCATATCAAGCATCTTCTTGAACCATAATAAAATAAAATTAGAAATCAATACCAAGAAGAACTCTCAAAACCACAAAAATACATGGAAACTAAACAGCTTGCACCTGAATAAATTTTGGGTAAACAATTAAATTAAGGCAGAAATCAAGAGATTTCCAGAAGACCCTGGAACTTATAAATGGATTCAGTAAAGTTTCAGGATACAAAATCAACGTACAAAATGTGTACACATTGTTTAGCTCTCACTTATAAGTGAAAATTTGGGCTGGGCATGGTGGCTCATGCCTGTAATCACAACACTTTAGGAGGCTGAGGCGGGCAGCTCACTTGAGGTCAGGAGTTCAAGACCAGCCTGGCCAACATGGTGAGACCCCATCTCTACTAAAAATACAAAAACTAACTGGGCATGGTGGTGCATGCTTGTAGTCCCAGCTACTCGGAAGGCTGAGGCATGAGAATTGAACCTTGGAGGCGAAGGTTGCAGTGAGCTGAGATTGCACCACTGCACTCCAGCCTGGGCAACAGAGTGAGACCCCATTTCAAAAACAAAACTAAAAAATGAGTGAAAACATGGATTTGATTTTCTGTTTCTGCATTAATTCACTTAGGATAATGGCCTTCATTTACATCCATGTTGCTGCAAAGGATATGATTTCATTCTTTTTTATGGCTGTGTGGTATTCCATGGTGTATATGTACCACATTTTAAAAATCCAGTCTACAATTAATGGACACTTAGGTTGATTCCATGACTGCTATTATAAATAATGCTGTGATAAACAGACAAGTGCAGGTGTCTTTTTGATAAAATGATGTCCTTTTCTTTGGGTAGGTGCCCCCTAGTGAGATTGCTGGGTTGAATGATAGTTCTAAGCTCTTTGAGAAATCTCCATACTATTTGCCATACAGTTGAACTACTTTACATTCCTACCAGCAGTGTATAAGTGTTCCCTTTTCACTGCATACTTGCCAAATCTGTTATTTTTTGCCTTTTTAATAGTAGCTTTTCTGACTGGTAGAAGATGGTATCTCATCATACTTTTAATTTGTGTTTCTCTGATGGTTAGTGATGTGGAGCATTTTTTCATGTTTATTGGCTGCTTTTATGTCTTCTTTTGAGAAGTGTCTGTTCATGTCCTTGGCTCACTTTTGAAGGGGTTATTAGTTTTTTCTTGTTGATTTGTTTAAGTTTCTTATAGATTCTAAGTATTACTCCTATGTCAAGTGTATAGTTTGCAAATATTTTCTCCCATTCTGTAGGTTGTCTGTTTACTCTGTTGATTCTGCTATACAGAGATGCCTTAGTTTAATTAAGTCTCATGTATCTATTTTGGTTTCTGTTGAATTTGCTTTTAAGATTTTAGTCATAATTTTTTTGTCTAGGCCAATGTCCAGAAGAGTTTTTCCTACTTTTTCTTTTAGGACATTTATAGTTTGAGGTCTTATATTTAAGTTTTTAATCCATCTTGAGTTAATTATTGTATATGATGAGAGGTAGGAATCAAGTTTCATACTTCTGCATATGCCTGGCTAGTTTTCCCAGCACCATTTATTGAATAGGGTGTTCTTTCCCCATTGTATATTTTTGTTGACTTTGTTTAAGATCAGTTGGTTGTAGGTGTGGGCTTTATTTCTGGGTTCTCTTCTGTTTCATTAATACATGCATCTATTTTTGTGCCAGTACCATGTTGTTTTGGTTACTATAGCCTTGTAGTATAGATTGAAGTTAGGTAATATGATGCCTCCAGCTTTGTTCTTTTTGCTTAGATTTGCTTTGGCTATTTGAGCTCTTTTTTGGTTTCACATGGGTTTTAGAATTTTTTTTTTTTACTTCTGTGAAAAATGACTTTGGTAATTTTATAGGAATGACATTGAATCTATAGATTGCTTTGGGTGGTATGGTCATTTTAATGATATTGATTCTTTCAACTATAAGCATTGAATGTTTTTCTATTTGTGTCATCTATGATTTCTTTCATCAGTGTTTGGTATACATTTAATTACCTGGTAATTACCAGGTAACTTTTTACCAGGTAGTTAATTACAAGGTAATTTTTTTTGGCTAGTATAAGTGAGATTGAGTTATTTATTTCGTTCTCAGCTTGGATGCTATTGATGTATGGAAATCCTACACCATGGAATACCACATAGCCATAAAAAAGAATGAAATCATATCCTTTGCAGCAACATGGATGTAGTTGAAGGCCATTATCCTAAGTGAATTAATGCAGAAACAGAAAATCAAATACCATGTTTTCACTTATTTTTTAATTTTGTTTTTGAAATGGGGTCTCACTCTGTTGCCCAGGCTGGAGTGCAGTGGTGCAATCTCAGCTCACTGCAAACTTCGCCTCCAAGGTTCAATTCTCATGCCTCAGCCTTCCGAGTAGCTGGGACTACAAGCATGCACCACCATGCCCAGTTAGTTTTTGTATTTTTAGTAGAGATGGGGTTTCACCATGTTGGCCAGGCTGGTCTTGAACTCCTGACCTCAAGTGATCTGCCCGCCTCAGCCTCCCAAACTGTTGTGATTACAGGCATGAGCCACCATGCCCAGCCCAAATTTTCACTTATAAGTGGGAGCTAAACAATGTGTACACAGGAACATAAAGATGGAAATAATAAAAACAGGGGACTCCAAAAGGAGGGAAGAAGAGATGGGGTAAAGGCTGAAAAACTACCTAATGGGTATTATGTTCACTATTTGGATGATGGGTTCACTAGAAGCCCAAACCCCAAGCATTACACCATACACCCGTGTAACAAACCAGCACATGTACCTCTGAGTGTATTTTTTAAATGCATTTAATATGCTTAACCTATCAAATAGGATAGCTTAGCCTAGCCCACCTTAAACATGATCAGAACACTTAAATCAGGCTATGATTAGGCAAAATCTTCTAACACAAAACCTATTTTATAATAAAGTGTTGAACAGCTTATGTAATTTATTGAATATTGTACTGAAAGTGAAAAACAGAATGGTTGTATGAAGACTAGCAGTATGGTTTCTACTGAATGTGTACTGTTATGGCAAAAGTTGAAAATTTGTAATTCAAATCATTGTAAGTCAAGGACTTTGTAAATATGTGTATGTGTTTCCATAACCCTTAGCTTGTCAACTCTCTTTTTTAATATCTCCACAACTTCAAAATGTTCAAGTACCCCAAGATTCAGTCCAAGACCTCTTTTATTCTCTACCTACACCACTCCAGCAGTTACATCTTGTTTTATAGTTTTAAATATCATTTAGAAACATGTGACTACCAAAATTAAATTAAATTTATCTTCTAAATCCAGACCTGAGTGGTCAACTGCTTATCTCTTTGGGTGCCTAATAGGCATATCAGACACCATTTTTTAGAAAAACATCATTTTCAAGAACAGCATTCAATATTTGAAATTGTAATATCAGTCTGAGGTGACTTTATTCTAGGAAACCCTACTGGATGCCTGGAGCCAAAAGTAGATATTTGAATGAAAGTGATGGTTATCAAACTGAGTTTGTCTAAAGGAAAATATTCAATTATATTTCAACACCATAAGATGAAAAAGAAAAAAAGTAACTCACTTTGTAAGCTCTATTAGGGCAAGGAGAGTGGCTATGTTACTTACATTATATATTCAGCACAGTGACTGACATATAGAAGGCACTCAGGAACTATTTGCTAATTAAATGAACAAATTTGTACTAGCCTTTCAGTCTACTTTTGAAGATGAAATACTAATGTGGGATAAAAAGCAATTTATCAAGGAAGAAAACCAAATGGTTGGGGGCAGTTCCAAGATGGCCAAATAGGAACAGCTTCAGTCTACAGCTCCCAGCGTGAGCGATGCAGAGGACGGGTGATTTCTGCATTTCCAACTGGGGTAGCAGCTTCATCTCACTGGGGCTTGTTGGACAGTGGGTGCAGGACAGTGGGTGCAGCCCACCGAGTGTGAGCCAAAGCAGGGCAAGGCATCGCCTCACCCAGGAAGCACAAAGGGTCAGGGAATTCCCTTTCCTAGCCAAGGGAAGCTGTGACAGACGGCACCGGGAAAATTGGGTCACTCCCACCCTAATACTGCGCTTTTCCAACAATCTTAGTAAACGGCACACCAGGAGATTATATTCCGCACCTGGCTCAGAGTGTCCGAAGCCCACAGAGCCTCACTAATTGCTAGCACAGCAGACTGAAATTGAACTGCAAGGCAGCAGCGAGGCTGGGGGAGGGGCGCCCGCCATTGCTGAGGCTTGAGTAGGTAAACAAAGCAGCCAGGAAGCTCGAACTGGGTGGAACCCACCGCAGCTCAAGGAGGCCTGCCTGCCTCTGTAGACTCCACCTCAGGGGGCAGGAGATGGCCAAACAAAAGGCAGCAGAAACCTCTGCAGACTTAAATGTCCCTGTCTGACAGCTTTGAAGAGAGTAGTGGTTCTCCCAGCACGCAGCTGGAGATCTGAGAATGGTCAGACTGCCTCCTCAAGTGGGTCCCTGACCCCTGAAGAGCCTAATTGGGAGGCACCCCCCAGTAGGGGCAGACTAACACCTCACATGGCTGGTACCCCCCTGAGACGAAGCTTTCAGAGGAATGATCAGGCAGCAACATTTGCTGTTCAGCAATATTCGCTGTTCTGCAGCCTCTGCTGCCGATACTCAGGCAAACAGGGTCTGGAGTGGACCTCCAGCATACTCCAACAGGCCTGCAGTGGAGGATCCTGACTGTTAGAAGGAAAACTAACAAACAGAAAGGACATCCACACCAAAACCCCATCTGTACGTCACCATCATCAAAAACCAAAGGTAGATAAAACCACAAAGATGGGGAAAAAACAGAGCAGGAAGCTGAAATTCTAAAAATCAGAGCACCTCTCCCCCTCCAAGGAACGCCGCTTCTCACCAGCAATGGAACAAAGCTGGACGGAGAATGACTGACTAGTTGAGAGAAGAGGGCTTCAGACGATCAAACTTCTCTGAGCTAAAGGAGGAAGTCTGAACCCAACACAAAGAAGCTAAAAACCTTGAAAAAAGATTAGACGAATGGCTAACTAGAATAACCAGTGTACAGAAGTCCTTAAATGACCTGATGGAGCTGAAAACCATGGCACGAGAACTACTTGACGAATGCACAAGCTTCAGTAGCCGATTCGATCAACTGGAAGAAAGGGTATCAGTGACTGAAGATCAAATGAGTGAAATGAAGCGAGAAGAGAAGTCTAGAGAAAAAAAAGAGTAAAAAGAAATGAACAAAGCTTCCAAGATATATGGGACTATGTGAAAAGACCAAATCTACACCTGATTGGTGTACCTGAAAGTGATGGGGAGGATGGAACCAAGTTGGAAAACACTCTGCAGGATATCATCCAGGAGAACTTCCCCAACCTAGTAAGGCAGGCCAACATTCAAATTCAGGAAATACAGAGAACGCCACAAAGATACTCCTCGAGAAGAGCAACTCCAAGACACATAATTGTCAGATTCACCAAAGTTGAAATGAAGGAAAAAACGTTAAGGGCAGCCAGAGAGAAAGGTCGGGTTACCCACAAAGGGAAGCCCATCAGACTAACAGGGGATCTCTCAGCAGAAACTCTACAAGCCAGAAGAGAGTGGGGGCCAATATTCAACATTCTTAAAGAAAAGAATTTTCAACCCAGAATTTCATATCCAGCCAAACTAAGCTTCATAAGTGAAGGAGAAATAAAATCCTTTACACACAAGCAAATGCTGAGAGATTTTTTCACCACCAGGCCTGCCCTACAAAAGTTCCTGAAGGAAGAACTAAACACGGAAAGGAACAACTGGTACCAGCCACTGCAAAAACATGCCAAATTGTAAAGACCATCAGTGCTAGGAAGAAACTGCATCTACTAACGAGCAAAATAACCAGCTAATATCATAATGACAGGATCAAATTCACACACAACAATATTAACTTTAAATGTAAATGGGCTAAATGCTCCAATTAAAAGACACAGACTGGCAAATTGGATAAAGAGTCAAGACCCATCAGTGTGCTGTATTCAGGAGACTCATCTCACGTGCAGAGATACACATAGGCTCAAAATAAAGGGATGGAGGAAGATCTACCAAGCAAATGGAAAACAAAAAAAGGCAGGGGTTGCAATCTTAGTCTCTGATAAAACAGACTTTAAACCAACAAAGATCAAAAGAGACAAAGAACACCATTACATAATGGTAAAGAGATCAATGCAACAAGAAGAACTATCCTAAATATGCATGCACCCAATACAGGAGCACCCAGATTCATAAAGCAAGTCCTTAGAGACCTAGAGACCAAAGAGACTTAGACTCCCACACAATAATAATGGGAGACTTTAACACCCCACTGCTAACATTAGACAGATCAACGAAACAGAAAGTTAAAAAGGATATCCAGGAATTGAACATAGCTCTGCACCAAGCAGACCTCATAGACTGCTACAGAACTCTCCACCCCAAATCAACAGAATATACATTCTTCTTAGCACCACATCACACTTATTCCAAAATTGACCACATAGTTGGAAGTAAAGCACTCCTCAGCAAATGTAAAAGAACAGAAATTATAACAAACTGTCTCTCAGATCACAGTGCAATCAAACTAGAACTCAGGATTAAGAAACTCACTCAAAACCGTTCAACTACATGGAAACTGAACAACCTGCTCCTGGATGACTACTGGGTCATAACGAAATGAGGGCAGAGATAAAGATGTTCTTTGAAACCAACGAGAACAAAGACACAACATACCAGAATCTCTGGGACACATTTAAAGCAGTGTGTAGAGGGAAATTTATAGCACTAAATGCCCACAAGAGAAAGCAGGAAAGATCTAAAATTGACACCCTAACATCACAATTAAAAGAACTAGAGAAGCAAGAAGAAACAAATTCAAAAGCTAGCAGAAGGCAAGAAATAACTAAGATCAGAGCAGAACTGAAGGAAATAGAGACACAAAAAAACCTTCAAAAAATCAATGAATCCAGGAGTTGGTTTTTTGAAAAGATCAACAAAATTGATAGACTGCTAGCAAGACTAATAAGAAAAGAGAGAGGAGTCAAATAGATGCAATAAAAAATGATAAAGGGGATATCACCACCAATCCCAAAGAAATACAAACTACCATCAGAGAATAATATAGACACCTCTATGCAAATAAACTAGAAAATCTAGAAGAAAGGGATAAATTCCTGGACACATACAACCTCCCAAGACTAAACCAGGAAGAAGTTGAATCCCTGAATAACCAATAACAGGCTCTGAAATTGAGGCAATACTTAATAGCCTACCAACCAAAAAAAGTCCAGGACCAGATGGATTCACAGCCAAATTCTACCAGAGGTACAAGGAGGAACTGGTACCACTCCTTCTGAAACTATTCCAATCAATAGAAAAAGAGGGAATCCTCCCTAACTCATTTTATGAGGCCAGCATCATCCTGATACCAAAGCCTGGCAGAGACACAACCAAAAAAGAGAATTTTAGACCAATATCCCTGATGAACATAGATGCAAAAATCCTCAATAAAATACTGGCAAACCGAATCCAGCAGCACATCAAAAAGTTTATCCACCATGATCAAGTGGCCTTCATCCCTGGGATGGAAGGCTGGTTCAACATACACAAATCAATAAACATAATCCAGCATATAAACAGAACTAAAGACAAAAAAACACATGATTATCTCAATAGATGCAGAAAAGGCCTTTGACAAAATTCAACAGCCCTTTATGCTAAAAACTCTCAATAAATTAGGTATTGATGGGATGTATCTCAAAATAATAAGAGCTATTTATGACAAACCCACAGCCAATATCATACTGAATGGGCAAAAACTGGAAGCATTCCCTTTGAAAACTAGCACAAGACAGGGATGCCCTCTCTCACCACTCCTATTCAACATAGTGTTGGAAGTTCTGGCCAGGGCAATCAGGCAAGAGAAAGAAATAAAGGATATTCAATTAGGAAAAGAGGAAGTCAAATTGTCCCTGTTTGCAGATGACATGATTGTATATTTAGAAAAGCCCATCATCTCAGCCCCAAATCTCCTTAAGCTGATAAGCAACTTTAGCAAGGTCTCAGGATACAAAATCAATGTGCAAAAATCACAAGCATTCTTATACACCAATAACAGACAAACAGAGAGCCAAATCACGAGTGAACTCCCATTCACAATTGCTTCAAAGAGAATAAAATACCTAGGAATCCAACTTACAAGGGATGTGAAGGACCTCTTCAAGGAGAACTACAAACCACTGCTCAACGAAATAAAAGAGGACACAAACAAATGGAAGAATATTCCATGCTCATGGATAGGAAGAATCAGTATC
Source organism: Homo sapiens (assembly GCF_000001405.40). Classification (NCBI taxonomy): domain Eukaryota; kingdom Metazoa; phylum Chordata; class Mammalia; order Primates; family Hominidae; genus Homo; species Homo sapiens. The sequence continues at coordinate 189,972,589 of NC_000002.12, read as the reverse complement.
ATGAAAATGGCCATACTGCCCAAGGTAATTTATAGATTCAATGCCATCCCCATCAAGCTACCAATGACTTTCTTTGCAGAATTGGAAAAAACTACTTCAAAGTTCATATGGAACCAAAAAAGAGCCCGCATTGCCAAGACAATCCTAAGCCAAAAGAACAGAGCTGGATGCATCATGCTACCTGACTTCAAACTATACTACAAGACTACAGCAATCAAAACAGCATGGTACTGGTACCAAAACAGAGATATAGATCAATGGAACCGAACAGAACCCTCAGAAATAATACCACACATCTACAACCATCTGATCTTTGACAAACCTGACAAAAACAAGAAAAGGGGAAAGGATTCCCTATTTAATAAATGGTGCTGGGAAAACTGGCTAGCCATATGTAGAAAGCTGAAACTGGATCCCTTCTTTACACCTTATACAAAAATTAATTCAAGATGGATTAAAGACTTAAATGTTAGACATAAAACCATAAAAACCCTAGAAGAAAACCTAGGCAATACTATTCAGGACATAGGAATGGGCAAGGACTTCATGTCAAAACACCAAAAGCAATGGCAACAAAAGCCAAAATTGACAAATGGGATCTAATTAAACTAAAGAGCTTCTGCACAGCAAAAGAAACTACCATCAGAGTGAACAGGCAACCTACAGAATGGGAGAAAATTTTTGCAATCTACTGATCTGACAAAGGGCTAATATCCAGAATCTACAAAGAACTCAAACAAATTTACAAAAAAAAAATCAAACAACCCCATCAAAAAGTGGGTGAAGGATATGAACAGACACTTCTCAAAAGAAGACATTTATGCAGCCAAAAGTCACAATAAAAAATGCTCATCACTGGCCATCAGAGAAATGCAAATCAAAACCGCAATGAGATACCATCTCACACCAGTTAGAATGACGATCATTAAAAAGTCAGGAAACAACAGGTGCTGGAGAGGATGTGGAGAAATAGGAACACTTTTACACTGTTGGTGGGACTGTAAACTAGTTCAACCATTGTGGAAGACAGTGTGGCGATTTCTTAGGGATCTAGAACTAGAAATACCATTTGACCCAGCCATTCCATTACTGGGTATATACCCAAAGGATTATAAATCACGCTGCTATAAAGACACATGCACGCATGTGTTCATTGCAGCATTATTCACAATAGCAAAGACTTGGAACCAACCCAAATGTCCATCAATGATAGACTGGATTAAGAAAATGTGGCACATATACACCATGAAATACTATGCATCCATAAAAAAGGATGAGTTCATGTACTTTGTAGGGACATGGATGAAGCTGGAAACCATCATTCTCAGCAAACTATCGCAAGGACAAAAAACCAAACACCACATGTTCTCACTCATAGGTGGGAATTGAACAATGAGAACACTTGGATACAGGGCAGGGAACATCACACACTGGGGCCTGTCGTGGGGTTGGGGGAGTGGGGAGGGATAGCATTAGGAGAAATACCTAATGTAAATGATGAGTTAATGGGTGCAGCACACCAACAAGGCACACGTATACATATGTAACAAACCTGCACATTGTGCACATGTACCCTAGAACTTAAAGTATAATAATAAAAAAAGAGAATAAAAAAGAAAAACAAATGGTCAATAAACAAGTAAAAAGATGATCAACCTCATAAGTAATCAAAAAATGCAAATTACAGCCATAGGGCGATATTGTTTTATGCCTGCCAAAATGACAAATTTGTAAATGTCTGACGATACTAAGTATTAGTGAGGATGTATAGAAATAAACTTTTATATGCTGATGAATGGAAATTGCTACAAATACTGTGGCAACATTCTATGAAAATACGTACAGCCTGTGACCAGTATTTCCACTCATTAACCAAAAGATACTCTTGCCTAGGAGATTTGTGGAAAAATATTGATAGAATTATTGTTTAACATAGCAGTGTTCTTGATAAGCTAAATTGCTATCAACAGAAAAACAGATTATGAAATTACCATGGACTATTACTCAGTAGTAAAAATGAATGAAATAGGGTTATGCATTTTAATATATATATATCTCGAACACAGTATTGATGAAAAAAGGCAAGCTGTGGAAGAATACATACATTGTGATGCCATTTACCTTAAGTTTAAAAACTTGCAAAATAATATCATTTGCTAAGAGATAAATAACTAATAAAAGTATTCTAAAAATATGGGAATGATAAATATCAAATAAAATATAATGGTAACTCCTAGAGAAGTGATTGAAAGGGAATATAATCCAGGAAAATTACACAGAGTTTCAACATTAGCAATGTTTTATGTCTTAGCTGGGTGAGGGAATATATAGGTATTCATTGTGTTATATGCTAGACATATAGCATATTTCTATAGACATATGCTACATATACTACATATGTCTATAGAAATGAGTATCTTGATGGCTGGGCTCAGTGGCTCATGCCTGTAATCTCAGCACTTTGGGAGGCCAAGGCAAGTGGATCTCTTGAGTCCAGGAGTTCAAGAGCAGCCTGGGAACATGGTGAAACCCCATCTCTATAAAAAGTACAAAAAATTAGCCGTGTATGCACACCTGTAGTCCTAGCTACTTGGGAGGCTGAAGTAGGAGAATCACCTGAGCCTGGGAGATTGAGGCTGCAGTGAGCTGAGATTGTGCCACTGCACTCCAGCTTGGGCAACCAGAGTGAGACCCTGTCTCAAAAAAAAAAAAAAAAAAAAGAAGAAGAAGAAAGTGAAAAAGAGAAGAAAGAGAAAAAGAGAAGAGAAGAGGAAGGAAGGACCTATAATTCTAAAACTTAGGTCAAAATGTTTATAACATTAATTCAATGAAATTTTATCTTTTTTTTTTTTTTTTTTTTTGAGATGGAGTCTTGCTCTGTCGCCCAGTCTGGAGTGCAGTGGTGCGATCTTGGCTCACCACAACCTCTGCCTCCTGGGTTCAAGCAACTTTCTCCCTCAGCCTCCCCAGTAGCTGGGATCACAGGTGCCCGCCATCATGCCTTGCTAACTTTTGTATTTTTTAGTAGAGACGGGGTTTCACCATCTTGGCCAGGCTAGTCGTGAACTCCTGGCCTCGTGATCCACCCGCCTCAGCCTCCCAAGAAATTTTATCATTTTTAGTAATGGTAGAGTGGGTGTGTCTTAGTCTGTTCAAGCTGTGATACCAAAATAACATAAACCAGATAGTTCACAAACAACAAACATTTCTCACAGTTCTTGAGGCTGAGAATTCCAAGGTCAAGGTGCCAGCAGATTCAGCGTCTGGTGAGAGCTTGCTTCCTTCATAGAGGCAGTCATCTCACTATAAACTCATGATGAAAGGCTCAAGGCAGCTCTCTGGGACCCCATGAGGCTCCACCCTCATGACCTGATCACCTCCCAAAGGACCTACTCTTAATACTATCACCTTGGGCTGACATGTTTCAACATATGATTTTGGGGAAAAAAACACTTAGATCATAGTTGGATCTGGGCAAGAAAGTAAAAAGGCAAATTGGTACTGCTTTTATGGTATATTTGCCTATACAGTAAATATTTGTATATGATACATGTGCTATATGTTTTGAAAGCCTTAAGTATATTCATACTATTTGACTCTGCAGGTATTTGGATAACAGAAAAAGAATTCCTATTTAGATATTAGTATTTTCTAATTTTTTCTATAATATGTATTATACTATAGGAAATATTATTTGTATGATAAATTTGTATTATTTGTATAATAAACAAATATCTATTTTTATAAAAAACTTTCTTGATTAGAGTATATAAAAGAAACTTACTCTTCCTGGTGAAGTGAAATTTTAAAAATTAGATAGAAACCTTCCAATCCTAGTAATGCTCTTGTCTTAAACATTTTGGAGTGGGGGCTTATGAAGGGGGCCTTTGTATTTGCAAAATTTTTCTTTTTTCATTCTTCTACTCTCAACCTTTCTGCACCCTTTTATTTTAGATGTGCTTATTGTATGTAGTGCATAGCTATGTTTTGTTTATCCCAGACAATCTTTGTTGCTTAAGTACAGTAAAAAATATGTAACTACAGCATTTAGCCCAGGCGCACTGGCTCATGTCTATAATTCCAGTGTTCTTGGAGGCCAAGGCAGGAGAATCACTTGAGGCCACGAGGTGAAGACCAGCCTGGGCAATATAGTGAGATGCCATCTCTACAAAACAATTTTAAAATTTAGCCAGGCATAGTCGTACTTGCCTGTAGTCCTAGCTACACCAGAGACTGAGGCAAGAGGATTGCCTGAGTCCAGGAATTTGAGGCTAAAGAGAGCTATGATCAGGCCACTGCACTCCAGCCTGGGCAACAGGACAAGACCCTGTCTCTACAATAAGTAAATAAATATAGAATATTTAACTATATCATTTAATCTGTTCACACTTATTATAACTCAGAAATTATATCTATCACTTTGATATTTGTCCCACTTCTTCTATATTTCTTTCTTTCCTTTTTTATCTACCTTTGAATTAAGTACTTTTGATCATTCTGTTTTTCTCTCTCAACTTACAACACACTGTTCCTTATTCTTCTGGCGGTAACTGTGATATTCCACACAACGTGCAAATTTATCAACACTTTATGTTAATCAAAATTTTTTTTCCTGAATTACACAGAACATTTGCTTCCTCCAACTTATATGCTATTGCTCTCCAATATTTTAACTGTATCTTTTTTCACCATTTAACTTTATTATGACTTTAGACAATGTTCCTTTTTTTTTTTTAATTTCAAATTTTTATTTTTATTTTTTTTAGAGATGGGGTCTCATTATGTTGCCCAGACTGGAGTGCAATGGCTATTCACAGGTGTGATTATAGTGCACTATACCATTGAACACCTGGGCTCAAGTGATCCTCTTGCCTCAGCCTCCCAAGTAGCTGGGACTACAGGTGTGCACCACTGTGCACAGCTGCTTTCTTTTTGCATCTCAAATCTTTTATATAGGATCATTTTGCTTCTAAATGAAGTATATCTGTGAGAATTTCTTTTGGTGACATTCTCTCATAATAATCTCTATTTTAGTCCGATAGTTTTATTTCACCCTTGTTTTTGAAGAATCTTTTCATCAGGTGTAGAATTTTAGGTTTGTGGTGATTTTATTTTAGCTCATTAAAAATATCATTCCAAAGTCTGTGTTGACAGAAAAACATAGCTCCTTTAGCAGTTTCCTTTTCTTTTTGGTTTTGAAGTTACACCCTGATGTGTCTAGGTGTACAAGTTCAGGGAAACTGTAGATATACAACAAGGAAAGCTAAAAATACAATAGTTCAAAATGACAACCTAGGTTCCCTATTCCAGGTTGATAGGTGGCTATGGTCCACATTGCTATCCAGGAACCCAGGTTTCTTCTATCTTGTTTCTCTGCCACCCACGGTGAAAACCAGGTCACAGGCATATTCTTGCTTTGGTTTATAGGAGGAGGAAGGAAAATGGAGATAGCTTATAAATAAACAAGGTCCCAGCTGAAAGCATTATAATGGTAAGAAATTATGTACAAAGTCACACTTACCCATAAGGAAGAATGAAGAATGTAGAGTATTTGAGAAGCCATGTATCGGTACTTCTATTACTATGCAGAAAGGGAAATTGCAATTTAATGAATGAATACTTAGCTGTCTTACCATTCTAGTTGCAGGTTTTCTTTACTATTTCACTTAGGGATTAGCTGAGCTACCTGAGTCTGTGCATTGGTTTTTCTTAACTTCTTGGCTATCCTTTTAATTGAAATTTGTATTGAGATAATTATAGATTCACATAAAATTGTAAGAAGTAATATATATCTCTATGCACGTTCCACTAATAGTGGAACTGTCTTGCAAAATCATGGCACAATATCAAAACCAGCATACCATATTGACATTGATACAATCTACTAATCTTATTCAGATTTCCCCAGGTTTACTTATTTGTGTATGTATTTAGTTTCTTTATCAGATGTGTAAGTTTGTCTAACCGCCACCAGAATCAGGTTACAGAACAGTTGCTTTACAAGAAGACATGTTATCCTTTTATAACAACTCCCACCTTCCTCTTGCCTCCTCTTCCCATCCCAAACTCCTGGTGACCACTAATCTGTTCTTCATTTCTAAAATTGTGTCATTTCAAAATATTATATTCAGGCATATCTCATTTTTTGTAGTTTGCTTTATTGTCCTTTGAAGGTATTGCATTTTTTACAAATTGAAGGTTTATTGCAAACCTGCATCGAGCAAGTCTATCGGCACTAATTGTCTTTTTTTATTTCCATAGGTTTTGGGGGAACAGGTGGTATTTGTTTACATGGGTAGGTTATTTAGTGATTTGTGAAATTTTGGTGCACCCATCACCTGAGTAGTACACACGGAACCCAATTTGTAGTCTTTTTTCCCTCACCCCCTTCTCACCCTTTCCCCCCCAGGTACCCAAAGTCCATTGTATCATTCTTATGTCTTTGCATACTCACAGCTCGGCTCCCACGTATGAGTAAGAACATACAATATTTGGTTTTCCATTCCTGAGTTACTTCACTTAGAATAATAGTCTCCAATCCCATCCAGGTTGCTGCAAATGCCATTAATTCATTCCTTTTTATGGCTGAGTAGTATACCATCATATATATATACACATACACACACACACACACACATACATACATACATATATACCACAATTTCTTTATCACTCATTGATTGATGGGCATTTGGGCTGATTCCACATTTTTGCAATTGCAAAGTGTGCTTCTATAAACATGTGTGTTCAAGTATCTTTTTTGTATGACTTCTTTTCCTCTGGGTAGATACCTAGTAGTGGGATTGCTGGATCAAATTATAGTTCTACTTTTAGTTCTTTAAGGAATCTCCACACTGTTTTCCATAGTGGTTGTACCAGTTTACATTCCCACCAGCAGTGTAGAAGTGTTCACTTTTCACCACATCCACACCAACATCTATTTTTTTTTTTATTTTTTTATTGTGGCCACTGTTGCAGGAGTAAGGTGGTATCACACTGTGGTTTTGATTTGCATTTCCCTGATCATTCATGCTGTTGAGGATTTTTTTGTATGTTTGTTGGCCATTTGTACACTTTCTTTTGAGAATTTTCTATTCATGTACTTGGTCCATTTTTTGATGGGACTGTTGGTTTTTTTCTTGCTAATTTGTTTGAGTTCCTTGTAGATTCTGGATATTGGCACCATTTTTCTAATAGCTGTGCTCACTTTGACTGTACATCACATTTTAGTAATTCTCTAAGTATTTCAATCTTTTTCATTATTATTATATGTCTTATGGAGATATGTAATCAATGATCTTTGAGGTTACTTTTGTAATTGTTTTGGGATGCTACAACTTGGGCCCATATAAGACGGCAAACTTAATTAATAAATATTGTGTGTGTTCTGACTGTTCCACCAACTGGCCATTCCCTGTCTCTCTCCTCCTTGGGCTTCCCTATACCCTAAGATGCAACAATATTGATATTAGGCCAATTTAGAACCCTACAATGGCCTTTAACTGTTCAAGTGAAAGGAAGAGTTGCATGTCTCTCACTTTAAATCAAAAGCTAGAAATGATTAAGTTTAGTAAACAAGGCAGGTCTAAAGCCAAGACAGGCCAAAAGCTAGGCCCCTTATGGCAAACAGTTAGCCAAGTTGTGAATGCAAAGGAAAAGTTCTTGAAGGAAATTAAAAGTGCTACTTCTGTGAACATAAAAAATAATAAGTGATTCAGCCTTATTGCAGTAAGGAGGAAGTTTGAGTTGTCTGGATAGAAGATCAAACCAGCCACAACATTCCCTTATGCCAAAGCCTAATCCAGAGAAATGCCCTAACTCTCTTAAATTCTGTGAAAGTTGAGAGAGATAAAGAAGCTCCAGGAGAAATGTTTGAGACTAACATAGGTTGGTTCATATTTTTTTTAAAGGAAGCCATATCCATAACATAAAAGTACAAGGTGAAGCAGCTAGTGCTGATGTAGAAGCTACAAGTTATCCAGAAGATCTAGCTAAGATCATTGATGAAGGTGGCTACACTAAACAACAGATTTTCAATATCAACAAAAAATACTTCTATTGGAAGAAGATGCCATCTAGGACTTTTAAAGCTATAGAAGCGAAGTCAGTGCTTGGAAACAAGGCTTTCAAGGATAGGCTGACTCTCTTTTTAAGGGCTAATGCAGCTGGTGATTTAAGTTGAAGCCAATGCTCGTTTACCATTCTGAAATCCTAGGGCCTGTAAGAATTATGCTAAATCTACCCTGTGCTCTATAAATGGAACAACAAAGCCTTGATAACAGTACATCTGTTTAGAGCATGGGTTACTGAATATTTTAAGCCCACTGTTGAGACCTATTAGGAAAAAAAGACTTCCTTCAAAATACTACTGCTCATTGACAATGCACCTCATCACCCAAAAAAGAGCTCTGATGGAGATGTACAAGGCACTTAATGTTGCTTTCATGCCCATTAATACAACATCCATTCTGTAGCCCATGGATTAAGAAGGAATTCTGACTTTCAAGTCTTATTATTTAAGAAATACACATTTTAAAGCCAGCTTTGGTGGCTCATGCCTGCAGTCCCAGTACTTTGAGAGGCCAAGGTGGTGGATGGCTTGAGCCTGGGAGTTTGAGACCAACATGGCAAAAGCCTGTCTGTAGAAAAAATACAAAAATTAACTGGGTGTGGTGGCATGCACCTGTAGTCCCAGCTACTCAGGAGGCTGAGGTGGGAAAATTGTTTGATCCTGGGAGGTCGAGGCTGCAGTGAGCTGTGATCGCACCACTGCACTCTAGGCTGGGTGACAGAGCAAGACCCTATCTCAAAAAAAAAAAAAGAAATATATTATAGAAGGCTATAGCTGCCATAGATAATGATTTATCTGATGGACCTGGGCAAAGTAAACTGACAACCTCCTATTCTAGATGCCATTAAGAACATTTGTGATTCATGGGAGGAAATCAAACTCTCAACATTCACAGGAGTTTGAAGAAGTTGATTCCAACCCTCATGGCTGACTTTGAGATGTTCAAGATGTCAGTGGAGGAAGTAACTGCAGATATGGTGGAAACAGCAAGAGAAGTAGCAATAGCAATTAGAAGTGAAGCCTGGGCCGGGCGCGGTGGCTCATGCCTGTGATCCCAGCATTTTGGGAGGCCGAGGCAGGCAGATCACGAGGTCAGGAGATCGAGACCATCCTGGCTGACGAGGTGAAACCCTGTCTCTACTAAAAATACAAAAAAATTAGCCAGGTGTGGTGGTGGGCGCCTGTAGTCCCAGCTACTCGGGAGGCTGAGGCAGGAGAATGGTGTGAACCTGGGAGGTGAAGCTTGCAGTGAGTGGAGATCGCGGCCACTGCACTCCAGCCTGGGCAACAGAGTGAGACTCCATCTCAAAAAAAAAAAAGAGAAGTGAAGCCCGAAGATGTGATTGAATTGCTGCAATCTCATGAGAAAACTTGAACAGGTGAGACTTGCTTCTTATGGATGAGCAAAAAAGTGGGTACTTGAAATGGAATCTACTTCTGGTGAAGATGCTATGAACATTGCTAAAATGACAACAAAGGATTTAGAATAGTCCATAAACTTAGTTGATAAAGTAGTAACAGGGCTTGAGAAGATTGACTCCAATTTTGAAAGAAGTTTTACTACAGGTAAAATGCTATCAAACAGCATCCAAAATAATGTAAAATGTGATTTCTTCTATATTGTATTATATATACATATAAATGTAATATATATGTATTATAATGGGTCCCAGTTATAAAAAATATCCAATACACAAAGTGAAGCATCTTACATAGTGCTTTGCTAAAATTTTAAAAATAAATGTTATGTAAAGAGTTAACCTAGTTTAGTTTTTAATATTACAAATACATCCTCATGGTAAAAGTTCAAACAATATCAAAATACAGTGATTAAAAAGTAATTGTCAGCCTTTATCCCCCAACCCAACATCTCTCTTCTCTGCCCAGAGGTAACCACTGTTAATAGTGTAAGGTATATATTTATCTTAGATTTGGTCAGATCTAAAAGTTTTTCAATTGATTATTTTTTGTTTAGGAGAACTCACGTTATCTGTTAGTAATAGTTCTTGTTTTTTCTTTTCCAATATTTTTTACATTTCTTCCTTTATCATGATATTGAAAATGAAGATAATCATTAATTCTAGCCTTTAGTGTTTCTAACAGTAACATATTCATATATAGCCATGTGTCACTTAATGACAGGGATACATCCTGAGAAATATATCATCAGGGGATTGCATCTTTGGGCAAACATCATAGAGTATACTTACGCAAACCTAGATGGTATAAGCTGCATGCCTACATTATATGAGAGAGCCTATTCCTCCCAGACTAAAAACCTGTGCAGTGTGTTACTGTACTTAATACTGTAGGCAGTTATAACACAATGGTAAGTATTTATGTATCTAAAAATATCTCAATATTTAAAAATATGTAAAAATATGTATTATAATCTTATGGAACCTCTATTATATATGCTGTTCATTGTTGACTGAAACAGCATTATGTGTCACATGACTGTATTTTAATATGGTTTTCACAGTTTCCATTAGATTGATAAAATTCTCTGTAACAAGAATAATGGCCATTCATTTGTATGAAAATACATTGAATTTCAAAGTGGTTTTAAATATACCCTCGGTGAGTCTGATACTTTTTTTTTTTTTTGAGACAGAGTCTCGCTCTGTCACCCAGGCTAGAGTGCAGTGGTGTGATCTGGGCTCACTGCAACCTCCACCTCCCAGGTTCAAGTGATTCTCCTGCCTCAGCCTCCCGAGTAGCTGGGGCTACAGGTGTGCTCCACCATGCCTGGCTAATTTTTGTATTTTGAGTAGAGACAGGGTTTCTACTATGTTGGCCAGGCTGGTCTTGAACTCCTTACCTCATGATCCACCCACCTCAGCCTCCCAAAGTGCTGGGATTACAGGTGTGAGCCACCATGCCCAGCCGAGTCTGATACTTTAAGGTCACAAAGCACCTTAAAATGTCAAGAACCTGGGACTTATGAGGTAAATTAAACCATAATTTTGACCTATAAAATATATGTTTTAAAGAGCTTTATATAAGATTTATATATGATTTTTCCCAGAAACAGGAATGGTGTATCTTTTAGTATTAAAAAAATAAAAACTGTTCTCTGTATGGTAAAGGCAGTCTTATTTGAAGTATATTTCTGAGACCAATAAACTAGTATAAGTGCACTCCTATGCTGTGAAGCCAGTGTATTTGGCAGTGTCTGGCATAACTGAGTTAGTCTTTTGGGTAGAGACCATATCTGAGCTCCCTCCACCTTCTCCTGGCCCTCTCCACCCACTTCCCAGGGAATAAACATTAATCTGATTCTATATTGGGGTATGTATGTGTGCAAAGAACACGGGTGTGGGTTCCTCCCTTCTCTTCTATAAGGCTGGAACTGGTATGAAGACCTGATTAAAAGGAGTAGAAGGAATCCACTTTGTTTCTCGCACTTGTCTTATATGTTATACTGCCCCTGAAACCTAATGAGGCAGAATTTATGCACTTCTAAATATTGATCAAAGACAATACTGCTCAAAGACTGGGCAAAACCCTAGTGCCAACTTCTAAAATCTGGTATAGGCTAGAGTGTGAAGCTGGGCAATATTTGGAATGGAAAGTAGAATGGGCATACATTTTGTTTCTAGTCTGGAGTCAGAGTTAACCAATAGTCTCTTTTAATTGATTCCAAGAAAGGAATCTCTGTAGGCCCAGTATACTTTTATAAAAAGCAGTGGTAACTAACAAGGGAGTTAAGTACACAAAGGTGGGGTCAGGGACCTTACTCCCCTGACCTTACTATCCTCTGGTTAGCCACATGGCAGATCTCACTCAAGAGAAAGAAAGCAGGCTGCATCTGTGTACATCTTTAAAAAAAAAATACAGTGTGTCTCTGCCACAAATTAAAGAAGCTTAATTAGGGCCAGAAATCTGACCAGTTATGATAACTTATCCTCTTATCTGAGAAAAGCCAGAATGAATCTTCTCTTTCAAGGGGTAGAGTCACTCTTGCTTTATCATAAGCTTGGGTCCTAGTAATCACTGTGTTAAAAGATAAGAAATAAAAGTGTGTAATAGAAGGGGGCAGAGGCAAGGGAGCTCTATTAGCTCATTTCTCTCTTTCAGCTCACTACATCCTCTTTGCTGTTCTTCAGTTCATTAATTTGGAGAAGAGGGGAGGAGCTGCCTAAGCCACGTATTTCACTCCAGTTTATCTGGGAACCCTAGCTTTGGAGTTTCAGATCAATGATAATTTAATAGTAAAATGGATTTGTATTTCCCAGTTGCAGTTGTCTTTTGTATGTATATTCTCCCTCAGAAACCTTATAAGGATGGGTAGTTTAGTCAAGGAAAGATTTAGGCATCTGGGTCTCTTGAGCTAACAACCTAACAGCCGGTGTTCAATCAATAATAATTGTTATCAGATAATGATCAAACACGTGATATGTAACAAAGATAGTAATTAATGTAAGATCAGTTTGGAACTCAGTTCTGCCAAGGCAAGTTGAACTCTAATTGAATATGAAACACATTTTCATTCTTTTTGATGCCTATAGGCAGAAGTGGCTCACTGGTGTTTCCCTATACAAAGAATATGAAAAAAACCTACATAAATGTTACATTATTTTCATTTTATGAAAAGACCATTTAATATTATAAGTAATAATACCACAAATATTTCTGGGTATATGTTTTTCATTTCAAATGAATATAACATTACCTACTCAAAAAACTGTAAGTGGATTTTCAAGCTAATGAATCATGAAATATTTTGTTGAGTTACAAGTGAACCAAATGGTCATATTTATTTTAACACCTGGGAAAAGTCAGGATATGCACAGCTGGCTGTTAGCTTGTCACACATTCCTAAGTTTACAATTACTACTAGTGTTCTCAAACCAAGTCCACTGACAAACAGTTGCAGGTGGCCAACATGTTTGTGTGTAGAAAGAGCTTTACTCAGCAAAATCTAGTAATGTATCAATAGTAGCACTTACTTTTGAAAAATATCAGTATTTGGGAATGGCAATTTCTAAATATTTTCTTAATGATTTAAAGCATGCTTAGGACTGCTAATGAGAAATGTATAAATACCACTATAATTCTGAAAAAAAATCAGTGTACATTTAAGAATTATGGCAAAGAATAAATTGATCTGTTAAATAAAGTCTAATTATTTGGAATATTTCTAATGAAGGAAGTAACCACATCTTTCTGAAATAGCAGTTGGTTATCTAACTCATTTTTACAGCATTATTTCTAGGAAATGTAGCTACTATCCCTAAGGAAGGGAAAGCATGTATAATTTTACAAGATAATCATTTTCAGGTTTTTTGATTATATTAGAAAGTTAAATTTAAATTTGTTTCATATAATTATTTTTATAATTTTTATTAAATGTTGAGTAGGCAGGAAAGAATATTTATAAAGTATATAACATATGAATAACAAAAAATGAATATTTATATTCCATCACCCAGTTTAAGAAAAAAAATAACATCACAATTGAAGTCCTGTGTACCCCTTCCTGAGCTTCTTTCTTTCACCTCTGTCCCTTAGCGGTCACCACTTTCCTCACTTTTGTGTATTTTATTTTCTTGCTTTTCTTTAGGGTACTAAAGAAAAACTGTACCACATACAGTTGCAGCTCAACTTATGTTTACTTTTGAACATTCTGAAATTTGTATTAATTAAATAATGCTTTAAGTATTCATTTACTTTTATTTTGTTCAACATGGTACTGCTGAGATTCATTCAAGTTCTTTCATGCAGCTGTAATTCATGCATTTTATTGCTATGTAGCATTCCATTATATAAAGGTATCACAATATATTTATACATTTTACTGTTGATGAACATTTGGAGGTTTTTTTTTCGGTTCTTTATATTACCCAGTGCTACTACAACCATTTTGCACAACTGTCCTGGTGCACATATGCAAGAGGTTCTAATGGATGTGTGTGTGTGTCTGTGTATATACACACACACATTTAGATGTGGAATGTTGGGATCTTCAATGTTATATATATATATATATATATGTTATGTGTGTATATATATTTAATTAAATATTACTTAATTAAATATTACTATATTATTTATGTCAAATTATTTTCTAATGTGCTTTTTACCAATTTATACGCTCATCAGCAGTATATGTGTTCCAATTGCTCCATATTCCTGTCAATGTTTGATATTCTCAGAATTTTAAATTTAAGCCAAGCAGCTAAGTTTACTTGTAGTTTTAATATGCACTTCTCTGATTACAGTGAGGTTGAGTATTTTTTAGACTGTTTATGGGCCATTATCAGTAACCACTTGCGAAGTGCTTTTCAAATCTCTTGCCCAGTTCCTTATGGTGTTGCTCATCTTCTTACTAACTTATAGGTAAGAATTTTTTATATGTTCAAGACACTAATCCTTTGTCAATTATACGTAGCAAATATCTTTGTCAATTACATGTTGCAAATATCTTGGCGCAATGGCTCACACCTGTAATCCCACCACTTTGGGAGGCTGAGGCGAGTGGATTACCTGAGGTCAGGAGTTCGAGACCAGCCTGGCCAACATGGTGAAACCCCGTCTCTACTGAAAATACAAAAATTAGCCAGGTGTGGTGGTGCACGTCTGTAGTCCCTGCTACTCGGGAGGCCAAGGCAGGAAAATTGCTTGAACCTGGGAGGCGGAGGTTGCAGTAAGCTGAGATGGCACCACTGCATTCCAGCCTGGGTGACAGAGTGAGATGTAATATATTTTCACAGTAGCTTGTCTTTTCACTCTTTTTGTCTTTTGATGAATGAGAGTTCTTAATTTTAATGTATGCTACTCAAACATCTTTTCCTTATTCAAAACTATTTTTCACAGCTGTTATCAAAATTGAAAAAGTCTTACTATAGGAACTAGAAAAGCTATATCATAGAAATTGGGAAACTGTCATAGTGGTTTCTATCATATAATAATATCTTCTTATTTAACTACAGAATTACATATGAAAAATTGTGGTTGAGACAAATGGCTAGTTAAATGGCTGTTTTCTCTGGTTTTGGTGGCAAGCTGACTAACTAATAAATTAGTTTGCTAATGATAAATCTTAGAGCTACAAAAGGCA
Source organism: Homo sapiens (assembly GCF_000001405.40). Lineage (NCBI taxonomy): Eukaryota > Metazoa > Chordata > Mammalia > Primates > Hominidae > Homo > Homo sapiens. Next base: position 189,957,455 of record NC_000002.12, on the reverse strand, counting down.
TAGATTTCTGAAAACTTTTCTATAACTTATGTCTTAACTGTAATAAAATATGGGGGAGGATTGGTTGCAAAGCACACATCTGCAAAATATAAGTTAATAATGGAGCGGATGTCATTTGTCTACCAAAAGGAATATATATGTATAGCATAGAAAATTTCTATGTAACGGAAGTAAGAGTCAGAGAAAATAGATTTTGTTTAAACATCTCACATCCAAACTTTCTATAACATCTGAACCTTATATCGTGAGCATGGATTACTTTTATTTTATTTTATTTTATTTGAGATGGAGTCCCCCTCTGTTGCCCAGGCTGAGTGCAGTGGCGCGATCTCGGCTCACTGCAACCTCTACCTCCTGGGTTTAAGCAACTCTCCTCCTCAGCCTCCTGAGTCACTGGGACTACAGGCGCAGGCCACCATACCCAGTTAATTTTTGTATTTTTAGTAGAGACAAGGTTTTACCATATTGGCCAGGCTGGTCTTGAACTCCTGAACTCGGAATTAAATTTAATAACTGAAAGCATGTCTGATATTCTTCAAGCTGAATTGAAATTATCATAAAAATATTAACACTGGCCAGGTGAGGTAGCTCACACTTGTGATCCCAGCACTTTGGGAGGCCAAGATGGGAGGATCACTTAAGGTCAGGAGTTTGCCACCAGCCTGGACCACATAGTGAGACTCCATCTCTACCACAAATTAAAAAATTAATTAGTCAGACATGGTTGTGTGTGCCTGCAGTCTTAGCTACTCAGGAGGCTGAGGCAGGAGGATTGCTTGAGCCTAGAAGTTCAAGGCTGCAGTAAGCCATGATTGTGCCACTGCACTCCAGCCTGGGCAACAGAGTGAGACCCTATCTCAAAAAAAAATTAATATGTTCTTATATGTATATGATGTAAATCTGTGATTTTATTATAGTGCAGCACTAGTTTTTTCATGTTTGTATATAAGATTTGGGAGTCTAAGTGCTCTTGAAAATATACTAGTAGGCCGGGTGCGGTGGCTCACGCCTGTAATCCCAGCACTTTGGGAGGCCGAGGCGGGCGGATCACGAGGTCAGGAGATCGAGACCATCCCGGCTAAAACGGTGAAACCCCGTCTCTACTAAAAATACAAAAAATTAGCCGGGCGTAGTGGCGGGCGCCTGTAGTCCCAGCTACTTGGGAGGCTGAGGCAGGAGAATGGCGTGAACCCGGGAGGCGGAGCTTGCAGTGAGCCGAGATCCCGCCACTGCACTCCAGCCTGGGCGACAGAGCGAGACTCCGTCTCAAAAAAAAAAGAAAAAAAAGAAAATATACTAGTAAAAATAAGTTCAAAGATTTGAGCATTATCATTTGAAAATGACCCATTGTTCTTAAATATTTTTTGATAATCTTTAAATAAACTGTGGATCCTGTTATTTCCAAAATAGAGAAGCATATGCGAATATCTGTTCTTACACCCAAATTTAGAACATAAAACTTACAATTTTTGGTGAAGGCAAAAAAACCCAGAAAAAACAAATGGCTAAACAATAATATTCACTGTGACTTAGATCAGTTTTATGTTAATTTTCTGAGTTATCTTAACTTTTAAGATATTTATATTGGATTTGGTTTTTAAACAACCCTGAGTGAGATGACTTAGCAAAAATACAAATCTTTTTTGAAACTTCTCTTCCCACTTTGTCACATGATGGTGTTTATGGTAAATTTTGTGTTCTTAAATTACATCCCAATAAGAATTTGCTCGCTCAATATCACTAATCATCAGAGAAATGCAAATTAAAACCACAATAAAATATCATCTTACACCAGTCAGAATGGCGGTTATTAAAAAGTCAAAAAACAGTAAACATTGGTGAGGATGCAGAGAAAAGAAACACTTATATACTGCTGGTGGAAATGTAAATTAGTACAACCTCTATGGAAAACAGTATGGAGATTTCTCAAAGAACTAAAAATACAGCTACCATTTGACCCAGCAATTCCACTACTGGGTACCTACCCAAAGAAAAAGACATCATTGTATCAAAAAAATCTGTACTTGTATGTTTATCACAGCCCTATTCACAATAGCAAAGTCGTGGAATCAAGTTAAGTGTCCATCAATGGATAACTGGATTTTAAAAGTATGGTATACATATATACCATAGAATACTAGCAAAAAAAACAAAAAACAAAAACAAAATACGAAACAAGAAAGAAAGAACGTCTTTTACAGAAACACAGATGCAACTAGAGGCCATTATCCTTGGTGAAATGACTCAGGAAGTTAAAAACCACATGTTCTCACTTATAAGTGGAAGCTAAACAACGGGTACATGCAGACATACAGAGTAAATAATGAACACTGGAGACTCCAAAAGGTGGGAGGGTGGGAGGCAGGTACAGATGAAACATGATCCTATGGAGTACAATGTACACTATTTGGGTGATGAGTACACTAAAAGCCCAGCATTCACCACTATGCAATATATCCATGTAACACCACTGTACTTGTACCCCTAAGTCCATAAATAAAAAATATTTTTTTAAAAAAGAATTTGCTAACTGAATAGTTTAAAGATAAACTTTTTAGAGGTCAAAGATATTGGGCATGTAAATATTGTGGTAATTTAAACATCAGTAGTATGCAAAAATGTACAACTGCCTGGTCTAATTCTGAGCAAGGATGCAGAGATCATTTTTGCTGATAAATGAATATCAGAAAAGTCACTGATGGTCAATAAAACTGCAGTGTTCCAAATAAATTACTCTGACATATGCCAACAAATGTTGGGAAAAAATTAGTCACTTATGATAAAAATGATGCAAAAATGTGTTAGTTGTAACATAGTTTTAAATATATATAACATTCAAACATAATGTGATTTAACCCATTTATGCCTGAGGTTGCAATTTTTTGAATTTTTACAGTCAGACCTTGGTGATGACCTTGAGCAGTAGGATATAAATGACTCCCACATGCTTAGCATTCCATTAATGGAACACTAGGCATATTAATGTGTATGTATTTGTAAGACTTCTTATATAAACATGTCACCAAACCAGAAGAAGTTTGGTCATATCACATGTTCTGATCTTATCATATGTTCTGATCTTATCATATGTTCTGATCTTTTCATTTGCAAAATATAGTTACCATAAATTTAAGTAAACAGTGTGTGTACATATGCAAATTTATCATAATGCCACTTAGAATCTATTGTGTAAGGATGTGGATGCATTAAACAATTTTCTTATGAGAAAATAGCTGTTTTCTTATAATCTGATAAAGTAGGTGTGCCACTTGTTTATACCAACAGGGTAAGAAAAAAGACTTGCGGAATGTTTCTTTGAGAAATACCTGATCTGGATTGTATCTCTTTCCTTCTCTTTCTCCTTCTCTTGCCTTCCCACTGACAGGGATTCCCCAACCTTGATGTTCATTTTACTACTACATCTTCACTTGACCTGTCTGGCTCAACATACATCCTCATCTCTTTCAACTATCAGCTTGACTTCTTTTCTCTCTGACAATGTTTTCATGTTGGCAATACCCTTGCAGGCTTCATTCATTCATTCAATCAATATCATAAACAATAAACAAACAAAAGATGCAGCTTAGTGGTTAAGAGGTGGACTCCAATGCCAGACAGCTTAAGTTTGTATCTTGGTTCTACCAGCTGTTAGCCATTAGAACTTGGGAAAATCACTTAACTTACGTGCATCAATTTCCTCATCTGTAAAAATGAGGTGATATTGATACTGTACTAACAATATCACCTCATAGATTGTTGGGAGAAATGAATGAATCAATATATCTAAAAGTCTTTGTTTTTTTTTTTTTTTTTTTTTTTTTGAGATGGAGTTTCACTCTTGTCACCCAGGCTGGAGTGCAATGGTGCAATCTGGGCTCACTGCAACTTCCGCCTCCAAGGTTCAAGAGATTCTCCTGCCTCAGCCTCCTGAGTAGCTGGGATTACAGGCATGCACCACCATGCCTGGCTAATTTTGTATTTTCAGCAGAGACAGGGTTTCACCATGTTGGCCAGGCTGGTCTCAAACTCCTGACCTAGGTGATCTGCCCATCTTGGCCTCCCAAAGTGCTGGGATTACAGGTGTGAGCCACCATGCCCGGCCTATATCTAAAAGTCTTATAACAGTGCTCAATATGTACTAAGAATCATATAACTGTCAGCTGATTTTATTATTAATCTTATTATTATCATTATTTGAGCACCTATATGCCAACCACTCTACTACATATTCGGATTATATTAGTGAACTCGACGGACAAGGCCTTGAGTAAAGCCCTTTTAGATGCAGCCTGTCCCCACTTTCCCTATTGCAGACTTGTAAGTGGGCCCTGAACAAAAATCTGGCCAGGGATGTTATCACATTTAACAATAGGCACCAAAATTACTAAACCAGCAAGAAAAGACACAATCCCTACAACTGGCATAGATAACAAAAGCCACCTGACCTCCTATTTTTAATTTCTGTTGATATTACCATAATCTTGTTCTGTTTTGTTTAACTCTAGTTCTCACTTCCCCCTTTCCATCACTACAGTCTGCAATTTTCAAGTCCTAAATGAGTGTAACTGAAAGTAACTTATTTACAAAGAAGATTCATGATCATTATAGTTATATAAGAACCAATTCATTAAATAGCCAAAATAAAAAGGAAACACCCTCAGACTATACATTCAAAGTTATCGAAGATGTGATCAAAAAATAAGTAGAAGTTCTTAAAAGGATACGTCACATGTAATTCTCCTACAGTTGCACACAGTAAGTGCAGTAGAAGTATCCTGTTTCAAAATGATCATAAAAGCAACTGTAACAGAATATTTTTAGATATTGAAACGTTGATCTTTTTACTCCCCATTGTTAACTTTCTTTTACCATTTCTCCTAATTTATAAATATTGTTCTCATATAGGAGAACAGATAAAACCTAAAATAAAAGAGCTAAATTCTTGCTTAGAATTCCAAAATAAGATCTTCATAATATGACTTCTATTTCTAAGATCTAGGTACTCATTCAAGGAGAAAAAAAAAATGATATGATTTTGTTTCAGTTCCAAAAAGGTCTGGTTTGGAAGACTGGAAGCTCAAGCTGTGTGAAGTACCATTGACCAGCTTAAGGCAGGAGACGAAATAAGCCCCTTTCTTGTATAGGGGAGGAAAAACTTTCTTCTACCCTCTTAGGTTCTGTGGCTGGGCCTGAGAATTAAACTAACATAAGACAGAGTAACAGGGAAAAAGCATACAAGTTTTATTTAATATTTTTACATGCATGGGAGCCCTCATAAGGAAAATGAATGTCTGAAAAAGCAGTTAGGCTCAAAAGTGTGTATACCTTTTAAAACAAAGAATGATAAATTGTGAGGATACAAGACAAAGGGTATTAGGCTAGGGGCAGTACATTGTGAGGCAGTGACCAGGAAATATATGGGGGAAACCAGTGGAAGATAAGGATTGTTTTCAGTTTGTGTAGTTTGTTTGTTTAGTTCTCTTTTGGCAGTAACTCCCAGTCTCCAGTGTTAAGAATGTTCTTCTATTCCTGGTTCAGGAAGAACACTTTTCTCATGGGAAATTTTATAACCTGCTTTTAGATAAGAACATTTGAGAGGTCACAGAGTTCTTCCTGCATTTGCTATTTCTCGAGTGCCTTCAGCTCAAAATAATTCTTATGCCAGAGTGACATATTTTGGGGTGGCATATTCTGATCTCCTATACTTGCCTTCAGCAAATGCTATTCTAAAACGAAGATGAGCTAAATGATTCTCTAACTTTAGACTTTTAGGTATTGGAAGAGTGAAGAAATATTTTTAGGACAATGAAAATAGGTAATGGCTATTGTGTTGACCCATACCTCTACTTCCTTATTTGAAAGCTTTAGATTTGGCTTTCAAAGTACTTAAAGCATTTACCAACTGATGAAAGGGAAGAAAACAGTGCCACAAAGATACTGAAGAGGAAGATTCAGCTGGGCGCAGTGGCTTACATCTATAATCCCAGCACTTTGGAAGGCCAAGGTGGGCGGATTACTTGGTGTCAGGAGTTCGAGACCAGCCCTGGCCAACATGGTGAAACCCCGTCTCTACCAAAAATACAAAAATTAGCCGGGTGCGCTGGCACATGCCTGTAATCCCAGCTACTTGGGAGGCTGAGGCAGGAGTATTGCTTGAACCTGGGAGGTGGAGGTTGCAGTGAGCCAAGATCGCATCATTGCACTCCAGCCTGGGGGAAGATGCAAGACTCTGTCTCAAAAAAAAAAAAAAAAAAAAAAAAAGGAGGATTCAGAGAACTAAACTAAGGTTTCTTCTATTGAAGTAGAGGGAAAAAACCTAATACTGGTACTAGGAAGTCTGATTTGATTGTCACAACAGAATGGTGGAAGAGGTCTGAGGTAATACCTCCAAACCCAACCCCAAAACTTCCCTTATCTCCAGGAAAGTGCAGAAACGATCCAGAAAAATTCCCCATATTCTGCTACTACCCCCACCCCAACCCTCCAGGCATGAAAGAAAGTTGAAAATTAAGTCAGTACACTAGCCAGGGATTTATTCTAATAACAGGGATAGAGAGCCAAATGGCAAAGGTTGGTAAGTGGGCAGCCCTAAACCAAGAAGGGACCTAGTTAACAGGAGGAAATAGTTGAGATCTCAATCCTTTTCTCAATGGCAGGACAAGATGTAAAGTCTTTGGGGGAACTTAAGTCATTAGTGGGAAGAAAAGTAATGTAAAATAGAGGAGAACTCTATGTATTTATATACATAGGCAATATACTTATCTCTCATATCTACATGTCTTGGAATATTTGTTTATGTAGTGTGATGACTTTAGAAAATATAAACAAAGGCTAGCTTTTAAAAGTAATAATTAAGATGTAAATTGTTGCTCTTTGGTGGTCTTCCTTAATCTTTTTCAGACCCTGAAGGCTTTCTACCATTAGCCCCTCTCTTACTTTCAGCAAAGGTGACACTAAAGACTAAGATAAGCCTGGTCTGAAGGTAGAGACTTATCCTAATCCTAATTGACTCTTCACAATCAGTTAACAGATTGAACTCCTTATTCTTCTCTTGCTCCCATGTTCACTACTGCACCTAAGGTTCATTACCTAACCTTAAAAAAAAAAACAAAAAAAAAAAACAAAAAAGGCTGGGCGCCATGGCTCACGCCTGTACTCCCAGCACTTTGGGAGGCTGAGGCAGGCGGATCATCTGAGGTTAGGAGTTCGAGACCAGCCTGGCCAACATGGTGAAACCCCATCTCTACTAAAAATACAAAAATTAGCCGGGCATCATGGCAGGCACCTGTAATCCCAGCTACTTGGGATGCTGAGGCAGGAGAATCACTTGAATCTGGGAGATGGAAGTTGCAGTGAGCTGAGATCTTGCCATTGCACTCCAGCCTGGGGACAAGAGCGAGACTTCATCTCAAAAAAAAAAAAAAAAACCCAAAACCAAAAAACTAAGATAACATGATTGATTCTGTAACTTTAGACTTTCAAACCTTGGAAGAGTTACATTTCAGGACACTTAAAAGTAGGTAACAGGCCAGGCGTGGTGGCTCACGTCTGTAATCCCAGCACTTTGGGAGGTCGAGGCAGGTAGATCACGAGGTCAAGAGATTGACACCATCCTGGACAACATGGTGAAACCCCATCTCTACTAAAAGTACAAAAATTGGTTGGGCATGGTGGCATGCACCTGTAGTCCCAGCTACTCGTGAGGCTGAGGCAGGAGAATCACTTTAACCCGGGAGGCGGAGGTTGCAGTGAGCCGAGATTGTGCCACTGCACTCCAGCCTGGTGAGAGTGAGACTCATCTCTAAAAAAAAAAAAAAAAAAAAAGAAAGAAAAAGTAGGTAACAACTATTGGGTTTACCTATGCATACATAATTGACCCTTGAATAACACAGATTTGAACTGTGTAGATCCACTTATATCTGGATTTCTTTTTTCCTTTTTTTTTTTCTTTTTTTGAGACAGAGACTCTGTCACCCAGGCTGGAGTGCAGTAGCCTGATCCCAGCTCACTGTAACCTCAGCCTCCTGAGTAGCTTGGATTACAGGTGCCCGCCACTGTGCCTGGCTAATAGAGATGAGGTTTCACCATCTTGGTCAGGCTAGTTTTGAACTCCTGACCTCGTGATCCACTCGCCTTGGCCTCCCAAAGTGCTGGGATTACAGGTGTGAGCCATCGCGCCCGGCTTTTTTTCTCAATAAAAACAGTCAGCACTCCACATCTACGGGTTCTGCATCTGCAACTGAAGGCAGATGGAAAATGAGGTATTTGTCTGATGTGAAACCCGCAGATACTGAGGGCCGGCTTTTTGTATACTTGGTTTTCACAGGATTGTGGGACTTGAGTATGCAAAGATTTTGCTGTCTGCTGGGAGGTGGGGGATGCCCTGGAACCAATCCTCATTGTGAATACTGAGGGACAACTGTATTTTCCTACTTCCTAGATTAGGCCTTCAAAGTACTTTAAGCGTTTAGCAAAGGATTAAGAGTTAAATGTAAAATAAAACCACATAAGAACTAGAAAAACAAAACAAAAATCACAAAAGAACTTAAAAAAAAAAGTTTAAATACCTACATAATCTTGAGGTGAAAGGTCTTTCTAAGCTGAATACCAAAACATATAAATAAGAAAAAAAAATGATTTTACTAAATAAAAATTGAAAATTTGTATGACAGGAAAAAAGTACCACAAATAAGTGTCACAGGACTTTGTTATGTATACGCTATATATATGTTGACATGTTATGTATGTCTGACATAAAAGAACACTTAAAAATAAGCTAAAAAATTAAGACCCTAATAGAAAAAGTCATAAGGCAATTGATAAAGTGGCGCTATAAGTTTAATGTAGTAACATAGACAGACATGGTCCTACCATGTTTATGGGGGTGGATGTACATACATTGTTAAAAAATAGAGCCTAGAAGAGACAGACTGAAATGTTCACAGTGGGTAATGCAGGGGAGCAAAACTGTGGGTAATTTTTATTTTGTTCTCCAAATTGCCTGAAGTTTTTCAGGGAGGTACACGTTACTGTACTAAGGAAAAAACTATTTTTTAAAAAGCTAAGTGTAAAAATTAAATGCAAAAAAAACAGGCATATGTCCTCTAAGCTAAACAGAGACAAAGAAAATTATTCTTCTCATCTGAATCTCATTTTCAGAATCTGTAACAAGGCTTGGTAAAAATGATTTTTAATATTTGTGAATTAATTTTTTGACCCTCTAAGAAGTTAAAATGAATTAATTTCTTTCTTATTAACTTTCAGAATACCATTTGCTAGTACATGAAGAATGCTATACATTTTTAATTCTCCCAACATATAGAAATTAAGTCAACATTAATAAAGTAATTAGTACACTGCCTACAATGTACTTACCGCTGTGATAAGTCTCACAGGAGGTAAACAAATGTACTTATTATACGTTAAATATTTCATGATTCAAATTTTCCACCAAGTTAGACTGGCATAGCCCAACACTGATGATGAATTTGGTAAAGCTGTTTGTCAAGAATCTTAGTAACATAAACCTATTGCTTCAAATTTCCATGTAACAAAAAGATAATATTATTGGTCTGCCATCAACAAAGTATGTGCTTTTGAATAATAGGTTTATTCTTCACATAGATTTGAAAACTCTGGTTAGAATCGGAAATCACTAAAAGTCAGCTAGAGTGGTTAGAATTAGAAATCACCAAGAGTAATCTATATGGGTTACAGATTTAACCCATATAAGGTTAATCCATACATAATCCATATAGGGTTAAATATATTATTATCACTTAATAATGATGATGATATACAACTTTTTTTGAGTGTTTATGTTCCATGTACCATGCTAAATAATTATTATCATCATTTAATTGCCGAGGAAATTTAAGCTTAGAGATTATGCAGCTAGCCCAAGATCACATCCAGTATTGGGATTCAAACCTGCATCTTTCTGGTGACAAAGTGTCATTATTGCCTTTTCATTAAATATTTTATAAATTTAGTTACTAGTGCTAGAATAAATGGAAATAATTTAAGCACTAGTGAAATAGTTTAAAATTGTATACTTATAAAAATGATTTGACTACCTAATAATCCATGTATGAAAACTATTCAGTGCCAACGATGTGAAAAAATATAAAATAGCCATATATCAAGCCAAAGAAATGGGTGGGTTATTTCCATTCTTTTATGTGCAAATGGAATAGGATGGAAATTAAGAGAGCAAACTGATCTTCTTTCTGTTACTAGTTCTTCATATGGGCTAAAACGAAAACCCAATTGTTGGGTCTAATAGTGCACTGTTAAATTTGCTAACTTTTAGGAATAAAAGAAAAATTTATCAGTGCTAGGCACTTTTGTGTTTGCTCACTTAATCCTTAATGAACAATTTCATAAGACAGATATTTTCACTCCATTTTGAAAAAAGAAAGAAATGAAACTGAGGCTTAGAAAGTTTGAACAACTTATATATGGCCGATAAGTGACAAAGCTGAGATTTGAATCTAGGTCTAAATGATCCCAAAGCTGCACTAAGCATAGGCTAATGTCAGTGTAGGAAAGCACAATTTGAAAATAATGAGCTAAATTTTAAAATAATTTTTATGTGTACTGATCACTGATTACTACTCTTATGTAACTATATATCAGGGAAAGCTAGCTTTCTGGTATGAAATGCAAAACCAAAGAATAAAAGCATTTGAAAAAGTATAAAAACATTTGTTTTAAAATCTTTATTTGAAGATTTAAGAAAGAAATATATTCCTATGACACATGTACCTATTTACTGTGACTAAAAATCTAGTAATCTAAGAGATAACTTCAGATAATTTCAGAATTTGGGGACTAAAAATGTTTTAATGGCTAAAAGGAGAAACAGGAAGTTCAAGTGTCTAAAAATCATATTATTTTTCTTTTTTTGGTACTACAATGTTCCAATGCTACTTTCAGGTCGTTAAACTCTTAAATATACTTGTTTTTAAAACTAGGGTCATAGGAAAGCACTAAACTTTAAGAAAAAAATTTCTAGAGGCAGGGCCTATGTTGCTCAGGCTCATATTGAACTTCTGGCCTCAAGTAATCCTCCCACCTCAGCCACCCAAGCCATTGGGATTATAGGCATGAGCCTGCTCCCAGCTTTAAACTTCTATCTTTGAAGTTTCATAGTACCTAAGAGATAGATTCATATAAGATCAGAAACAAAAGTATCTTTTAACGCTGTATTTATGCTATTTTACGCTATATATTATAATCCCCTAATCCTTTAGGGTTCTAATTCATACAATCAAGGATTCTGAAGTTAAGACCACCTAGTCTAATAACTTCACTTTTATAAAGGAAGAAATTTATAAAGTATCCTGGGAAGTTTGAGTAATTTCTCCATGATAGTTTTGTGAATTTGTGCTGGAGTGGAGACTGAACCCTAGCTTCCTTGATATAAAGTCCAAAACTTGTTACATTATACCATCATACTTTCTTCATTTATCTCCATTTTTGAAAGTGTCAAGTAGCAACTATAGTATGTTTAAACCCTGAGTTCTCAAGCAAACAGTTCAGAAGTCCCCACTCTTCTACTGGAGAAATTAGTCCAGACATATATGTAGAGCAATGACTACTTAATATTAACTTAAATGTACACTGGCCAGGTAGGTATAACTTCAGAATAAATAGTCTCCTGATGAAAGAGGTGCAGATTATTAGTTGCCATAACTATAACATAACATAAAGGACCCCTGGAAGTACTTAAAACAATGATAATAACATATTTGAATGCCAATCTATAATTTACAATGTAATTTCACATATTTTCTTCACTCATGGTCTCAATCAAGCTTTTAAAAAATTCATTCTATTGAGGTATAATTTTAAAACAAGAAACTAAAGTACATCCATTTAAAGCAAATAGTTTGAAGAGTTTTTTAGTCTTTGGCTTTATAATCAGTTTTTGTGAATAGGAATTCAGGAATGACTTAGTTGGGTGACTCTGGCTTCAAGTTTCTTATGAAGTTGTAATTAAGCTGTCAGCCAGGGTCTAAAGTCATCTGAAGGCTTGAATGAGGCAGTGGGGTTTGCATCTAAGATGGCTCACTCACCTGGCTCTTGGCAGAAGGCACCAATTCTCTGCTGGCTATTGGCCTTTAGTTTCTAGCCACATAGACCTCTCCATAAGGCTGCTTCTGAACTGTTTTGTTTTGTTTTGGTCTCAGTTACATTTATTTCTGCTCTGATCTCTATTATTTCTTTCTTTCTACTAGTTCTGAGTTTAGTTTGTTCTTGCTTTTCTAGTTCCATGAGGTGCATTGTTGGTTTGTTGATTTGAAGTCTTTCTACATTTTTGATATAGGATCTTATTGTTATAAACTTCCCTCTTAGTACTACTTTTGCCGTATCCCATAGATTTTGGTATGTTATGTTTCCATTTTCATTTATTTCAAGAAATTTTTTAATTTCCTTAATTTCTTCATTGACCATTTGGTCATTTAGGAGCATATTGTTTAATTTCCATGTGTTTTCATACTTTCTAACATTCATTTTTTTACTGATTTCTAGTTTTATTCCATGGTGGTCAGAAAAGATACTTGATATGATTTCAATATTTTTGAATTTGTTGAGATTGTTTTATGGCCTAAGATATGGTCCATTCTGGAGAATTTTCCATGTGTTGATGAAAACAATGAGTATTCTGCAGCATTTGGGTGAAATGTCCTGTAAAGGTCAGTTAAGCCAATTTGGTCTAGTGTGTAGTTTAACTTTGATGTTTGTTAATTTTCTATCTGGATGATCTGTTCGTTAATGATAGTGGGGTGTTAAAGTCCCCTATTATTGTTGTATTGCAATTTATCTTTCTCTTTAGATCTATTAATGTTTCCTTTATATACCTGGGAACTCTGGTGTTGGGTGCATATATATTATTATATCCTCTTGCTAAATTGATCTTGTATTAGGCTGTTCTTGCACTGCTATAAAGAAATACCCGAGGTGGGATAATTTACAAAGAAAAGAGGTTTAATTGGCTCACAGCTCTGTAGGCTTTATAGGAAGCATAGTGTTGACATCCGTTCAGCTTCTAGGGAGGCCTCAAGAAGCTTACAAACATAGTGGAAGGCAAACGGGAACAGGTACATCACATGGTGAAGCAGAAGCAAGAGAGAGAGTAGGAGCAGGAACACTTTTAAATGACTAGATCTCATGAGAGCTCACTATCACAAAGACAGCACCAGGCCTTCATGGATCCACCCCTATGAGCCAAACACCTACCACCAGGCCCCCGCTCCAGCATTGGGGATTACAATTCAACGTGAGATCTGGGCATGGACAAATATCTAAACTATATCACTCTGCCCCGGCCTCTCCCAAATCTTATGTCCGTCTCACACTGCAAAATACTAGCCCGCCTTGTATGCATTCCCAATAGTCCCCTAAAGTCTTAATTCATTCCAGCATTAATGCAAAAGTCCAAAGTCTCTTCTGAGACAAGGCAAATCCCATCTACCTATTAGCCTGTAAATTAAAAACAAGTTAGTTACTTTCAAGATACAATCGGAGGTATAAGCACTGAGTAAACATTCCCATTCTAAAAGGGAGAAATCAGCCAAAAGAAAGGAGCTACAGGCTCCACGGAAGTTCATAACGCTGCAGGGCAGTCATTAAATCTTAAAGCTCCAAAATAATCTCCAGTGACTCCATATCCCACATCCAAGGCAAACTGGTGCAAGGGGTGGGCTCCAAAGGCCTTGGGAGCTCCACCTCTGTGGCTTTGCAGGGTTCAGCCCCCATGGCTGCTTTCAAGAGCTGGTGTTGAGTGCCTGCAGCTTTTCCAGGTTCAGGGTGCAAGCTGCTGGTGGATTTACCATTCTGGGGTCTGGAGGACAATGGCCTCCTTCTCACAGCATCACTGGGCAGTGTCCCATTGGGGACTCTGTGTGGGGGCTCCAACCCCACATTTCCCCTTGGCACTGCTGTAGTAGAGGTTCTCTATGAGGGCTCTGCCCCTGAAGCAGGCTTCTGCCGGGACACCCAGGGTTTCTCATACAGCCTCTAAAATCTAGGCAGAAGTTGCCAAGCCTCATTCACTCTTGCACTCTATGTGCCTACAAGCTTAACAACATGTGGAAGCTGCCAAGGGTTATGGCTTGCATACTCTGAAGTAGCACCCTGAGCTGTACCAGGGGCCCTTTGAACCAAAGCTGAAGCCAGAGTAGCTGGGATGCAGGGAGCACTGTCCTGAGGCTGTGCAGAGCAGCAGAGCCCTGGTCCTGGCCCAGAAAACCATTCTTTCCTCCTAGGCCTCTGGGCCTGTGATGGGAGGGGCTGCTGTGAAGGTCTCTGAAATGTCTTTGAGGCCTTTTCTTCATTGTCTTTGATATTAGCACTTGGCTCTCTTTTAGCTGCATGAATAACTGGCAAGTGGTTGCTCCACAGCCTGCTTGAATTCCTCTCCTGAAAAAGCTTTTTCTTTCTCTGCCACAGGGCCAGCATGCAAATTTTTCAAACTTTTATGCTCAGCTTCCCTTTTAAATATAAGTTCCAACTTTCAGTCATTCCTTTGCTCCTACATCTGAGCATAGGCTGTTAGAAGCAGTAAGACCACATCTTGAACCTTTTGCTGCTTAGAAATTTCTTCTCCCAGATACCCTAAATCATCACTATGAAGTCCAAACTTCCACAGATTCCTACGGCATGAACAGAATGCAGTCAAGCTCTTTGCTAAGGCATAACACATATGACTGCCTTAGTTCCCAATAAGTTCCTCATTTCCATCTGAGATCTTAGCAGCCTGGACTTCATTGTCCATATCACTTTCAGAATTTTGGTGACAAAAATTTAATCAGTGTCTAAGAAGTTCCAAACTTTCCCTCATCTTCCTGTCTTCTTCTGAGCCCTCCAAACTCTTCCAACCTCTACCTGTTACCTAGTTCTGAAGTTGTTTCCACATTTTGAGGTACCTTTATAGTAAAGCCCCACTTCTGGTACCAATTTTCTGTGTTAGGCTGTTCTGCTATAAAGAAATAGCTGAGACTGGGTAATTTATAGAGAAAAGAGATTTAATTGGCTGATGGTTCTTCAGGCTTTACAGGAAGCACAATGCTAGCATCTGCTTGGCTTCTAGGGGAGCCTCGGGAAGCTTACCATCATGGCAGAAGGCAAAGGGAGAGCAGGCATATCACGTAATGAAACAGGAGCAAGAAACAGAGTTGAGTGGGGAGGTGACACACACTTCTAAATGCCCTGATCTCATAAGAACTCACTAGCATGAAAACAGTACCAAGCCATGAGGGATCTGCACCCATGATCCAAACCTTTCCACTAGGCCTCCCCGCCAGCATGGGAGATTATAATTCAACATGAGATTTGGGCAGAGTCAAAACTATATCAGATCCCTTTGTCATTTTATAGTGACCCTCTTTGTCTCTTTTGACAGTCTTTGATTTGTAGTCTATTTTATCTAAATTTAGCTCCCCCTGCTCTTTTTTGGTTTCCAGTTTCATGGAATACTTTTTTTCCATCCCTTCACTTTCAGTCTATGTACATCTTTATAGGTGAACTGGGTTTCTCATAGGCAGCATATAGTTGCATCTTGTTTCTTTATCCATTTAGACACTATGACTTTTAATTGGCAAATTGAGTCCATTTATATTCAGTGCTATTATTGATAAGGACTTACTATTGCCAATTTGTTGTTGATTTTCTCATTGATTTGTAACTCCTCTCTTCTTTTCTTCCTGTCTTCCTCTGTGGTTAAGTGATTTTTCCTTCTGTTAGTATGTTTAATTCATTGCTTTTTATTTTTAGGGAATCTATTACAGGTTTTTGCATTGTGGTTATGTGAGGCTCACAAAAAACATCTTATAGATATGACAAGTTATTTTATTTTATATTTACTTTGGATCTCAAAGTTATTTTATTTTATATTTACTTTGGATCTCAAAGAAAAGTGTGAAAACAAAAATTAAAAACAAAACAAAAACTTTACGTTTAAATTCTCGCCACCCTCCCACATTTTGACTTTATGTTGTCTCAGTTTACATATTTTTATACTGCTTATCTCTTAACAGGTTGCTGTAGCTATTATTGTTTTCCAGACACTTGTCTTTTGGCCTTCATACTGGAGTTACGAGTGGATCTCACACCACAATTACATCCTAAGTTTGTCTGTGTATTTAATTTTACCAGTGGATTTTATACTTTTCAATGCTTTCTTTTCACGTGTTAGCTTGGTTTTTTTAAGATTGAAGTTAGCATTTCTTGTAAAATAAGTCTGATGGTGGTGAATTTACTCAGCTTTTATTTGTCTGGGAAAGGCTTTATCTCTCCTTTATAATTGAAGGAAAACTTTGCTGGGTACAGTATTATTGGATGGCAGTTAGAAAATGTCACTACACTTCCTCCTGGCCTGATTTCTATTGAGAAGTCTATTGCCCAATGAATTAAACCTCCTTTATGTGTTATATTCTTCTTTTCTCTTGCTATTTTTAAGATCCTCCATTTATCCTTGACCTTTGAGGGTTTATTATATCCATGGGTGTCTGATTTGGAACAAATTTGGTATTCTCTGGCCTTTCAATAATTTTTTTTTTGAGACGGAGTCTTGCTCTGTCGCCCAGGTTGGAGTGCAGTGGCACGATCTCGGCTCACTGCAAGCTCCGCCTCCCAGGTTCATGCCACTCTCCTGCCTCAGCCTCCCAAGTATCTGGGCCTATAGGTGTCCGCCACCACGCCTGGCTAATTTTTTGTATTTTTAGTGTAGGTGGGGTTTCATCTCAGCCTCCCAAAGTACTAGGATTACAGGCATGAGCCACTGTGCCCAGCCCTCTGGCCTTTCAATACCTGAATATTTATCTCCTCAAGTTTTGGAAAATTTCCTGTGAGTGTTTTTTTTTGAAAGCTTTCTACCCCTTGCTCTTGCTCAGCTTCCTCTTAAACACCAGTAATTCTTAAACCTGGTCTTTGAAGTAATTTTCTATATCTTGTAGGCAATCTTTGTTCCTTTGTTCTTTTTTCTCCTTTGACTGTGTATTTTCTTTTCTTTTTTTCCCCCCCGTTGCCCAGGCTGGAGTGCAATGGCGCAATCTCAGCTCACTGCAAGCTCCGCCTCCTGAGTTCACGCCATTCTCCTGTCTCAGCCTCCCAAGTAGCTGGGACTACAGGCAGCTGCCACCACGCCTGGCTAATTTTTTTTTTTTTTTTTTGAGATGAAGTCTTGCTCTGTCGCCCAAGCCAGAGTGCAGTGGCGCAATCTCGGCTCACTGCAAACTCCGCCTCCTGGGTTCATGCCATTCTCCTGCCTCAGCCTCCCAAGTAGCTGGAACTACAGGGGCCCACCACCACACTAGGCTAAATTTTTGTATTTTTAGTGGAGACAGGGTTTCACCATGTTAGCCAAGATGGTCTCGATCTCCTGACCTTGTGATCCACCCACCTCGGCCTCCCAAAGTGCTGGGATTACAGGCGTGAGCCACCGCACCTGGCCAATTTTTGTATTTTTAGTAGAGATGGGGTTTTGCCTTGTTGGTCAGGCTGGTCTCGAACTCCTGACCAGCCTGATCCACCTGCCTCGGCCTCCCAAATTGCTGGTACCACAGGTGTTAGCCCCCATGCCTGACTGACTGTGTATTTTCAAATAGCCTGTTTACAGCTTGCTGATCCTTTCCTCTGAATGATCCAGTCTACTCTTAAGAGTTCCTAGTGAATTTTGCAGTTCAACTAATATATTTCTCAGTTCCAATATTTGATTTTTTAAAATTATTTCAATCTCTCTGTTAAATTATCTCATAAGTTTCTGAATTGCTTTTCTGTATTATCTTGAAGATCACTGAGTTTTTTTAAAACTGTATTTTGAATGATTAGTCATAGAGTTCACACATCACCATCTTGTTAAAGTCAGTCACTGGTTCCTTGCCTTATCCATTAGAGGAGGTTCTCTGTTGTTGCTTCCTGTATGTCTGCGTCTTTGGATGGAAGGTTATTTATGCCAGTGTTCTCTGTCTGGCATGTTTTGGTTTTTATTAGATACCTTTACTTAGAGATTCTTTGCAATTTACTTTTTTTTTCCACTGCTAGGTTGTAGACTCTTTTTTGGCACTAAATGGTACCTTAAGCACAGATTTGCCTCATTTCTAGTAAACAATCAGAGTGTTCCCCATCCCAAATTGGGAAGGTCCTGCAGGAGATATTCCAGTAACGTGTAGAAAGTCTGGCTAGGGGTTTTTGCCCACGGGAACGATGGAACAAACCTCCTACAGCATGGTGCCACTGAAAGGCCACACTGATTGATTTGGCATCTCCTTTGGTGGAGTAACAGAGCAGAGTTTCCATGGCTGGGGATGATAGTCCCACCTCCCTGCTTTGTCTCTGGCTGTCCTCAGGAATATTTCTTCCTTCACACACTCCCAATGCTTCCTGTGGGTTGAAGCAGGGACAGGTCTCCTGTCAGGAACCCAAGACGGTGGGGAAGCTGGTTATCCATCTCAACCTCACTTTTTCCAGTGTAGAAACCATGAGTCAGGAGGAGAAATGTTCCACATGCCTGGTGCTGGACCGATTGTGGGGAAGGGCACTGAAGATATGGAAGTCCAATTCTATTACTATCTACTCAAATTTTTTAATATTTTTAATTTTTGTGGGTAGATATATGTATTTATGGGGTACACGAGATGTTTTGATACAGGCATGCAATGTGTAATAATTACATCATGGAAGATGGGGTATCCATTCCCCCAAGCATTTATCCTTTGTGTTATAAACAGTCCAATTATACTCTTTTAGTTATTTTTAAATGTACAATTAAATTATTATTGACTATAGTCACCATTTTGCTAGCAAATACTAGGTCTTATTCATTCATTCTAAATATTTTTTTGTAACCATTAACCATCCCCACCACCCTTCCTAGCCTCTGGTAACCATCCTTCTACTCTTTATCTCCATGATTTAATTTGTTTTGATTTTTAGATCCCACAAGTAAGTGAGAACATGCGATGTTTGTCTTTCTGTGCCTGGCTTATTTCACTTACCATAATGACCTCCAGTTCCATCCATGTTGTTGAAAATGACTGAATCTCATTCTTTTTCATGGCTGAATAGTACACCATAGTATAAGTACCACATTTTCTTTCTTTTTTTTTTTTTTTTGGAGATGGAGTCTCGTTCTGTCACCCAGGCTGGAGTGCAGTGGCATGATCTCGGCTCACAGCAACCTCTACTTCCTGGGTTCAAGCTATTCTCCTGCCTCAGCCTCCCAAGTAGCTGGGATTATAGGCACATGCCGCCATGTCCAGCTAATTTTTTTGTACTTTAGTAGAGACGGGGTTCACCATGTTGCCCAGGCTGGTCTCGAACTCCTTAGCTCAGGCAATCCACACGCCTCAGCCTCCCAAAGTCCTGGGATTATAGGCATGAGCCACCGCACCTGGCCTAAGTACCACATTTTCTTTATCCATTTATCTGTTGATAAACACTTAGGTTCCTTCTAAATCTTGGCTATTATGAACAGAGCTGCAACAAACATGGGAATGCAGGTATCTCTTCAGTATGCCAATTTCCTTTCTTTTGGGTATACAGAGAGCAGTGGAATTGCTGAGTCATATGGTAGCTTTATTTTTAGTTTTTTGAGGAAACTCCAAACTGCTTTCCACAGTGGTTATATTAATTTACATTCCCATCAACAGTGTATGAGGGTTCCCTTTTCTTCATATCCTTGCCAGCATTTGTTATTGCCCACCTTTTGTATATAAGCCATTTTAACTGGCATGAGATGATATCTCGTTGTTTTGATTTGCATTTCTCTGATGGTCAAGGATGTTGAGCACCTTTTCATATATCGGTTTGCCATTTGTATGTCTTCTTTTCAGATTCTATTCAAATCTTCTGCCAATTTTTCAATTGGATTATTAGATTTTTTTCCTATAGAGTTTTGCTCAAAGATTTTGTTCTTGATTTCCCTGTGATTCTACAAACTGTTTTATCTTAATATTTGAGTGCTGGGATATTGCTGGTGATGATCTCGGTGCTCTCTTGTTTGTGGTTTTCTGTGAAGGGGAGTGAAGCCAACTTGCTTCTACACCATTTTGGAACATAAAATCTCTCCACAGGGCTGCTTGAGTGTCCTCACAACATGTCAGCTGGCTTTCCCAAGTTCAATAAGTTCTGAAGGACATATACACCTGCATAACCACTACCACAACCAGCATACAGAACATTTCCATCATCCAAACAGTTCCTTCAGGTTCCTTTGTAGTCAGTCCATCCCTTCACTCCTGTCTCCATATAACCATCATCAGCTTTCTGTTATTGTTTTTTAGTTTGTATTTTCTTTCTTCCTTTTCTTTTGAAGAGACAGGGGGTCTTGCTCTGCCACTTAGGCTGGAGTACAGTCGCATGATCATAGCTCACTGTAACCTCAATCTCCTGGGCTCACACCATACCCCTGCCTCAGCCTCCCAAGTAACTGGGACTACAGGCATGCACCATTATGCCCACATACATTTTTTTATTTTCTGTGCACTGACAGGGACAGGGGTCTCGCTATGTTGCCCAGGCTGGTCTTGAACTCTGGGCCTCAAGTGATTCTTCCTCCTCAGCCTCCCAAAGTGCTGGGATTACAGGCATTAGGCATTGTGCGTGGCCCAGTTTGTATTTTCTAGAGCTTCATATAAATGGAATCACATAGTATGTAGTTTCTGTGTAAGGTCTCTTTCACTCAGCATAATGTTTTTGAGATTCATTCTGTTGTTGTGTGTATCAGATCATTCCTTTTTATTAAGTAGTGTATACAGCTATACCATGAAAAATTTCTCAATTATTTCTTGGATTTCATCAATAAAAAAATTTGTGGACATTTGTTTCTTTATCCTATAATGTAGGAAATATCCTACAGAATATCCTTGATTTTGCTTCTTGTCCTGCAAAGCCTAAAATATTAAAATATTACTACCTGATCCTTAATAGAAAAAGTTTTCTGACCCTGGAGTAGCAGAATAGTCATGATTTGGGAACTTGCTATAATTCCAGACTCTCAAAACCTACCCTAGAACTATTGACTTAGAATCTAGATTTTAACAAGGTCCTAGGTAAATCATACATATATCAAAGTATGAGAGGCACTGTTTTTCTCTGACAGTTTTTAAAATTTTACAGTTATAACAATAATGCACTGCATATGTGAAAGTGTGTGAGAGATAGCCGTGTGTG
Organism: Homo sapiens; assembly: GCF_000001405.40. Classification (NCBI taxonomy): domain Eukaryota; kingdom Metazoa; phylum Chordata; class Mammalia; order Primates; family Hominidae; genus Homo; species Homo sapiens. The sequence goes on along the minus strand of NC_000002.12, from coordinate 189,936,278 downwards.
TGTGTGTGTGTGTGTGTGTATCAACAAGTCTAACAGAGTCATTCAAGTCTATGACATTCAAAAAACTATTATTGGCATCTAAAACAAACCCATAAAAATACCCAAATAAAATATGGAGACATATACATGTTGAATTTTTTTTCAATATTACTCCTGTATAGAATTCTAATTCTCATTTTAAATTTACCATCTTTAGATAGAAAATATCCATTATTTTATAATCTTACAATATTAAATGATTTCCTAAAGTTTCTTGTTAAAGCACTTTTCAAAAGAGCAAATGAAACACAACCAAAAACTGTTCTGTCTTCTGTAAAAGGATGTACTAGTGATTAGCAGAGATTAACAGATAATCATCTTCATGCATGTGACCAACAAGGCCAAAAGGTCACCAGGGTTTTCATTTATTATATGCTGTAAAATTCATGAAGCAAACCTACTTGGCATGTATTTTTTAATATTATACACATCTTTTGATCAACAAATTAAAAGTTAAAGAACAAGTCATTGAATTCCTATTAATATTTGCTGAAAAAGTATGTGAAATGTGAAGATTTTCTCTTCATGCAAAAATCATGATAAAGACATTTTCAAAATCAGAGAAAACTAATTTATATAACATAACTAAATTTGCTACAAGCAGTAACAAATAGCTTTGTGTTACTAAACTCAGACAGCTGTTAAGTTTGTAATCATCTCCTATACCTAACTGCAGTAAGCATTTTGGGTTTCCTAGACTCCATTTGAAAATTATATTTATGTACCTATTATTTTAGAAAACGAGTTTCATACTTTCACTGATTTAATTCTGTCAATTCTAAGTTTCTATTTGGGATCCTTAATAAAATATTCAAAATGAAGAAAATATTTAATTATCTTTTCGATATTTACTTTACCAATGTTAGCTTGAAAATAGCAACTTCTTTTCTTCAAACTATCTTTTCCAGAATTTCTTGATTCACTTTGTATCTTTTTGCACACGTGCTAGTTCTAAATATATGTCTGAACTCCAAATGACTTCTCTTCATATTAATAGTCCAAAACAAGCTATTAAATCTTCCTTATAACAAGCAACAATATGCCAAAACACTTGCTCTGTATTTCATACTTTAATAAAAAGGATGTATAAACACTAAAAAAAATTATTTTAAAAACCCATTCCTTCATTAATAAATATCATGTTCCCCATTCATTTGACAAAATTTGGCACTAGTCAGAAGCTGTCATAGGAGCTGTTCAAAGATCAGAAATTTTCAGGTTTATCTCATCTTATTTAAAAACGCTACATGCATTATGCTTGCAGCCAGATCATATAGTCCCTTTAAGACAATCAGAGATTCACCTGAATTAGTCCTGCTTTGGAAAGTCAGTCTTTTAAATGGCATTGTTAGAAAATCATACAATAATAAAACAATATGAGAATATATCTTTTTCTTTCTGTTTGAGGCTCTACTAATATTTATTATTCACTTTAAGAAAGACTTGAATTGTAAAAACATAAAATAGATAAAATAAATTCTTTATAATCTTTTATATTCTAAATGATCTATATATTATTTAAAAACAAGATAGTATTAATTATAGAAAAAAATTAAAAAGGGGTTTCATTTAAAACTGATGTGTTTATCTGGGAATTATAAAAGAAAAATTTAAAAGATTATGTAAAACTAAGTATAACAGGAAATATTAAAAGGGCACCCTTAAAATTCTAGATTTAAATATAGGTAATTGGAGAACCTACAGGTCATAATGTAGTAAGTCTTGATTTTTAAAAGTCAACAAAAAATGTTTCCCTCTAAAATATACTCTTTCCAATTTTAAGGTAAAAATGGAGAAAAATAGAAATCATTAACAATGCATGAACCAAAAATTAGTTTAGAATAAAGGCCAATTACAATTATGGAATCTGCATCTGTTCATTACAAATTTTGTCAGTTTTCCAGAATATGAGGCTAGGCAGTTTTTACAAATGACGTAAATGGAAATGTGTTCAGAAATGGCTAAACAATGTGTGCAACATGCAAAAAATGTGATGTTACAGCTACAAAGGAATTCACTCTTCTTCACACTACTATTTATATAGACTTCTCTTGGTTCTATTTCTATGGACATTTTTCTTACTCTGTATAATTTTGCCAATTGAGAGACTGACTCAACATTCTTTGAATATTTGAAATTTCTACAAATATGAAACATCTCCTACCAAGGTGTACAGAATGGCTTACAAAGAGTTTAGATGACTTAGAAAAATTGCATTAAATTTCTCTGATAAATGTGTGGCAAATGTTTAGATGAGTAATCTTCTTAAGGCTATTTCTAATCCATGGGATCAGCTTTTTGGGCAATCAATGGACTTCTTAGGACATGCCATATTTAGCTGAGAAAAGGCTGTCCAGGTTAGTGAGAAAGAAAATTCATTTGGGGCATATCAAGTAGTCCAAAAGTGACAAAATAATATCAAATATTAACAAAGAAATAAGCCTAAAGAGAGTTAAGCAGGTTTTTAAAAAATCAGATAAGCATTTCCTATAGTCTCTTAGAAACTGAGAAAAATAGGTTATTATCATTAATAAATTTCAAAAATGTTGGGTATTCTCCCATCTCTAAGAGATTCATGGTATGTAGTTAACATATTAAAGGCTCTGTGAGCTAAGTCCAAAAAAGAAAGCAATTTAATTTTTGTAGATGAAATCTCTACCCCTTTTTGAAAATTTCAACCCACATATTTTTCCACAGAAGACAATTTGGAAAGGCTTTGATAATTTTAGATATTTAGGCAGTAAAATGTGACAAACAAAAATGGCCCACATATGAAAAATGACTGTTTAAAAATCATCTAAAAGAATTGAAAATAAAAGAAATGGGAAGGTGGGCCCTTCCTTGGGTATTATTCATTTATTCAACAAATATTTACTGAGTATTAAGTGTGACAAACATAATGCTAGACACTAGGTACACGGTTTTGATTTTCTAAGACACTGTTTCTGCCCCCACTCTCACATCTCCCTCCCAAAAGGAGTAGAAGTCTTTATGAGAGATACTTCTGTTACATGAGTAAACTATCAGTTTCAACCCAAATATAGTGTTAACCTAGTTTCACAAGCACTGGCATTAGTAAAGGCACTTAACAAGCAAGAAAATATTAATAACTAAATGCTGATTATATAAGTTTTTTCTCAAATCTGAAAACTGAAGATACTGAGTATCTGCCCAAATTAAACATTAATAAAGTGATGCTGGTGATGACATAATGTTCTCAGTGATGGGCATGAGACATAGGATAATCTAGATATGAGCTACCGGCAATATATGATCAGTAATCTTTGCTTTTTCGGACCCTAACAATGATACAAATATTTTAAGTATCTTTAAGATACTCAGTTGATAGAGAAAGCCATATTCCATGTGGCTTTTAATTAAATGTTACCAATAATGTAAAACAATCCCATTTTTACCAGGAGACATATTCAGTCAATAAAAACCTGCTGGAAAGGCTCTCACTGGTCAAATCTAGGATAATGTAGCATCAAAATAACTAATGATAGTAATGGATTCTTTTTTTTTTTTTTTTGAAAGAGAGGGTATCACTCTGTTGCACAGGCTGGAGTATAGTGGCACTATCCTGACTCACTGCAGCCTCGACGTCCCCAGGTTCAAGCAATCCTTCTGCCTCAGCCTCCTGAGTGGCTGGGACTAAAGGTGCACGAGTTCCTACCAATAGTAGTAAATAAAGGAGAAGGGATAATTCTTCCCCAAAATAGAATTCCAACTAATAAATGTGGTATATATATTAGAAGTGGTGTGCATGTGTGGTGGTGGGGGGAGAATCAGCATTTATCATGAATAGAATGACTTTTTTTTTTTTTTTTTTGAGTTGGAGTCTCGCTCAGTCGCCCAGGCTGGAGTGCAATGGTGCGATCTCGGCTCACTGCAACCTCCACCTCCCAGGTTGAAGCAATTATCCTGCCTCAGCCTCCCGAGTAGCTGGGACTACAGGTGCGTGCCACCACATCCAGCTAATTTTTGTATTTTTAGTGGAGACGGGATTTCACTATGTTGGCCAGGCTGGTCTCGAACTCCTGACCTCACTTTTTAACGACCATTTGTCATAAAAAGAAAGACTGAGGAATTATCCCTTTTTGGTCTTGTTGGTCACATGGATAAAGATGATCATCTGTTAATCTCTGCTCATCACATAAGAAAGCCATGACAACTAAACACGATGAGGGATTCTGGACCAAAGTAAGAACAGTGAGGTGTCTGGCAAAATTTAGAACTTTTTTCTTTTGCTTTGAAGGACATTAGTTGGGAAATTGGCAAAATTTAAATAAGGACTGTAAATCAGTTAATAATATTGTATCGGGCTGGGGCTCATGCCTGTAAATCCCAGCATTTTAAGAGGACAAGGTGGGTAGATCACTTGAGCTCATGAGTTCGAGACCAGCCTAGACAACATGGTGAAACCCCATCTCTCCCCAAAAAATTACAAAAAATTAGCTGAGCATGGTGGTGCGTGCCTATAGTTTCAGCTACTTGGGAGGCTGAGGTGGGAGAATCACCTGAGCCCAAAAGTCAAGGCTGCAGTGAGCCACGATTGTGCACATTTGGGGCTGAGGCAGGAGGATCACTTGAGGACAAGAGTTTGCTTGAGGAGGGAGGCTGAGGCAGGAGGATCACTTGAGGACAGGAGTTCGAGACCAGCCTGGGGAACATAGCGAGACCCTGTCACCACACACAAAAAAATTTTTAATTAGCCAGGTGTGGTGATGTGTACCTGTAGTCCTAGCTACTAGAGAGACTGACACAGGAGGACTGTTTGAGCCTGGGAGTTTGAGGTTAATATGAGCTATGATCGCACCACTGCACTCCAGCATGGGTGACAGAGTGCGACTCTGTCTTCAAAATAATAATAATAACAATATTGCATCAAAGTTAATTTCCTGTTTTCTATACACAGTACAATTATTATATTATGATTGTGTAAGATGTTAACATTTGGGGTGAAGGGTGTACTATTTTTACAATTTTTGTAAATGTAAATTAATTCAAAATAAAATTTAAAAAGAAAAAAAACCACCATTTCACAAACCACCATAACTGTTTCAAGTAAGAGTCATCATCAGTAGATGCTAAAACTAGTGGAGGAAAGTATGAGCAACAATATATTTACATAGTCTCAAAGTATCCCACATACTTATTAATTTCAAGGTAGAAAATAGAGAAGACTGTCAGTGCACAGATCACACACCCACCCCTTGGCCCCAGAAGATGGGGAACTGCCTCAAATCCCCCACCTCGGATGACATCTCCCTGCTTCAGGAGTCTCAGTCCGACTGGGCTAGCTTTAGCGAGGGAACTAAGCCGTATCAGGAGCCGCTGCCATATCAGGAACAGGTTCCAGCTCCAGTCTACCATCCAACACCTAGCAAACACCTATCCTAACAAATTAGGATAGCTCAAAGAATAGGCCTTATACAACATCTGCCTAAAGGAGTTTATGACCCTGGAAGAGATGGATCAGTAAAACAGATCTGGGAGTGTGTGATCTGTATGATGGACTTTGTTTATGGGGACCCAATTCAATTTCTTTTTTTTTTTTTTTGAGAGGGAGTTTCCTTCTTGTCACCCAGGCTGGAGTGCAGTGGCGCGATCTTGGCTGACTGCAACCTCTGCCTCCCAGGTTCAAGCAATTCTCCTGCCTCAGCCTCCGGAGTAGCTGGGACTACAGGGGCGCGCCACCACGCCAGCTAATTTTTGTATTTTTAGTAGAGACGGGGTTTCACTATGTTGGCCAGGATGGTCTCGATTTCTTGACCTCGTGATTCGCCCATCTCGGCCTCCCAAAGTGCTGGGATTACAGGCGTGAAGCCACCGCGCCCAGCCCCAATTCAATTTCTACCGTGCATGTACATCTACCACCTGGACTGTATTATGACTGGTAGATGAGATCCTTCACGTGCCCCTCCTCCATGGAGCCAGTTGATGCAGCACTGCTTTCAACCTAGACTATTGAGCCAGGGTGTCTCATCTGACTTCAAGTGAACCATCATGTTGGGGGGTTTTGATCTGTTGTCACTAAGCCCAAAGAACCAGGGATTAGGAATTAAGATCATGCACAAAAGTTTCCTAAAAATTCCTGGATGGCTGCAGATGTTGGGGGAAAGTACATGATATTTCAAAACTTAGAGAGAAAAGTAGGATGGTATTTTTATGTAAGGCCTTGACCCAATGTTCAAAAATATAACTGTATTTAGACCTTGTTATTGCTCCAGTACATAGGAATTGTGTAAAGTGTTACAGCAGCTGTATTTGTTTAAATTGTATGTACTGAAGATAAGCAAAAGATAGTAGTTATTTTCCTAAATGAAATAACTTTCTTCTCTTCCCCCTCCCCATCCCCAAATTCTTTTCTGATGTTACTGGCATTTGGGTCAAGGTTTTATTAAAAGCTGCATTTTATAACACTGGCACACACAAAAAAAGTAGTTTAAAGCTTGTTTGCACAGTTATTTTTTTCCATTAGAAATGGAATTCATTGCCTTAGGTCCTTTTAAATAGTGTATTATTATCATTGGGCTAGTTCTATGCTTGAAAACCAGTTTATTTATAATCTGTTATAAGTGCTATATTCTGTTTGCAGTCAGGAAATGCAGAATTCAAAGTGATATCCTAGCTTGTAAGCAAACTGAGATGTACTATCCCTTTTCTATTAAAAAAAAAAAGTGTCAATAAACCAACTCTATTACAGTGGGGTTTAATATTACACTTTCCTGTGTGTTTTATCTAATTATTTTGGTTGTTAATATGGTGATAATTGAAAATCAAGGTAAATTTTAAATATTAAGAATTCTGATTTATTGAGATTGAATTATGCCACCATGTTTATGAAAAATGAAGGTGGCACCACGGTGAGACCTCATGAGAAATAGTTACTCAGCTGTAACAATTTTGATTTATTCTGTTTCCTGTGACCTCCTTCCCTCTTGTCTTGAACCATAGCAAAAAGATACTGCATCCCTCATTACTGTAATGCTGAGGTTACTGAAGTTACATAAAACACATCTCAGTCCCTGTTTCTTGGAAAGGTATCTATTAAGTCCTGCTAGCTAACTGACAAAATGAAGCAAGTAGAAGCAAAAAGTGTGTTTCACATTTTGCACACAAATGCAGAATTTGTATAACCACATGACTTCATAGTTGTGATCTCAAAAAAGAAGGAATTTCTCCATTTTTTCTTCCATTTAATGTAAGAATACTTTAAATCTCTAGGCTTCTGAAGTGTTAGAGGTAAAGACATAGTAGTAATGTTTTATCCATTTAATGTATTTATTTTTTCGTATATACTCCTAGGTGACCTACTTTTTCACTTCAGTGACATAACAGTAAAGAAAAATCATTCATTAGGAAAAGGAAAAGTGGTCTCAACCTAACAAAGAAATCAGAAATGTTTCTTATTATTTTATGTTGAGCTGCATATTGGACTCTAACATTTTTCTACATGCAAAACACAGTGTCATGAAGCTTCTTCATAATTGCAATATAGAGGAATTTAGTATCTCTTAAGTACTTTGTAAAGATTTGACATTCAACTATAGTATCCATATGTTGGTTAAATTTCCTTATGAGCCCCATGATGGAAAGACTTAAAGATGAATTTGAGAAAAATTGAAAGAAATTAGAGTATCAAGTTGTGTTAAATTGTTACATGTATCTTGCTTAAATTTCTGTTTATTAATTTATATCCACCCAATTACATAAAGCAAATTTGAAGGAAACAACTGAAGTTGTGAAATATTATCTGTGATAATTGCTTTTTTTATTCTTGTGTTTTCTACTTAAACATGATGTCTATGTCATCAAGTATTATAGTCAGACTTTTTTCTCAATTGTTAAAATTGGTAAATGAACTTTTTTAAAATAAAAAAAGCTTCTCCAACTTTACAATGGAAATAGATCAATGAACCTGATAAATCAATGTTAACATTACCAGTAACAAGAAAAATTGATACAATGGGCCTTCAAATATGATTCACTGAAAAAGACACAAATGCATTTCTGTAGTATTGTTCCTGAATATCCAATATCTGATACTAATCTGAAGGAAACACCAAACTCCAAATAAGGCACATTTCATAAAATAACAGGCCTGTAACTCTTGAAAAATGTTAAGGACCTGAAAGATAAATTAATTCTGTAAACAATTCCAGATTAAACAATACTAAAAAGACATGAAATCTAAATGTCACTTGATTGCGCAATCATTCCTGAAACAGGAAAAAAATCATCTTTTACTTACTACAAAAGACATTAATGGGACAACTGGCAACATTTGAATGTCTAGAGCATTACAAATACAACTTTCTGCAATGATGGTAGTGTTCTATATCTATGCTCTCCAATACAATAACCACTGGACTGCTGAGTGCCTGAAATGAGAAACTGAATTTCTAATGTATTTAATTTATTTAAATAGCCACATATGGCTAGTGGCCACCAGACTGAACAGCACAGGCTTATATACTAGACAATAGTACTATATCAATGTTAATTTCCTGATTTGATGACTGTATTAAGATTACACGAGAGAATATCCTTATTTTTAGGGAAAAAACACTGAACTGTTTAGAGGTTAAGGAGCATCATGTGTACAACTTAAAATCTTCAAAATGTTTCAGAGAAAAGAAAGAATGGTAAAGCAATGTGGTAAAACGTTAATATTTTGAGAATCTGGGTGAAGTGTATACAGAATTCTTCATACTATTTTTGTAAGTCTACCATTATCGCACATTAAAAGTTAAAAAGAAAAGAATAGCTGCATAAAATCAATATTATTCTCACTAAAACTTATTTGTACACTATTTTTCACTTTGTTCTTGAAATGTGAATGTTCAACTGTTAATTCGATTTCATTTTTAAAAAAACTCCTCTATACTCTATAAACTATTCACTCTCTGACCAAAAGTGTATAATATATTAAGCTATTCTAAACTTTTATAGTTAGCAGAAAAGAAAGAGCATAGAACTGAGATTTCAGCCTGAGTACTGAATATTTAAAGTAGCAAAGGTATTGCAAAATTAAGTTCATTGCTGGGCATGGGAACTCATGCCTGTAATCCCAGTACTTTGGGAGGCTGAGGTGGGAGGATCACTTGAGGTCAGGAGTTCAAGACCAGCCTGGGCAACAGAGAGACAGGGATCTGTCTCTACAAAAAATAAAAATAAAAAAAATTAACCAGGCATGGTGGTGTGCATCTATAGCCCTAGCTACTTGGGAGGTTGAGGTAGGAGGATCACTTGAATCCAGGAGTTTGAGGCTGCAGTGAGCTATGATCACACCACTGGACTCCAGCCTGGGCAACAAAGTAAGATCCTTGCTCTTAGAAAAACAATTAATTAGGCCGGGCGCAGTGGCTCATGCCTATAATCCCAGCAATTTCGGAGGCCAAGACGGGCGCATCATGAGGTCAGGAAATCGAGACCATCCTGGCTAACACAGTGAAACCCCGTCTCTACTAAAAAATATACAAAAAATTAGCCGGGCATGGTGGCGGGCGCCTGTAGCCCCAGCTACTCAGGAGGCTGAGGCAGGAGAATGGCGTGAACCTGGGAGGCAGAGCTTGCAGTGAGCCGAGATCGCGCCACTGCACTCCAGCCTGGGCGACAGAATCCGTCTCAAAAAAAAAAAAAAAAAAAGGCCGGGCGCGGTGGCTCACGCCTGTAGTCCCAGCACTTTGGGAGGCCGAGGCGGGCGGATCACGACGTCAGCAGATCGAGACCACCCTGGCTAACACAGTGAAACCCCGTCTCTACTAAAAACCCAAAAAATTAGCGGGGCATGGTAGTGGGCGCTTGTAGTCCCGGAAGGCTGAGGCAGGAGAATGGCGTGAACCCAGGAGGCGGAGTTTGCAGTGAGCCTAGATCGCGCCACTGCACTCCAGCCTGGGTGACAGAGTGAGACTCCGTCTCAAAAAAACAAAAAACAAAACAAAACAAAAAAAGTGTAAAAATCATTGCGCATCTTTCTATCTGTGCAGAGATGGAACATATTGTGTCATTTCCACAGAGTGAAATGGAAAGCTCCATAAACAGTGAGATTTAGTGGGTTCATCCTTGGAAAATAGTCAAGAAAAAATGCCTATATCTCTTGCTTATATGTGATCAACCGAATATCAATGATAATGCAAAAGTTGAACAGAAAACTTAGAAACTAAAGAAAAAGTATCTAGATTAATTTCAAATCAGATTTCTTTTTCACAGTCTACTCAATCCAGTATAATTAAGTTTCCATCATTACTTCATGAGACTATCCTCAGAAAGATCTATAAATGTACTTTTCACTAAATCCAATGAATACTTTTTAGTCCTTAATCTCTTGATAACATTTGATAATACAAACACCTTCCTTCATGAAATGGTCTTTTCTTCTGGCTTTGATAATGTATATTTTCTTGATTTTTTCTCTCTCTACTCTGCTTCTAGTATCCTTGCATGCCCTCTTCCTTTAGTCATCTCTTTACTGACATTTCTCAAAATTCTGTCCTAGACCATAATCTCTTCTCATCTTATACCCTAACCTTGGGTTAGGGCGTCTCATCTCACATTCCTGGCTTCGGAAAACATGTATTGCACATATGAAAGTGAACCCAAAGATCATCCTATCCTCAACTGTTCCTGAGATTCATACCCACAAATGAACCTATGGACATGTCCAGTTGGATGTCTTTCAGGAACATCTAACTCAACATGTCAAAAACTAAACTTATTATCTCTAGCCCCTATGGTTACTGCCTCCCTGAAAACTGCTCTTCCTCTTTTCATAAATGTCACTATCACTTGTATAAGACAAAAACCTGGGAATTATCTTTTATTTCTCATTCATCATTACCTCCATCTAAGGAACTATTAAGTCTAGTATATTCTATTACTTGAGTAGATTATTATTATTTGCATAAGTTATATTTTATAAAGTTGCTATGAATACTGAATTAGTGAACACTAAACCACCGAGGATTACATTCCTGTGAGCCTCTGGTCACAGATTTTCAGCAATCAGTCAACACACAACATTGTTAGATGTTCCTAAAAGACATCCAGTTGGACATGTTCATAGGTCTGTTTGTGGGTATGAATGAATCTCAGGAACAGTTTAGGATAGGATAATCTTTGGGTTCACTTTCATATGTGCAATACGTGGTTTCTGAAGCCAGAAATGTGAGGCGAAACCCCCTCCCTCAAGGTTAAATGAGTATAATGAGAAGAGATTATTGTCTAGGACAGAAAGTGTGTTTCTGTTTAAACACACCTTTCATTCACTAACATTGAGCTCATGGTTAACAGCAGTATAACTCATACCATAATGAAGCTTATTTTTATTTATTTATTTATTTATTTATTTTTTCCCCTGGTTTAATAAGGACTTGTTTATTTTGAGGAAAAAAGGTCCCAAACATCAGGCTGTTCACAAAAATAACCCACAGTATCAACTTTAGAAAACAAATCTTAAGACTATAACACTAATTATTTTTCTAGAGGATGCATTTGACATGCCAACTCTCATTCACAAAAATACATTGTTACATTTGTGTTGAACTGCCCCACACAGCACACTAATGTGGGGGTGTAACACACATACTTCTAACTCAAAGCTGCTTTCAAGAGCTACTCAACTAAATGAGATTGCCTTTGCAGTTAGGGAAGCAACTACTGAACTTATGTATGAATGAAAAGAACTGTACTCCCTGCATAACAAGAGATTATTTTGGAGACAGTTGATAAAAACCATACATCATTTTTATTGTTAAGTCATAAAGAGGTATCAAAATTAAAAGCAAAAATTACAGGGTAAGACTTAACAAAACTACTAGGAGCGTCAAAGGAAGTGAAAATGGGACTAGGCGCGGGGCAATATGAATTAATTAATGAACATGGGAAGGACAAGGATGGGGAAAACAGTGAGCATGTGCTGAAGATACTAGGGGAGAGGATCTGGTGAAAAATTTGATCTTAGACAAGCGCCTAGGTAAAGAAATAATGGGATAAGATTTCTAAACCCCACTATGTGCTTAAGAGTCATCCTCGCCATTGGCGCTGTCTCTGTCATCCTCTCCTTCCTCAGCCTCTTTTTCATCATCCTTGATCAACTCCAGCTGGTCATCCCCCCATCTTCATTATCATCATCATCCAGTAGGTCCCCCTCCTCAGCAGAGTCATCTGCACCCCCCTCAGACTCCATCTTCACATTAGTCTCATCTTTCTTCACGGAGCTGCTGCTCTGCTCCTCTTCTGACTTAACATTGTTCATCTCTACTGCTTGTTTGCTCTGTTCCTTTTCAATTTTTTCCAGGTTTTCCAGGAAAGAATCCACTTTTTGTTTTATCTGGGTCAGCTCCCTCTTAATGGCCTGAAGGTCATCTCCTTTCAACTTTCCAGACTTGGAAGATCCCCGCTGTCCACTCTTAGAATTGAAGCCACTTATGCCCCTTTGTGAAGTGTTTCCTGATACACGCTGACGTTTCGAGGGCACTACAGCCCGAGCAATAGGAGGAGGAGGAGGTACACGTGCTGGGTAACTGTACATCCTATCATAATAGTCCCGTTGAAAGTCACAATCCAAGTCAAAAGAGGAGCCGTACATCTCCGCTGCAGATCGTTTCACACCTGCTTTTCCTCGGTTCACTTTTGGCTCTGCAGCCAGGTTAATATCTAAAACCTGGCCAGCAATCATTCTGCCATCCTCTCCTGCTACAGCAGCCCGGGCATTTCTCTCATTAACATACTGAAAGAAGGCAAAGCCCTTATGAACAGAGCAGCCCACAATTTTGCCATACTTCGAAAAGATTGCCTCCACATCAGATTTCTTGACCACAAGAGTGTTGAGATTCCCAATGAATACACGGGAGTTCATGGAACGAGGATCTGTCTTGTTGGTAACGTTGCTGGCCATTGTGTTTGATGGTAAGGTTTCTCACAAAGCCGAAAACAAGAAGGGGAGGGAGAAGAGATTCGATTCTGAGTCTCCTACTCCCGGGTTCTGCGTAGAGAAGCCGACTGCTGCTGGAGGTCGGCAACGCGGCCGCAACCGCTCAGTCTTCGTCTCTTCACAAAATGGCCTATTTATTTATTTTTTTAGAGATGGAGTCTCACTCTGTCGCCCAGGCTGGAGTGCAGTGGTGCGATCTTGGCTCACTGCAACCTCCGCCTCCCATGTTCTAGCAATTCTCCTGCCTCAGCCTCCTGAGTAGCTGGGACTATAGGCGTACACTGCCATACCCGGCTAATTTTTTGTATTTTTAGTAGAGACAAGGTTTCAACGTGTTGTCCAGGCTGGTCTTGAACTCCTGAGCTCAGGCAATCCATCCGCCTCAGCCTCCCAAAGTGCTAAGACTACAGGCATGAGCCACCGCACCCAGTAGAAGCTTATCTTAACAAACATACTTGCCCCATAAAGTACATCATGGCCTTCTTGCACTGAGGAACACTATATAGACAGTACTTTAAAAATATGGTTAGGGCCAGGTTAAACTTTAAAATTACCAATAAAAAGTGCAGATATGAGAAAAACATAGCAATAAGTAATAGGTAAAAAAGATATTTGTTTACAGTATAAGAACTAAAAGAAGGCAGGATGTTGACTTGTTCAACCTCAGCTGGGAACATGTGCATTGGACAACACAAATTTTTCTGCTGCTCTGTGTATGTCCACAAATGACTGTGAAAGTACAGCAAGTACTGATTTGGGGGTTACAAGCAAATTTTTGTGAGTAGGCATAATTGCAAATACAGAATTCACCAGCAGGGATCAACTGTATCTGCTGAATCTACCTACTTCTCTCTATACCCATGTCTAGTTTAGACAACTCATATTGGTTATGGATTAAGCTGATAGCTTTCGAACTGGTCTCCTTGTTTCTGGCTCTCCTTTGATGTATTCTGCAAGCAGTAGCCAGAATTGTTTTTCTTCTAAAATCTGATATAATTCCTGTTTAAAATGTTTCAATGACCAGCCACAGCAAAAGCCAACACTTTAACAAAAGTTACAATGATATGATCCTTGTCTTTTCAGTCTCCTTTCTTGCTATTACCCTTTTATCTAGTGAGCTTCAGCCAAACAGAACTTCTTTAAGGTTTCTCTTATTATTGGGCTTTTGTATATGCTATTTCTTCTGCCAATTTCATTGTTCCCTCTTCACCTGGCTAGCTCACACTAATCCTTCACATTTCTACTTTATTGTTACCTCTTCCAGAACCTTTCTGCTATGTGCTCATCCAGCACCCTATACTTCCCCTATCTTTCTTTATACTTACCAATTCATTTTAAATTCTCTATTTAATGAATTGCTAGTTCCATGAGGACAGAGACAACTATCACCCTTTCCCCAGAGCCTAACCCAGTCAGTACTTTGCATATCCAGGTGTTCATAATATCTGTTTAATGTCAGGTGAACAAATTAATAGTTCTTCATTATGTGTGAGAAGGTGATATGTCTGCACACCTTCCTGACTGCCAGCTGATCATACTACACAAATTCTGATGATCTTACTCTTTTACTCAAACTAATTCTAGGTCTACTCTGTTCTCTGTTCTACATTGTGAAGTACTCCCTCTCTATTGAAACATTCCCATTAGCACATACACATGCTATTTATTGCCCATATTAAAAATAGGAAGGATGAATGGAATCTATCCATAATTCTCTACCTTTCTTCACTATCATCCATTTTTCTGCTCCTTTAAAAAAATCTTCTAAGGGATACCTATAGTTTATGCCTTTAATCCCTCACCTCCTAATCTCTACAAATCACCATATTGGGGATCTTCATCACTTCAATGAAATTATTTTTGACAAATTCACCAATAACTTCATGTTGTCAAATCCAATGGTCACAGGTTTGTCTTCATCTTATTTGACCTCTCAGCAGCACTGTACACAGCTGACCATTTTATTCTTTCTGAAATAATTTCTTCTTTCAACTTCTATGACACAACATTTTCCTGACTTTTCTTGTTAACTATTTCTTATCAGCCTTCTTTGCTTGTCTTCCTCTAACCACCTTTAAAACTAAAGTTCTAAGGCAAACAGTACCAACAGAAAGTATGGTGTGGTTACAAAACACATTTCACACAAAATAGTAAATATAAAGCTTTCAGGCAAACACGGCAAATTGACCATATGCTTTTTTCTTCTTCTAGCAGAAATTCCGCTGAAATGATAGTTAAGGAATCATAAAGGTATAATTCCACAAAGACAAAGAAAAAAGAAAAAAGGTCTATCAGTGGGTGAGAAAGTTCACATTTCCTGATGATATAAAGTAGATGGAGGTGTAGCAATTGACTTTGCACAACAGAAGGGGCCAGAATAAGTTATCCTGATGAGAAGAAAGACAATACACCCTGAAAATCCTAGAAAGCATTAACCCTTGAAGGCATCAAGTACCGGAAGACAGGGTGAGTGGGCAGGCTGAGAACTGGGTTCCAAGATCTTTCCTCTTTCTACCACTTGGCCAGGTCATTATTCTTCCATTCCTTCTTTCTCCTGTAGTATGCTAGAAATTTGTGGGCTGGAGAATTTGAACAAAAAAGGTTTCAGACACTGTGACACAAGACACAGAAGAAAGTGGGACTGAACTGTTGCCTTGAAAACAGGAATTAAGCAGAAATGTATAAATTGAATAGTGGTACCCTCAGGCCTTGGGGCAGGATTGCTTCTTATCCATTAAGATCTCTATTCATCTCTCTTTCTTTAGGAATAGAACACTACATTTTAGCTAGGCATATCCATCCAGATAAAAACTGCACTTCTTAGCCTTGCTTGCTGCTGGGTGTGAGCAGAATGGTGTACAACTTCTATTTGTGCCTTAAAGGAAAACAACATAATGCTCTCTACTTTCCTTTCTTCTTCTGCCTACTGGTGGGAACGTAAATGTGATGGCAGGATCTAGGACAGCCATCCTAGACCATGAGATGGAAGTTACATATTGAGAATGATAGTGCAAGAAAAGTGTAGAAGCCCAGGAATCTGACATCTTCAAACTGCCATATCAGTCCTATATTGATGACTCCATGAGAGAAGAATACACTTATATTTTTTATGTTATAGTAAACAAATCTAATATAAAATACAATACTGGAAGTGGGGTGTTACCAGAACCAAACTGAGAATATATGGTTGACCAGCAATGGTGAGGGCATAGAAATGGTAGATTGGAAAGTAAATTATCCTGATTAAGCCACAGCAAATCTGGCACAACTGTATCCTACAATAACATGGAAGATAGACTATTGTAGGTGTAGTGAAATTTGTTGGAAAAACTCAGAATGTTTGTGTGTGTAGGCTGCTACTTGCCACTTTATATCAAAGCCCTGAAAGGGAGGAAGGGAGAAAAAGGAAGAAGGAAGGCAGATAGAGGAAGAGGATGGAGGAGGGGCAAGATGAAGGGATAAGGAATGTACACAAGCAGGCTCACACTCAGGCTAGAGATGACTCTACAGAGACAACATAAAGTGAAGCTTTCTCTAGCAGCTTTTTAAAAAGTGATGTTGCAGCCATAAAAGGGAATGAGATCATGTCCTATACAGGGGCATGGATGAAGCTGGAAGCCATCATCCTCAGCAAACAACACAGGAACAGAAAACCAAACACCCCATGTTCTTACTCATAAGTGGGAGCTGAACATTGAGAACACATGGACACAGAAAGGAGAACATCACACACCACGGTCTGTTGGGGAGTGGGGGTAAGGGGAGGGAACTTAGACGATGGGTCAGTAGGTGCAGTAAACCACCATGGCACTCCTATACCTATGTAACAAACCTGCACGTTCTGCACATGTATCCTGTTTTTTTTTTTAGAATAAAGAAAAAAAAGGATGTAAAAATTCACATAAAATTAACCATTAACTATTTAAAAGTACACAATTAATTAACATTTGGTACATCCACTATACTGTTGTGCCACTATCACTTTTAGTTCCAAGACATTTTTAATGCTCAAAAGGAAACCCTACACCCATTAAGCAGTCATTCTCCATCTATCCCTTCCCCCAGCCACTGGCAACTACTCGTCTGCTTTCTGTCTTTATGGGTTTGCCTATTTTGGAAGTTTCATATACAGTAGTCCCCCCTGTCCACAGAGGATATGTCCCAGGACCCTCAGTGGATGCCTAAAACTGCAGAGGGTACCAAACCCTACGTATAGTCTTTCGAGATTTTATCACACTATTCAGAATGTGCCAAAATTTAAAACTTATGAATTATTTCCAGAATTTTCTATTTAATATTTTTGGACCATGGTTAACTAGAGGTAACTAACACCATGGAAAGTAAAACTGTGGATAAGGGGGGACTATGGTAAATGGAATCATACCAGTTGTGATATTTATACCTGGGTTCTTTCACTTAACATAATATTTTTCAGGTTTATCCACACTATACTATGTGCCAGTACTTTATTCTTTTGTATGGCTGAAAAATATTCCATTTTATAGATATACTACATTTGTGGACAACATATCTATTGATAGAAATTTAGGTTTTCACTTTTTGGCCATTGTGAATAGTGCTGCTATGAACATTTGTGTACAACTATATATTTGACTACCATTTTCAATTCTTTGGGATATATACTGGAGAGGTGAATTGTTGGGTTATATGGTAATTATGTTTAACTCTTTAACTCAAAACTGTATTTCCTATAACAGCTGTACCATTTTACATCCCCACCAGTAATGTATGAGTGTTACAATTTCTCCACATTCTCACCAACACTTATTTTCTTTTAAAAATTATACTCATACTAGTGAGTGTGAAGTGATATCTAGTCAATATAATTGAGTCTAGGGTGTTTTTACTGGATGTTGAGAATCATACCCTTCAGGAATGACAGGTAAATCAAGCCATTCTCAGATGAAGGAAAAGGGAGTGTGGTACTAGGAGGCCCACTGTATGAGAATAGCTAAAGTTCTCTAACCAGAAAGAACAATTAAAGAGGAAACCTTGGAATATCAGGAAGAAAGAAATATGATAAGTAAAAAACATAGATAAATACTATATATTCTATCGAGTTTTGTAAGTTATGTTTAATGGATGAAACAACAAGTATAATATTGTCTATTATCTATATAATATTGTCTCCTGGGGCTCTAAGCATATGTAGAGTACTTAAGACAATTATAAATAGGAGAGGGTAAAAAAAACATAAAGGGAGGTAAGGTTTCTACACTTTACTAAAACTAGTAAAATGACAACACTAGTGGACAATGATAAGTTATGTATATATAATGTAATATATAGAGCAACCTCTAAAAAACTATACAAAGAGATATTTAAAAACACTAAAGATAAGTCAAAATGGAATTCTAAAAAATTTTGACATGACCCATAGGAAAGCAGAAAAAATAAAACAGATAAATAAAAAACAGCAGAAACAGAAAAAATCTAAAATGACAGGCTAAAGCCCATAATTACATTAAATGTAAATGGTCCTACTCCATCAATTAAAAAACACAAATTGGCAGAGTGGATTCATCAACCTTTCTAATGAAGGCAGCAGCAAAAGTAGTAGAAAGTAAAAGAATAAGAACAATAACTTCTCAAGATCAACCTAATGGTAATGATACCGAAATAGAAACTGAAGCTAACTTGGATACAAGAAAAAGGTCTCACAAGAATCTTTTCTTATCTAAGTTGAAATGTGGAGCCCAGCAATAAGACCTTAATAAGAAAGAAAGAAGAGTAAGAGCTCTTCAAAGTGCAAAAAAGAAAAAAGAAAGCAGAAGAGCCCCTGAAAGCAGAATATCTGTTTCAAAGAGTCAACCAGTAATTCCTGAAAAACATCGAGCTAGAAAAAAAACAGACATGGTTTTGAGAAGAAGACAAGAATTTGAGATCTGGCATGAGGAAATATGGAGAGGGAAACTGATCTAAAATACTATTGCATTATAAATTCAACAACCGGACAAGTGTCATGTTAAAAGACAGATGGAGGACCATGAAGAAACCAAAACTGATTTGCTCAGACAGCGAAGACAGTGTTTGTAAAAGCTTGATGAAAGGACAGTTAAGTATTTTGATCACTGCATTTTGTTTGAAACTTGCATCATTGATGTATTTTAAAACTTTTGTTTAAATCATTACAGTATTTTTCTGTGACCTTCAATTAATATGAGGGTTTGTGCTATAAGAGTTACAGTATATGTTATCATTATATTCTTCAAGAACCTTATTTTGATAAAATGTAAATTTGTTGAACCCTGCCACATTTAGTATCCCCACCCCCAAATCCTGTTCCAATGAAAAAATTAAAAGCTCATACAAAACAAAAAATCAATCATGAACTGAAGAGTAAAACGGAAAACTATAAATTATACGGTGAATGAAACCAGATTTTACTCTGTTTTGGAAATAACTCAGATGTCCTTCAATGGATAAATGACTAAACAAACTGTGGTACATCCATACAAAGGAATACTACCCAGGAGTAAAAAAGAATGAACTACTGATACATTTAACAACCTGGATGACAATTCAGAGAATTAAAATGAGTTTAAAAGAAGCCAATCATAAAAGTTTACATTCTGTATGATTCCATATTATGTAACATTCTTGAAATAACAAAATTATAGACTTCTAGTACAGGCATATGAAAATTATTTAAGTATAGGCTGGGCGCAGTGGCTTACACCTGTAATCCCAGCACTTTGGGAGGCCGAGGCGGGTGGATCATTTGTGGCCAGGAGTTCCAGACAAGCCTGGCCAACATAGTGAAACCCCATCTCTACTAAAAATACAAAAATTAGCTGGGCATGGTGGTGCATGCCTGTAATCTGAGCTATTCAGGAGGCTGAGGCATGAGAATTGCTTGAACCTGGGAGGTGGAGGTTGCAGTGAGCTGAGATCCTGCCATTGCACTCCAGCCTGGGCGACAGCTCTGTCTCCAAAAAAAAAAAAAAAAGAAGAAAAAGAAAAAG
Organism: Homo sapiens; assembly: GCF_000001405.40. Classification (NCBI taxonomy): domain Eukaryota; kingdom Metazoa; phylum Chordata; class Mammalia; order Primates; family Hominidae; genus Homo; species Homo sapiens. The sequence continues at coordinate 189,916,313 of NC_000002.12, read as the reverse complement.
GAAGAAAATTATAGAAAATTATAGAAGTATAATATATGAGGGATCAATGAAAATATTCTGTCTTTAGTATATTAACACTAATGTCCTGGCTATGATATTGTACTATAGTTTTGCAATATGTTACCATTGAGGAGAACTGGGTGAAAAGTACGTAAGATCTCTATTACTTATGGTTGCATGTAAATCTACAAATATCCCAAAGTAAAAGTTTTATTTTTTAAAAGACTTCAAAAATGTAAAACAAAAACAAAATCCAAATAATTATATCTGCCTGGGAAAGCTCTATGCTACACACTATAAAGTGATAGCTTAATTGTTTATCTTATATTCTATGTGTTGGGTAACTAGTTTTGATGGAGACACTAATAAAAATTTAAATAAAATGATAATGCTGAATAAGTACAGAATAGCTAATTAAATTGAGCAAAAAATATATTTTTCATTTTAAAATCTGTTATAAACATGACATTTCATCTTATTGCATGCAAAGATACATCTATTCTTATATTTTAGACAGCTTGCAACCAAGAACATTGTGCCCCTTAAGAATTACCTTATAATGGATTTCTAATATATATTAAATTTCCCCCGGCAATACCTCATGACATTGCTGATCCTAGTTAATCTTATAAGCATTCTCATCAGTGTCAAGGGAAACTATATTTAAGTAACCATCTGGTGAAATTTGAAGTCTTAAAACCCTCTAAGAAATGATTAGTTGTACACTTTAAATTTCAAATTTTTTTCTTTTGAGAAAAAAAATCAAATTGACACAAACATCATTTGCTAGCTGGGATCCTGGCCAATTTACTTAATATCTCTAGGTCCCAGTTTTTTCATATATAAAATGGGGTTACATCCTATGACAAATGATATAACAAACTAAGAATATAGAAGTAGTTAGTAATGACTATCCTGACAGAGGAATGTCATTTAATAAAAGTTTTGATAATAACTGATATTGCCTGGTTAATGCATAAATAACGTAACATAGGTAAAAACTACATCATGCTGCTCTTTTAAAACTCTTGAGGCAAAGAAGCAAAGGTTATTTTTAGGAAGAGGAACAAATAAATTGCTGGAGTTGTCTGAGCAAGTAGTACAATGAGAGTAAAATCATAAAGGGAGTTAAAAAAAAACAGTTCTAGTGTAGACTGTCAACTACCAACACAGTAATTGTGTGAGGAGATACCAAGAAGTGAAGCTCTCTTTCCATGCATGTTTTAATTACGTTTTCTTTTTAGGCAAGTTGCCTAAACGATTTAATAATCACATTGCAGTGAACAATGTGGCTTCAAAAAAGAACAGTCAAAATTTACTTCGCACGTAATTTCCCCTCAGTATAATGTTGATATTAGATGCCAATGGCAGGCAAAATGTAAAGTTGTTAAGAACAAGAGGCTTGAGAGTGAAAATGCCTGGGTTTAAATCCAGGCTCTACTACTTCCTAGCTGTAAGACTTTGGTCAATTTACTTCATGTCTCTAAGCTTCAATTTTCTCATCTATAAAATGGGGCAGGAATATTATAATAAAGTGCCTCACACAATACCTTTCATATACTAAGAGTACAATAAATGTTAGATATTAATAACAATCTTAGCTAATAGAACTGTTCCTCAAGCTTAAGAATACATATAATTAATGAAGCAACATTTTAAATATCTTCTCTGACAAGGTAAATATAAGAATTAAAACATAATTAAACTGCAAAAGGGCTATTATAATTGAAATAACTTGCATACTCATCATTCTAAGAAAGTATTATACACTCTGGTTCATAAATGTCTCATGAAATAGCCATAATTTCCTATTTAGCTTACTGCTGGCAGTTTCATACAAAATTGTTATATTCAATAATCACCTTCATATTCATGAACAAGGGAAGAAAAATAAACAAATAAAATTTTTAAATTGTTTATCCTACCAAGAACATTCGTCAATTCATAGAAACATTTAATAAGAATGTTAAGAACATGAATTTGTCTCTGTAGTATTCAAATAACTTCTCTTCAGAAATCAATTTGTAATAAATAAACTACATTATGAAACACTTTAAGATTAGAAACTAGATCTCTAAATATTAAAGCATTTGAGCTTGGGAAGGAGAAATTAACTAAGAAATTCTATAATTGTACGTAACAGCTGCACAGTCAATATTTAATCACTATATTGTGAGACAGTTCAGTAGTGGAAGACAGGATTAACATATTGCTTTAAAACATTCCATTACTTTCTGCATCTGTTTACTGATAATAAAAGACACAGCTGTTCTAAACGAAACACACTAACAGGTGTAAAGTGCCAATTTGGCATTTTACATAAAAGTTACTCCTCATTTCCGTATGGAATATTCTAAAGCATAGTCTAAGCATAGCTACCAATAACCTAAAGGGCTTTTTTCATATTAATTTGGATTATTGTAGTCACTAAGGAAAAGATATGCTTCATTCTC